>NC_000002.12:8191818-8494848 GCF_000001405.40 Homo sapiens
TTTCAGAGATGCTAACTCTATACAGCTCCTCATTCATTTCCGCTGTACCTTCCATTTCATAAAATCGAATGGAGGACAGAAATCTAAAAGCCAAGAGGCTCCCAAAGCTTGTCCATCAGTGTTTCCCACCTGCCCTGGAGAACTCCTTCCTCTACCCACTGTGCTCAGAGTTCACGGAGATGCAACAACCTCCCCCAGTGTTCTTCCTCGCCCTGAACGTTACTCAGTCATTGGTACTTCTACCCTCCAAGAGTTTTTAATGTGGTAGGGAAATGTTTTTTGGCAAAATAGCAAATGATAAAAAGGATACAGAAATCATATGATTAGAAATGGGCAGAAATTATCAAAATAGTAACAATGGTTATTATTTCTTGAATAGCAGAATTATAGATGATTGTCATTTTTTAAAATGTCCTGCAATAGCTACATAATAACTTGTATAACCAGAAAAATATGATGCATTAAAAAAGACGGGCCTCTTATGTCAGCAAGTTCTAGGGAGACACAGACATTATCATCAAATCCATGACTGGCTCTTCCTCCAGCTCTTGAGTGGACGTGCTCTGCTTCCACAGCCCTAATTGAATGAATGGGGTGCAAAGCTGAAATCCGATCACTTTAGAACTCTTCCAGAAAGCTAGGAAATGTTGCATATGAAATACCTGGAGCTTTCTGGGAAGTGGAAGGAGTTCATGCCATCATTATAAGAAACATTTCTGACCTTCTCATATACATTGTTCTATCCCTAGCAAATCTGCTTTTTACATATTTAAACCTCTAGAATGAATTTACCTCATTAAGCAGAAGCAGGGCAAATGAACAAGGGATGTAATTCCAGAGAACAGAACTCACAGCTGGCAGGGCTAGCACAGCCTCCTCTCAAGGTCCTGGGCCCATCTCTCCTTGCTTTGTATCACTTTGTCTTTATAAAGGAATCAAAAGAGCCCTAGTCCATCACTAATGCAGAAACACAAGCACAATGCTGAGGGTGGAATACTCACAGAGAAACGACCAGATAGAGGTTGGAAAACAAAAGCAGCCAATGTGACTAGCATCCCTTCAAAAGTAAGTCCTCGTACACTTTCTGTATCCTAAGAAAGCAGACACATAAGCTGAAAGAAATTGGGACAATTCGAGAACTAAACTAAATGTACAAATATTTAAACATGGTCTTAAACTTACCTAACATGTCACTGTCTTCATACAAAACACACACACACACACACACATATATATACTCACATAAAATCTATAGAAATACAGGATTTTGCTCAAAATAAGAAGGAGTTCTTTAACAAGTAGAAATTCTGTAAATGATATGGACTGGCTGATGCTAGGGAGAGTTAGGGAAGGTAACTGGAATGCCGCTTTAGTTCCCAGAGGTGAGTCTGCAGTATGTAATTCTTCCGAGTACAATCTGCCTTATCTATGTGATAATACATCTTTAAACATTAGACTCAGTAATTTTAACTGCAATAAACCCAACCCACCCATGTTTTGCCCTTCAACACAAACCACTAAATTCCAGAACATGGCCAAAGGCACAGATCATCTCTAAATTAGCTCTAAAAAATTTTTAGAAGGCTTAATTGTAAACAAAGAAGAGAGTGAACATTTTCAGATGACTGTAGATGGCTAAGATTTCAACTGTTGGATCACTTCCTGAATTTTCTGTGCAAAACATCAAGTTTTAAAATAAGAACTACTGTTTATGGATGCAAAAAATACCCCAACTTTCCAAATGCACCTCATGTCATTAGATTAATTTGCTATGCACCTCAGGCAATTATGTTAGTGGCAAAGCTATTCTTCCAGACCTCGTCCCCAAGCAGGCACTATAATTAGAGAAAGCCTACATCCCAACAGACAAAACCTCTGCAGACTGGAAGGCAGAGCCCATTACGTTTACCCCAAGCACCTCTGACTCTCTCTGTGTGCCGAGGACGAGGTAAATGTGCATTGTGAAAATTAACACAGCCAGAAAGGAAGCATCCCACAGCGCGAATCAATACTCAGCAAAGGATAATGGGATTCCTGCTCAGGCAGCTGTGTCCTGCCCCTCCCATTAGCACCTGTCAGTAAGAGCAGTCAGGGCCAGGCGATGGGCACCTGCCTCCCAGCTCAATCCTGACGACGATCATTAGCTCCAGCCGGCACAGAGGCACCCCACGCTGCCAAATAGTGTCCTTTTCTCCTTAAATGCGAACAAACAATGACTTCTCCTCTAATAGCTGGCACAGATCTTGTTAATCTTTCTTGTTTCACTTCTGTTTTGCCCTTAGCACAGTGTGTAGGAAGAGATCGACTTGAAGGCAGAAATTAGGTTATTCAAGTTAATTTCAGGACATGCTCTACTCAGAGGCTTAGAACCATCTAGGCTGGCCTGCCTCACCTAGAGGTAATCACAGGATGGAAATAATACTCTATCGATCATGTGACCTGGTAAATAATCAATATCTACCCTTTGGACTTTTGTTACTACCACTTGCGAAAAGAAAAGACTGAACGATTTCACATGGCTAAAAATCTCCCCCTGCCTTCTTTTTCCCTTCCTATTACTTACTCCTTCCTTCCTTCCTTCCTTCCTTCCTTCCTTCCTTCCTTCCTTCCTTCCTTCTTTCTTTCCTTCCTTCCTTCTTTCTTTCCTTCCTTCCTCCCACCATCCTCCTCCCTCCTCTCCCCTTCCTCCCTCCCTCCCTCCCTTCTTTCCTTCCTTCCTCTCTTTCTCCCTTTCTATCTTTTTTCCCCTCCATCCTCCTTCCAAAGTAGAAGTGAATAGTCATTGAAAGGAAAACTGGACATATAAAATATCGTTAACACTTACCCCTGGGAAGGGGTATTTTTAAGTGCTTCTCTTAACAGCTGAAGTTCTGAGTGTGTGTGTGTGTGTGTGTTTGTGTGTGTGTGTGCGCGCGCGCAAGTCTCTGGAGGACCCAAAAGTGGAGTAGGGGCCCAGGCCAGGCACCCTTCACTTGCCCTGTAGGTCAAGCTGTTTCCAAATGCTCTATGGTAAGGGGCCAGGAGTGCTAACATCTTCCAGAAATTCATAATGAGCTGTGACTTTTACCCTGGTATATAATATCCTATCCAAAAGAATTGCAAAGAGACTTCTAAACTAAATTGGAGGTCTTTTTTGCTTTTGTCTTTTTCTGTAGGCCTGATTTTCTTCTTAACATTACCTGTATATGGACTTATGATCCAGCCACAGCCTATTCTTAGGACAAGCCAGTTGGTTCAATTGGGAGGAAATCAGCAAAACTTCAGAAAGTATTGCATAATATTTATTTAATCCTTCTTCCCATCATGTATTCACTCCTCCAATCATTCACAAGTATCGATTGAGCACCTGCTTAGGGCCAGATGCTTGTGTCTCATAGTTAAGTTGGGGGAGTCGACTTAGGTAAAAGAAGGGAAGGGCATGAAAGGGAAGGTGTTTTCACTAAGTCTGGTAATTTCTAAAGAACTCTGGAGACCAGAGACTAAAAACCCTCAAATTCACTGACAAACAGTATGAATAAACTCCTGGTCCCATTCTTTTTGCAATGAAAGGTTTGCCACTGGAATATCTAAAAAAAAAAAAAAAAAAAATTCTTATAAAAAAGCAATACACATTTATTCTAGAAAGTATAGATAAGAAAATGAAAAAATATTTAAGTTGTCTATAATCATCATACCAAACTTTTGGTATTTCTCTTCTGTGTGTGTGCATTTTTCTCTTGTCCATATAGTTTGAAACATTTGATATTATATCAAACCACATTTTGACATACAAAACAGCAATTTCATATGGCTTAACCTCATATTGCTGATAAATTTATAGACATGGAAACATAGTGTACATATTTGTATCCTGATTTTTTCATTGAACCAAATAGCATGAATTCTTCTGACATTAAACATTTTTAAAGCTTAAAAGTAAACAAATTAAAGGAAACAATTTTCAATGGTTCGCCATTTTGCATTTTATGAATGTAAAATAAATGCTTAATTATAGCAAACTACTTAAAGAAAAATTTTCTGCTTTTTTGCATTTTCATATTGTTGTGAAAAACTTCCACATCTCAAGCTTCTTCCAGTCATGTCTTTGATGCTTTGAAGTCAAATATGAAAGATGTGTACTTCAAGGCAAGAGCAAACATGACCACTTAGCATTTTGTAAATTAAGCTCGATTTTTGAATAATGCTTGTAAATCAAAGACTGTTAGTATGTGCACTTGACCCTGATCTCCCACAGAATTAGTTTTTGCAATCAACAGCTTGTGCTGCCTAAATATTTACCTTCTGCCATCACTAAGCTATATGCTGCAATATATTTGTTGAAATATTCTTCCAGTTTTAATAATGTCCTTTCACTTAGGGACACCTATAACTGCAAGAGACTCGATACTGGTCCCCAGCACCTCCACTGAACATGTAAACTAAAAGACCCCTTCCAGCTGCCTGAATTGGGTGATGCCCTCATGATTAAGACTAGAAAAGGAGATGGGGGTCACACAAAGTCAAAAAATGAGAAAAACATTCATTTAAAAAGCACACTGGGGGATCATTCACTTGAAAATTGGAAAGAGCAAATACTTCCATTTTATTAAGGCAAAAGCTTCAGTGGGTTACCGTGGGGGAAATTCTGCAAACTGAATGCATCCCAGCTTTTCCCAGGAAATCTTACATGGAGATGAATCACCCACCGTCCATATGCTTTGCCATATTTCACCAAGCACATGACAGAATGCAACTTAGAAAACCCCCACGAATGTCATGCCAGTGCTCAGCCAGCCCTATCCATTTTGAAAATGGTGGAAGTGGGGATTCTGAAGGTGGATTTTATGTACTTGCAATGATGTGCTTTAAAATGCATAAAAATAAAATAAAATTCTTTCAAGAAATTTTAATTCCAAGAAACTACAGAGAATAAAGATTCTTCAAAAACGGTTTTGCCTTAGATAGCTCCCTAGTTTCACATTTGAATTGAAAAGTGTTTATTTGCTGAGCTAAATTCACCCTATACATTGCCATCCATGAAGGAATTTTAGCCAAATAGCCTGAAACGTCTGCAGCAGGTAATCTCGGTTTCCTTACACTCTGAAAGTTGCGCTCCTAATTTTCCATGTTCCATGGAACACACGTTTCCTTTAAAAACTTTTGAGTCTGCTTTGGGTGCTGGTTCTATGTCTCATCCAGAAGTGGGAGGCAGAAGTCAGCTGTTTGTAAATAGAAGGCAGCAACTGAGAAGGGATTATAATAATTTTCACTTTGATAGTATGTAACACTTGAAATTTCAGGGAGCTTTGCAAACTTGTAAGTATTATTTTCCTCATTTCTATTAGGAAGAAAACTGGGGCACAACTCACCCAAGACAATAAGTTAGTTAAAGTCAATAGTAGAAGTGGTAAGTGCAGGATCTCCTTTGCAAGCCATTGAATCATGCTCACTGTAAGTCACACCAAGTCGAGAGATGACATCATCAGGGCCGAACCCTGTCAGAACCGCACATATATAAAGCCCTTGCAACCACATGGAAATCACTGCTCATCCTGGGAAAAGTCTTTTGTTGTCCAAGAGATGACTGATCACATATTCACAGCTGGAGATTAAACAGATCCAAAGATGTAGTGGTGGCCACCTTTTGCCATCATTCCAAAAAGAGTAATGAACGGGGGTACCAGGAACCCAGCCTCCACATGTCCAGATGCTTCTCCTACTCACCCTCTCTGAGTGCTCAATACTATTTTTTTTAATGTCAAGTGCTATTTATTTTGACATTTTAAAAATGTCCCCAAAAGATAAATCAGTGTCTTTAAAGATGAATAATCCTGATAGTAAATTTACAGCTTTGAAAGTCAACACATATCCACATATCCCTCCCTTCACCATGCTGGCAGGTTTTGAAGCCTCTTGCAGGAACTAGAAGTAGCCCTTGTCCTCTTGACCAAGATTGACCAGACATTGAGGCAATGTTTTAATACATTAGCCAAAGCCTAAACTAGCACTCACATGGAAGCCTTTTTTATTTCTAGGACTAACAAAGATCATACAAATAAACACATATAGTCAGATGCACATTGTAGAAAATCAATACATGCAGAATCCATTTTCTGTTTTTCAACCAATGTATCAAATTAAATACAAAGCCAATTGTTCCATAAGATAATTTAATCCCTTGGGCCAAACTCTACCTGCCGTCTGTTTTGTTTAAAACTAAATAAAGTTTTATTGACACCCAGCCATACCCATCCATTCACAGATTGTTTGTGGGCTGCTTTTGTGCTACAACAATGTGGTTGAGTTGTTAACACAGAAAATTTGTGGCCCACAAAGGCTACAATTTACTTTCTAACCCTTTACAGAAACATTTTGACAACTGGCTTAATCTATAAGATGAGTTAGCCATAAAAGATCCTATAAAATAATACGGAGAAAATAGTCCCATCTTTAGAGCAGATTCGGGGGAGGCAGCCTGGTTAAAAATGCCCTCCCTGATCCTGGCTGTCATCCGTGTACCTCCTCACCTACATCTATGATCCCTGAATTGGCCATGAGGGAAGCACCCCTTATTCACAGCTTCCTCACTTAAGCACATATGGTCTTGGCAATGGGTGCAGAAGGAGAAACCCAAGGTCATCTGATCAGTCTCCTGTACTATGGAGGAATCGCATCCTCCATATCCATGCTCTGTAGTCACGGAAACTCGGCTGGAGTCCTGGAGCAACGCCTCCCACAGCACAGTGCGTCTTCTCTCATTCCTGCACAACGGAATTGTGAGTGATTCCTCAATGCTGGGCAGAAACTCACTTCCCTGTCACTTCATCAGTGCAGCAAAATATTGGAATGCAACCAACATGACTCCTTGGACGTGTCCCCAGCCCTGTCCCCTCTTCACCAGGCTACGAAGCTACATTCCCCTACCTGTGGCTTACAGGCCACCACCCTGACACTTGGCACTCCTGGCCACCTCTTCCAGCCACAATCCACGGGCCTTTTCTGCATTGCCACACCAGCTCTGTGTCTCCTGGTTTTTTCTGTTAGCATCTAAGCACTGCCACATCTTCCCCTGAAGTGAAATATTGAAGAAGGAAGAACCCCAGAAGCTGAGGCATGTAGCTTTGTTGCTGCTTTAACTTGCCACACTTCCTCATTGTCACATCTCACTTTGACCCCATCTTTCCTTGCTAAGGAAGGATGGTGTTTCATGGTTCAGTGCAAAGAGTACTAGACAAGAGTCCCAAAGATTCAAGGTCTAGTCTAGTCTCTGGCACTGTCTGAGTTTTATAAATTCAGGGAAATTGTCTAATCTATGTGGGCTACTGCTTCCTCATCTATAAAATTTCCTCAAGACTAATTCAGCAGCACTCCCATTCTGCTCAGAGCTAGATAATAAGCTGTGCTGACACATGAGGCATTCACAGTGGCACAGTTGCTCAGAGTGACAGTCATCCCTTGGTAGAAAATGTTTTAATATAAAAACTTAATAGATGTAATGGCAATTTTCTTTGGGAATAAATTGGTCTCTGAATCATACTCTAAAAACAAACAAAAAAAATTCCTAATGCAGAAAGGACTGTGGTCATTCCTCTTTCTCAAACCCAAATAACACTCTGAGAATCCAGCACATTATTTGATCCTTTTCTCTTAAAAAAAAAGTGCATACATTTTCTGCAGACTGAGAGGGCATGGGGGATAAGACGCAGGTGGATTTCAGATAATCAAAGTCACCCTGCATCTCCTATTAAGCAGCTTGAACTTTATCCTGAAGGCTATGGGACCCCCATTAAAGCTGTTAACACAGGACAGTGACATTATCATATTTCCACTTTAAGAATTTAGAAGATAGTCACGATTATAGAGAATGACTTGGGAGTGCAGGAGTGGTGTGCAGGGTGGAGGCTGGGGTGGAACAGAGGGTGGGCAAGTGGTAAGGCAGAGGGAATGAGGCCTGAGAGAAGGGTAGTAGTTGTTGAGGTCATTACTGTTCAGGGTGAGGTCCAGGAACAAGAAGCAGCCCTTAGGAGCTTGCCAGATTGCAGAATCTCAAGCCCCACACAGATCTTCGAAGTCAGGATCCACATTTGAACATGACGCCCAAGGGATTTGCACTTCCTTGAGGAAAAAAGTGCTGGACTAGGTTTTGGTTATCGGGCCTTAGAGATGCTGTATTAGTTTGTTCTCACACTGCTATAAAGAACTACCTGAGACTGGGTAATTTATAAAGAAAAGAGGTTTAATTGACTCACAGTTCTGCATGGCTGGGGAGGCCTCAGGAAACTTACAATCACGGCTGAAGCTAAAGGGGAAGCAAGGCACATCTTCACAAGGCAGCAGGAGAGAGAGAGAGTGAAGGGGAAAGTGCCACACTTTTAAACCATCAGATCTCAGGAGAGCTCATTCACTATCACAAGAACAGCAAGGGGGAAATCCGACCCCCGTGATCCAATCACCTCCCACCCGGTCTCTCCCCTGACACATGGGGATTACAGGTCAACATGAGATCTGGGTGGACACACAGAGCTAAACCATATCAGATGCTAAGGGCAGAACCAAAACTATGGCAGTGCAAATGGAAAAGCAACAATGAATTTTTTAAGAGTTGTGTATGAGGAAGAATTGACCAAACTTGATGACATTGAAGGTAAGAAATAAAATAGAAGAAAAATTGGGGACATATGCAAGATTCTAGCTTAGAATACTGGAAAGTGGCACTGCCATTTGTCTGAAATGAAGAACATAAGGACAGGGGCTGGGCATGGTGGCTCATGCCTGTAATCCCAGCACTTTGGGAGGCTGAGACAGGAGGATCACTTGAACCTGGGAGGTAGAGGTTGCAGTGAGTGGATGTTGTACCACTGCACTCCAGCCTGGGCCACAGAGCAAGACTCCATCTCAAACAAAAAAGGAATATAAAGAGAGGAACAAACTTAAAGATATTATCAAGTTCCTTTTGTGTGTTAAGGTGAAATGCCTATAACACTTTACTGGAGTTATGTCCAATGAGCATTTGAAAATATAGGTTTATAGTTCAGCCAATGGCTTTAGTAAAAATAAAGATTTGGAATTCAAGATATACTTGAAGCTGGAAAAAAAATGATGATGTCGCCCAGGAAGAACATATAAGTAAGTAGAGAAGATAAGATGAGAGAAGAAAATGAAGAAGAGAAGAGAAAGATATGAGTACAAATCCTAAAATAACTGCCAGTTCAGGGAAAAAGAGATGAAGTTGAGTCTGTCAATGATTCCCAGCAGAGAATTATACTTGACCTCAGAACCATTCATTGACCTCGGATACCCATTTGTCCTTTTACTAGCTACCAAACTCCCTTGTCTTAGCTCAGCACATAGCTGCTCACTCAACACTGTTAGGTGCTTCAGAAGCCAAGGAGGATGAGGAGTGACAGCCTCCTAGTTTGGAAATTAGAGAAACAGTGGTTACTTTAATGAGAGCAGGTACAGGGAGGTGGCAGAGTAGTAGCCAATGTGAATGGAAAGTGGGAAAGAGAAGATGATACATGTCCATTGTGCAGGCTTTTGCAAGAAAGGAAATGAGAGAAGAGGGTTGTCCTCCAAGGAGGAGTCTTGTTAAAAGGATTTTGTTTTGTTTTATTGTTTTAAGGATGGTGTACATTTAAGTGTGCTGACAGGCTGAGATCAAGAATCCAGGGAAAAGCCAGAGGTGGGAATCTGAAGATACAGAACAGATGTAGGGGGCAAAGCAAGAACTCAGAGAATGGGAGGTCAGGGGGTCGAGAGACATGCCTGTGTCTTGGACAAGAGGTGAACCCACAGTGGCTATGTGGACTTCAATCACCAAGGCTCGTTATGAACTATAAAGCAGGTTAATGTAGCTGAAAGGCAGCCCCCAGTGCAGCCGAGGTACTTGTGCCATTGGCCAAAGGGCCAACGACAAACTAACGTTTCAAGTGGCAGTTGAGTGCTCAGGTCCACTGAATAACATTCCAGAGAATCCCTTGCCTTCCCTCGATGTTCTGCCTCCTGGAACCTCAATCTCAAGCCATTCAGGAATGCCTGAGAAACCTCGAAGCTGGCTTTAAAAAAGCTATGTATCTATTTGCAAAAATCACCTTTGCCATTTAACTAGACTTTAGCTCTAACTTATAAACCAGCCCAATGTTTTCATACCTGTATTTGTACAAGATGTAGAGAAAACGTCACATTTCATAAAGAGTGAAAAGCATGGAAATCAGGAGAGCAATTAAACTGCCAGATCAGGAAGCACTTTCTGGTGTTGACACTGACTCTGTTTACAATAGCACTCGTTCAGTAAACCCTCAATGATTCCTACAGAAAACAAAATCAAGAAATTACTTTGTCAGAATGTGCAAATTTAACCTCCAGGGATTTGGGGAGGGGGTGGTGGGAGCAGTTCGGTAATTACAAGTCGCATGGAGGTACTTCATTCTTGGCAGTGATGGGGAAGCGCAAATTGAAAAGTATGTAGTGACAGTTGGTGGCAGAAATCCTAGAGAAAACTAAGCCTGCCAGGTACCAATCCGTGCATGACAAGATCATCGCAAATGCTTGGATGACTCATATTTTCCCCTTACAGTTGCATGCTGGTTCTACGATATGTGATTTTTGAGATTTGATGATTATACCTGGTGTCACACATGGTCTCAGGAGACACCACAATCTTTTTTCTGCTTCCTTCTCTCGGGTCAAAAACCCAGCAGGGTGAAAAATATTCAAAATGTTGTGGAGGTTAGACATCATTTTGGGGTTTTTGAGAGCTAAAGTTAGTTAAACTCTTCTGATTTTGAAATTAACAAGGAGAAATAAAGCAAACAAACAAACAATCATGGCACGGGCTAAGCATCGCATTAGCAACAAACATTGACTATGCACCCTTATTCTAAGTAAGGGGAAGGGCTGAGTGATTCCACCCATCATTTCTTCCTTCTTGCATCCCATAAATAGTTAGAAGACACTATGCTGCCTTGCTAGGGCTGCTACAACAACGTCCCACAGACCGGGTGCTTAACAACAGAAATGCACCATCTCATGGTCTGGAGGCCAAAAGTCCAAGATCAAGGTGTGGGCAGGGTTGGTTCCCTCTCAGGCTGTGAAGGAGACTCTGTCCTGGGCCTCTCCCCCAGCCCCGGTGCTTCGCTGGCCGCCATCAGTGTTCCTGGGCTTATAGAAGCATCATCCGGATCTCAGCCTTCATGTTTACATGGCCCCCTCCTGTGTGTATGCCTGTATTCAAATTTCCCCTTTTTAGAAGGACACTAGTCATCCTGGATTGGGGCCACTCTAATGCCCTTACCTTAACTTGGTGTAAATATCTTATATCCAAATAAGGTCATATTCTAAGGTGCCAGGGTTTAGGACTCTAACATATCTGTTTTTCTTTTTCTTGTTATTTCATTTTTTTTTTTTTTTTGGTGGGATGTGCGGAGGGGCCACATTCCAACTGACAGCAGGCACTTACTTTGAACTTGGCCCTATCCTAGGTGACAGGTGGGCAGTGGTCAACAAAGGAGAGACAGCGCTTGTCCTCATAGAGTTCAGAATCGGGAGGAAGGACCAGTCAGTCTATTAACAGGCACTTAGCAAATAGTGACTTCATGACAGTTACAGGGAATGCTAGGAGGGAAAACCCGCGGGTGCTAGGAAAATGTGCAATGGAGGGATGCACGCAGTCGTGGGGCCAGGATCTGCTCCCCAGGAAACGGCGCTGAGAGGAGGACAGTGTCGCCAGGCTAGGAGGGTGAGGGCGTCAGCGGAGAGAACGGCCTGCGTGGGGGCTGGTGGGCGGAGCGGGTGGATCTTGGCAAACGGCAGGAATGGAAACGGCTGGAGCATATGTCTCAGTGACATCGCCACGGAAATGAGAAAGAGAACCTGCCATTCTCACTGACTGCTCTCTTATCTCCCCACAGGGTACTGTTCTGTGGGCTCCTCTCACGCACTCCCTTCCTCCCCTCTTTTTATAACATTTGGAAGCTTTTCATTTTGTGTTTCCTTATTTTTCAGGAATACATTCATGAACTACCCAAGGCCAATGCCCTGTTTGTATAAGGCATGTTCCCCATACCTGGTTTCTGGCTACCACCTTATAAGAAGCAAGCTGTGACAGCTCACAGCCCCCAGCCCCCTTTGCTGAATTGGGTACTTCTTCACTACGTTCTAGCAACTTCTATGGCATCCTCATTAAAAGCCCAGATTCTGGATTCAGGCTGCCTGGGTGGGAACTCTGTCGCAGTGAATTGCTCCGAGTCTCCCCTTCCTCAGCTGTAGAACAGGCATGGGGAGAGTTCAGCACTCCGAATACCCTGCTCCCCAATTTGTTATGAAGATCAAATGAATGAGTCCAGGTAACGGACTTGGAACATTTCCTGGCATAGAATAAGCAGACAATAAGCATTAGACATGACAACACTCAATGTAGGTCCTGCCACCTTTAAATGCTCTTTCACATGATTTTAAGTTTCTTAGGGACCTTTTTACCCAGTGCCTAACGAATCACGTGGATATAGTACATGCACAGTCAATACTCATTGAGTGAACGAATACAAGAATGAAGCATGTATTGAAGCAGTGCCTGAAAACGACAGATTCTAATTCCTGCTTCAAATTAGAAATGGCTTAAGAGAAAAGATTAAGGTCCTTTCTAACTTTAAGAATCTTTTCTTTAAAGAATTACTACATTCATATTCTATGAATTTATGGATTCATAGCTTGTTTATTATTTGTGAGCTACTTTGTGAATTATTAATTGTGAGCTGATTTGTGAATTATTTGTGAGCTAATTTGTGAATTGTTATTTGTGAGCTGACTCACAAATAATCTGACAAATGAAGAGACCACAGTTACAAAAAAAAAAAAAACCACTTCGTGCTTGTTTTATTTAAAGTGTTTTGAGGCAATAACTATAGGTTCATATTTTAAAATATATAAATCACCATAAAATGTCAGGGGACATCCTGAAAGCTCCCTATTAAGAGGGTCTCTGTGTCAGTAAGGTAGGCTGTAAGTCCATTCAATCAAATGAAGTATGAGTGTGTTCAACACAACATGTCAGTTGTTGTGGATACTAAAGGTCTTCAGGCAGTACTCGTGATGCATCATCATGCAGTAAGTGTCAGCTTTTACACTTAATTCTCACATAATCATGGGAGGGAAATGTTATCATCACATTATATGGAAGTAGAAAAATGCAGAAGCTGTTTCAAAGCCAAGTTTCTCTTCAGGGACTTTCAAATAGCCTTTCTGGTTTTATCCTAGAAATATGCTTCTTAAACTCCATTTCGAGTTTGGTTCACAAAGGCATACAACAAGTTTATTGTGTGTGTGTTTATTGATACATCATAATTGTACATATTTACAGGGTACATATGGTACTTTGATACACACACACAATGTGCAATGATCGAATCAGGGTAATTAACATATCCATCACCTTGAACATTTATCATTTATGTGTGTTAGAAACATTTCAAATCTTTTATTCTACCTATTAGGAAATATACAATATATTGTGGCTAGGCATAGTGACTCATGCCTGTAATCCCAGCACTTTGGGAGGCCAAGGCAGGTGGAACAGTTGAGGTCGGGAGTTTGAGACCAGCCTGGCCAATATGGTGAGAAACCCTGTCTCTACTAAAAAGACAAAATTAGCCAGGCTTCGTGGCATGCCTATAATCCTAGTTACTCAGGAGGCTGAGGCAGGATAAACTCTTGATCCTGGGAGGCAGAGATTGCAGTGAGCCAAAATCGTGCCACTGCACTCCAACCTGGGCAACAGAGCGAGACTCCATCTCAAATAATAATAATCATTATATATATATATATATATATATATATATATAAACACACACACACACAATATTGTTAACTCTATTCACCTGACTGTGCTATTGAACACTAGAACTTATTCTTTCTGACTAACTCTATGTTCATACCCACTAACAAACCTGTCTTCATCCCCCCTACACTTCTCAGCCTCTATCATTTTACTCTCTGCTTCCATGAAATCAACTTTTTTAGCTCCCACCTATGAATGAGAACATGCAATATCCCTGTGCCTGACTTATTTCACTTAATATGATAACCTTCAGTTCCATCCATGTCGCTGCAAATGGGATAAGATTTAGTACTATTCTTAGAGCTGAATAGTATTTTAATATGTATATTTACCATATTTTCTTTATCCATTTATTCACTGATGCTATACAATAAAACTCAAACTTGTTTTGTCCTCAAAGCCAGGGTAGACATTGAGGAAAGGAGAAAATGTAATTAAACATGGCACTTGGTGTCCTCTAGTGGCTCAAGAATGTTGGCTCCAGGAGTGGGAAAACCCAGTGGCTGGAGAGTAGAGGAGAGCCACTCACGCTGCAGGGCATGGTGTTTGAGCAAGGACAGCTCCTCCTCACACGGGGTCATCCTGGCTGCCTCTCACATAGGAGATGGTGAGAATGGGTATGCCAGCCACCTTTCCAGATATTGCTGAACTATATCAGCATGTGCTGCCATCAAAGAATCAGCAAAGGTAACTGACTAAACCCAAAGGGAGAAAGGTTGATGACTTTGATTTATTCAGGCAGAAACATTGAAAAATGATCAACTTGTACACTCCAATAAAGGTAAAGAGAGACAAATAACTGAGGCTTGGGACAGTGTTTTCAAATGTTTTTCAGCTGAACCTGAGTATCATTATTGTAAAAATCACAGAATCATCTGTGAATGATGAAGTTCAGAGATGTCCTCATCACACATCAGATAATAGACATCAGAGTCAAAAAAAAAAAAAAAAAGTTCAAATAATCTAATGTGCCAGAATTCCATCCTACAGTTCAGGTCTCATCTTGGTCATCACTATCAGTTGGTAAATGTACATTAGATTTAAAAACATCATTAAAATTCAAGTGGAATAACCCAAGTTTTTCCAGTGGCAGCAGATATGACAGTTGCATTTAAACACCTTTCACTTGCAAATAGACCTACTTAATATATCAGGCAACATCTCTAAAAAAGAGATGAGGGATGAAGAAATGTTGAGATACAACAAAAGTCATTTTACTACATCTGTGCAGATCTGGAAAAGAGACTTGTCAGTAAGATAACTGTACGTAGATCAAATAGTGTACAGGCATCATTGTAATTGTTCAGAAGAAATTTTTTATAAAGTGTTTTTTATAGAGTGTTTATAGCCGAGTCTCCCCTTCCTCAGCTGTAGACCAGGCATGGGGAGAGTTCAGCACTCCGAATACCCTGCTCCCCAATTTGTTATGAAGATCAAATGAATGAGTCCAGGTAATGGACTTGGAACATTTCCTGGCATAGAATAAGCAGACAATAAGCATTAGACATGACAACATTTAGAAATTTTATTTCTAAATTTGCCAATCTAGATTTTATGAAATTCATTTTAAAAAGAGTGAAAATATGAATTAAATACATTTCCCTTTCTTCTTGAGTTTCCTAATGCATGATTGATAGTTAAAGCAAAAATTGTAAGGCTATCTCATATACTTGTTATAAATATATGTAGGAAAAGACATTTAAGACAATTATATTATTAATAGGGAGGGATAATGGGTAAGATTTCTACACTTCACTTGAACTGTTAAAATGTCAACATCAGTAGCCTGTGTTATAAATATAAAATGTGATATTTGAGCAATAACTAAAAAGTTCATACAAAGAGATATAATCAAAAACTCTATAAATTAATCAAAAGGAGATCTAAAAAATGTTAAAGGGAAGAGAAAAAACAAGACAAGAAAGACAAGAGCAAAAAAGAAACAGAAAATAAGGAGAAGACAAAAAATAAAATAACAGACATCAGATTAAACTATGAATAATTACATTAAATGTAAATGGTTTAAAAACACTAATTAAAGGCAGGGATTGGCAGATTGGATTAAATAAATGACCCATGGATAAAGGGGCCACCAAGCTAGCCTGGATATTTGAGAACTGGGACAGCAGCTGCTAAAGCTACATCAGTGGGTAAGCTATAATGATAGAGGTAAATTGGAAATTAAGGAATAGCAATAATATGCCATGCAGACATTAATTTTAAAAGTAAGCAGATGTGGCTATATTAATATCAAATAAAGTAAATCTTGGGCCAGGCATGATACCTCACACCTGTAATCCCAGCGACTCAGGAGGATGAGGCAGAAGAATCACTTGAACCTGGGAGGCAGAGGTTGCAGCGAACTGAGATCACACCCCTGCACTCCAGCCTGGGCAACAGAGCGAGACTCTGTCAAAAAAAGAAAAAAGAAAAGACAAAGAAAAAGTAGATTTTAGAGCTAATAAAACTACCAAGAACACAGAGGGGCATTATACAATGACCAAATGGTTAATTCACCAAAAGATATACAAATAAAAAATGTGCGGGCATCAAACAATAAGTTGTGAAATATGTGAAGCAAGAACTGATTGAACTGAAAGGAGAAAAATAGATAGCTGAAAACTTTAACACCTCTTTCTTGACAGTTGCTAGAACTAGACAGAACATCATTATGGATATATAAGAACTGTAACACCATTAATCAAATGTATCTAATAGACATTTATACAATACTCTGGCCCAAAACAACAGAAAACACATACTTTCTAGGAATTCTCATATAATAACAACACAGATCATATTCTGGACCATAAACCCAACCACAATAGAACCAAAACAGAAATCAATAACAGAAATATAACAGAAATATATTCAAGAACTTGGAAACTAAACAGCAGACTTCCAAATAACCCATGTGTGAAAGAGGAAGTCTC
Organism: Homo sapiens; assembly: GCF_000001405.40. Lineage (NCBI taxonomy): Eukaryota > Metazoa > Chordata > Mammalia > Primates > Hominidae > Homo > Homo sapiens. The sequence goes on from NC_000002.12 coordinate 8,208,565, forward strand.
AAAGAAAGTTAAAACAGAAACAAATAAAAACATTGAACTGAATAAAATGGAAATGCAGTGAAATTTGTGGAACATAGCTGAAGCAGTGCTGAAGAAAAATTTATAGTACTCAGTGCTTACATTACAAAGCAGGAAAAGCCTCAACCCAATAATATATGCTTTCACCTCAGGAATCTAAACAGGAAAGAGAAAAATAAACTCAAAACAAGGAAAGGGAAGGAAATACTAAAGATTGGAGCAGAAAACCATGATATTGAAAGCAGAAAACATAGAGAAAATTAATGAAGCAAAGAAACAGTTATTTGAAAAGACCAATAAAATTTAGCAAGCCTCTAGCAATACAGAAGACATAAATAATTGATGTCAGTAATGAAACTGGGCATATCACTACAAACCCTGCAGAAACATAGATAAAATGAACCAATTCCTGAAAAAGCACAGACAACTATAATTCACTCAATATCAAATACATACTTTGAATAGCACTAGAACTATTAAGAAAATTAAATATGTAATTTTAAAACTTCAAAAGTAGAAATATCTAAGCCCAGATAGTTTCACCAGAAAATTCTTCCAGGTGGTTAAAGAATAACTAAAGCCAATTCTATACAATCTCTTCCAGAAAATAAAATGGAGAGAATACTTTTCAATTCATTTTATGGAGCTATTACTACTATCCTGATAACAAAGCCATACAAAGATAGTAGGAAAAAAGGAAACTACAAATCAATATTCCTCTTGAATGTAGGTGTAAAAAACCATTAACAAAATATTAGGAAATAGAAATCATCAATATATAAAGAAAATTATATACCATAACAAATTATGATACCATCACCAATTATTCCAGATATACACGACCAGAATGCATGAATGTTCAACATTCAAAAATTAGTCAATGTAATCTGCCATATTAACAATCTAGAGAAATTCCAGGATTGTATCAATTGATGCAGAAGAATCATTTAACAAAATTCAACATCTATTTATGATAAAATCTCTCAGCAAAATAAGAATAGAGGAAAACTTCCTCAATTTGACAAAGAAAATCTATTTTTAAAAACGCAAAAGGTAGCATTATACTTAATGTTGACAGACAATGCTTTTGTTCCCTAAGACTGGGAACAAGGCCAGTGTGTCCACTCTCACGGCCTTATTCAACATAATATTGGCAACCAATAGACTAAAGCAAGGAAATAAAGGCATACAGATTAAAGAGGAAGAAATAAAACTATCCATATTTGCAGATAGTATAATTATCTATGTAAAAAATCCAGAAGAATCTCAAATAAAGTTCTAGAATTAATCAGCTCAGAAGGGTTCCAAGCTGCAAGATAAATAATCAAAATCAAATATATTTCTGTATACTATCAATGAACATGTGGACACTGAAATTAAAAATATTATTAACAACTGCTCAAAACATAAGATATTATTAGTGGCAAATATAGCAAAATATATTAAAGACTTGTAGGCTGAAAACTACCAAAAAAAACTGATTAAATAAATCAAGGAAGATGTAAATATATGGAAAGACATACCATGTTCATGGATGGGAAGATTCAACACAGTAAAGATGTCAGTTCTCCCCAGATTGATATAAAGGTTAAATGCAATTGCTATCAAAATTGTAGCAAGATTTTGTGGTAGATATAGACAAGATTATTAAAACATTTATATGAAAATGCAAAGGAACTATAATGGCAAAAATAATTTTGAGAAAATATGAAGTGAAAATAATTAGTTGATACAACTTCAAGACATTTTATACCCACAGTAATCATGACTGTGTGGTATTCGTTGAGGGGAAGACATATAAGTCTAGGGAACACAATAGTAAATAGAGAAACAGATACACACAAATATGCCCAACTGATTTTTGACAAAGGTACAGGAGCAATTCAATGAAGGAAGGGTAGCTTTTTTAAACAAATGGTGCTAGAGTAATTGGCCATCTATAGGCAAGAATTCCAAAGTATCTCCAAAAATCTTCTATAACTAATATGCAAGTCTCAAGATAAAATATAAGCATGCAAAAATCAAGTATATTCCCACAACATCTTCAACCTAAACTTCACAGCTTATACAAAATTTAAATCCAAATAGATCACAGGTTTAAATGGAAAAACAGAGCTATATAATGTATAGAAAACAATAAGAGAAAATTTTAGGATCTCAGGCTAAGCAAAGATTTCTTAGACTAGACACAAAAAGCATGATCTATAAAAGAAAAAAATGGTAAACATGGATGTCATCGAAAGTACAAACTTTTGCTCTGTAAAAGGCCTTGTTAAAAGGATAAAAAGACAAGCTACTGACTGGGAAAAAATCCAATTAGAAAATGTACAAAAGCCATGAACAAATATTTCACTGCAATCAATATACAGATGGCAAGTAAGTACATGAAAAGATGTTTAACATCATTATCCATCAGGGGAATGCAAAATAAAATCATAATGAAATATCACTACATACCCATTAGAATGGTTAAAAAAAAATAGTGACAGCACCAAATACTGGAGAGAATGTGGGGAAACTGGATCACTCATGTGTTGCTGGTAATAATGTAAAGTTGTACAGCCACACTGGAAAACAGTTTAGCAGTTTTTTATAAAACTAAACTTTCACCTACCATGCACCCAGCAATTGTAGTATAGGGCATTAATCCCAGAGAAATTAAAATGTGTGTATTGTATCAAGGGTACATGAGATCTTTCTGTATTATTTCTTACAACTGCATGGGAATATACAATTTTCTGAAAATAAAAAGTTCAATAAAAATAGCATAAATTTTTAAAACACAAAAGATTTACAGACTTCATAGTTGTCTGTTTGCTGTCTTCCCAGACCCCACTGCCAGAATGCAAGTGGCAAGAGAGCTGAGATGAGATGTGGTAGATGTTGACCACTTCTGTGTCTCCTACTCCAAAGAAGTGCATGGTGGACAGTGGACACTGAAATCTTTGTTGAACATGTCAGGGCAGGGACAGGCGCTGCAGAGTGACTTTCATAGAGCAAGGTATCCCGGACTGAAGCTTAGCAAATAATTCCACAGTGCAGGGCCCTGCCCATGCTTTCAAACATGTCTTAAACCCACGCTCCACCACTGACAGGTGCCCTGCCTGGCTCTGTTCTGGAATTCTTCAAGAAACCTGGAGATAATGTAGATCTAGTGCTTGTCATTTCAATTCTGCCTTATGAAGCATGTCATTCAGTTTGCTTTGTGAAAATATCATTAAAGCTGTATCCTATAATGAAAATAATGGCAGCTGACATTTATTAAGCATTTACAATGTGCTGGACATGTTTCTAAGCATTTTAATCTATTTTCCCATTTAAGCCATACAACTTGGTAATTCTGTCATCTTCATTTTTAAGACACTGAGGAGGAGAGATATTAAGTAATTAACTGAGAGTTACAAGCCATTAAGTGTTTGAAGAGATATCCAAACTCTGGAGTTTCATTCTTGAACCCTGTAAACCATTCCACTGTGTGGCCTCACATAGCACAAGACTGAGTCCTGCATAAGGACAGGAGGTATTGACTTCCATAAATTTCGCTATCACATAGTGCATGAGGTATTTCAATTATGGTTGTTTTGTTTTGTTTTGTTTTGTTTTGTTTGAGATAGGGTCTTGCTCTGCTGCCCAGGCTGAAGTGTAGTGGCATGATCATGGCTCATTGTAACCTCCACCTCCTGGAATCAGGCAATCCTCCCATTTCAGCCTCCTGAGTAGCTGGGACTACAGGTGTGTGTCACCATGCCCAGCTTATTTTTCTATTTTTTGTAGAAATGAGTTTTCACCATGTTACCCAGGCTGATCTCAAATTCCTGGGGTGAAGCAATCCACCTACCTGGGCCTCCCAAAGTACTGAGATTATAGGCGTGACCCACCACACCCGGCTGATATTTCAATTATGAGTCATTTATATGCTGAGTGTTGTAAACCTATATTTCCTTCCTTCCTCTCCCTCTTTCTCTATTTCCCCAACCTTCTTTTGATAGGAGATACTATTTAAAAGACAGTTATTAACTCGGGGCATGTAGAAATATAAAAAAAACAATTTTGTAAACCACCAGAAGAAACTAGAAAAAGAATATCTATCAAAGGCCAGGAAAGTAAATAACAGTTATAAACCCTTCCCCACTCTTTTTATAAATAAAATGCTTTAAAATTGCAATATCAATTAGGGTTTTCTTATTCCACAGAATTTTACATTTTGTGATGTTTGGGACAAATGGCTCCTCAGTCCTGGGGGTCAACGATGTCATCAAGCCATTTTATTGTAAGAGGAATTTTTAAAAAATTCTTCATTATTGGCCGGGTGCAGTGGCTCATGCTTGTAATCCCAGCACTTTGGGAGGCCGAAGCAGGCGGACCACTTGAGGCCAGGAGTACGAGACCAGCCTGGCCAACAGGCTGTCTCTACTAAAAATACAAAAAATATTAGCTGGGCATGTTGGTGGGTGCCTGTAATATAAGCTACTGGAGCGGCTGAGGCAGAAGAATGACTTGAACCCGGGAGGCAGAGGTTGCAGTAAGCAGAGATTGCACCATTGCACTCCAGCCTGGGCAACAACAGTGAAACTCTGTCTCAAAAAAAAAAAAAAAAAAAAAAAAAATTCTTCATTATTTTAAATACTCCTTCTCCAGTCTCAAGACATTGAGTCCCAAGGATGGCCCTCTGTTTTCTGAGACAGACGGGGAGCAAAGGTGAGGGCTGGAAGGAAATACACTGAAAAGTCAAGAAAGAACTGGATTATTCCATATGAAAAGTAGAGTGACTAGATGAGAAGGAGAGACCTGGAAGGAGGAGGTGCAGGTTGGCCAAATGCAGCGGCTGCCTGAGAGAAGGGAAATGAGGGTACAAAAAGGGGCATGAGGAAATCCATTCTGAAACAAAGAATGTGGACCCATCGCTGTTTAGAGAGAGCACCAGGAGAAAGATTGAAAATGTTGAAGGAGAAGTTTCTGAGGTTTCATGACACAATGTACAATGGAAACCATTTTCTGGGTCTCTCCACAAAATCCTTAGCAGAATTTCTACCTCCAAGGAGTTGTCTAGAAAATTCAGAAGCTTGCTACAATCTGATAACAAGAAATTTCAAATTGTAAGGCATAGACAGAAATGTCTATTAATCAACTCATTAATTAAAAGAGTAAAACAATTTGGTTCGTGTCTTAAGAAAATCAGTTCTACTTGTTCGGACTAACATGAAATTTAAAACTAAGTTTGATATTACTTATTACAGCTTATTCTCATTCAACTGTCTTCTAAAACTTGTATAACAGACCACTTTGAACTATTGTACTAAAATCTGCTTTGATGCAGAGTGATTCATGAAAATACAATCAGAAGAACCATTGAACTGCCTAGTGAAGGGACTGCAGTTGCCTTCAGGGCCCGGACCTCAGAGTTCCCTCGATTCTGCAGCAGTCTTACTTTAGCCCAAGAAAGAAAAAAGCCTGAAGACTCTGCCAATGAGACCAGCAGTGACATGGTCAACAGGCAGCAGAACCAAAAGCTAGGATAGGCTCTATGCAGAGCTCCAATGACTCCAAATACATTCGCTCATTTGAACTTTTCAACCCATCCTCCCACGGCTGAAACCAGAAAACAAGACTAAGTTCCATTTTTCCCCAATATCCCATTGGGGAAGTTAGAAATTCTGCTAATGATTTTGTGGAGAGACCCAGAAAATGGTTTCCATTGTACATTGTGAGATGAAACCCCAGAAACTTCCTCTTCAGCATTTCCAATCTTTCTCCTAGTGCTCTCTCTGAACAGTGATTCAGAATGGATTTCCTCATGCTGCCTTTTGCACCCTCATTCCCTTCCTCTCAGGCAGTCTTCCTGGATGACTCAGAAAGAGAAACTGAGTCACCAGTGAATCCACAGTGTCAGTCTGTCCTGATTTCTCCTCCAGAGTATCAAGTAGCAAACTGCCAGGGATATAAGCTCTTCTTGGGATGAATGCAAGCATCACTGGACCACTTGCCAGGAAGTCATTTCCAAACATAGTAAATTCGGATAATCGAACCTATCTATCCGCCAGTGGAAAGTAAAACCCTTCCCAGTTAGTAGTAACTGACACCCTAGTCACTTGGTCAATTGCTCATCTTGGACAACAACTAATTGATACCCTCTCCCACATGTAAACATGTGAATGTTAACCCTCTGCACTTGAATGTTTTTGTTTCAACTACTTCTGTAGGGGGAAAAAAGACCAACTGGCTGATTGGATAATAGAGAGCAAAAATAAATAAGAAAAATGTTACAGAAACAATTTAATTTTCCAACAGACACATTCACTGAGTTTGGGTACCAGTCATCTTTTTCCTGATGACCAGTCCCATCATCTGAAAATACTCCCATGAGGAGCTACTTTTCTGGGTTTGGCCCTTTTTCTACAAATCTGAGTAAAACTTTCATCTTCACTAAAAGCGGGACCCTAAGTCGTTTTCAAAGCTACAGCTATTGGTATCCATTAGTTATGAGTCAATATTGATATGAGATTTTTTTACCTAAGAATCTCCCAATAGAGTTTTGTCTCTGAAACCTCAATCCTTCTTTGAACATGTTCCAGTCTGTTTTCATTTCCGCCCATCCAGAACCAATAAGGGCATGGCATTCATTTTTAGTGTGGCACCACCAAAACCAGAGAGTGGGCTGGCATCTCCTCCATCACTATCAACTTAATATCACCTCCTCCTAGGCCACCCAAAGTCAAAGGAAACCACATGAGTGTAGGTATATGCAAAGTCTATTGCCCTATAAATGGAATACATCATAATCATACAAGTTGTTCTTCTTATTCATTTACACCCCGCTCTATACCCCACGCTCTGCTGAAATCCTCACTCAGTCAACCTTTCAATGTTACTGCAGACCTGAGCTGTTGATGTTATATGTTGATTTTTTTTTGCCACTTCCACCTACATTCCAAACACCTTGTATATATACCAATAACCAGCATACTTGTTATTTTTTATATCACAAACATTTCAGTCTTGCTATTACAGAGGACCACATAACTCAATGTCTAAACTGCTACATGTCGAGAGTGAAAGACAATGCTATTAATAATTATTCAAGGACTTGAGGCAAGAACTGAGACTATGCTGGGCAAACCAGGATGTGTGGTCATGCTGACTACAAGCCTCCTCTTATGGAAACTCTATTTCAATGCATGTGTTATTTTACAATAAATAGATAAAAGCTGATTAATCCTGGGGCTTAGTCTTTTTCTTATTACTTAGCATTCATTATGCGGGTGTTTCTGGAGAAGAGAAAACTCTTCTCTGGTCATTTTCAATGTTTTTATCTCTGGTCAATTTTTTTTTTCTATTTGAACTGGCTCCTGCCTAAATTGCACTACTTTCTATTTCTCTTTGCCAATATTTCTTTATTTGTATCTTTAATTTTTTTTTTTTTACTAATGTAGAAATGTTATACCATAGTATTTGGAATCATGTCATTTCCATTGGGATGGTATCTTTTATTTTTAAAAATCTAAAGTTGCTATTTTGAAATCTAATTGCATGACCTCGAATATGCTCATTGCTCATTCGTTATAACGAAAGCGTCCTTCAACCAAGGCTTCTGGGTTAGGACACGCCTACTTGGAAACACTATGCTCCGGCCAAAAGTGTGTAAGGGAGAAAAGAGAGAAAAAGGCTGTCAAGTATCACAGGAGAAGGTGAAGGAGCAGGTGCACCCTTCTACTGGATTTTAGAAGCCTTGCCTGGGTTTTAGACATGTTAAATGATAAAGGAAATTTATGTTCCACAAAGATCACTTTTTTAAAAAAAGAAAACAGTTTGATGAAGAACAGAAAATGATGAGGAGAGTTCCACTGAGAAATTCAAATAAAGTTTAGATTTGGGAAAGAGGAATGCATTTATCCAAAAAAAATAGACTGATTTAAAAATTTCATCCACAAGGCTCATCAAATGAAATAAAACTAGGATTTCACAATCTTGCATCTCCCTGCTCCCCTGCCAAAAAAAGCTACAAAGGATAACACATTTTATGTCATGTAAGCAAAAACAAATAGCCTCTCCCTAGGCCAAAAAAAAAAAGTTGCTTTAAAATAACTATGCTAGTTTGCTAGTTTACATTCGAACTAAAGCTTCCATCAAGGTAGGTAGGTTTGTTTTTTAATTCCTCTCAAAATAAACATGTGGCAGGGAAAGTGGTATTTTAAGCCAGAAAAAAAAAATATGTTTTAAACCAGAAAAAAAATATGTTAGCAAAGTTGTTTAATAATATTGGAAGCCTTACTCAAAAACAGGACTCAAAATTAAATCAGTAATACAATTGTACCCATAGTAAAAATGATTTACACACACTCACACATACACAGCTTAGTCAACTCTCTTCAAGAGACTAGAAATAAATAAACCAAAACATTCATTATGGTTGTTCCTTTCTTGACGGTGGGATCATAAATAACTTTTTCTTGGATTTTTTCATAGTTTTTCCGAACTTTTCACAGTAATATATGCCATGAGCATATATTACTTTTAAGATTTTTTTATTACAAAAAGAAACAAATAGGAGAGAAAAACAATAGCAGTCAAAAGACTAATAGCTCCTGAAAGCTTTTTAAACAAAAAGTGTGAGTAACAGTGTTGTCTGTTTGCTCCACTCCACTGCCATCCCTTGAACTGAAAATCTTTGATATTATGGGAATCCCATACACAGTAACGTCAGGACATTCCCATATTAACTTGGCAAACTCAATCAGATCCACAAAGACAGGATAGGTGGCTTTGGCTGAACACTTTCTAACAGTGCTGGGTAGATGGAGGTGTGCTGTCACAGCCTCAACACAGACAGACACAAACCATATACTCCTTGCCTGCGAACTACCCAGCTTGTTCCAATGGCTTACATTCTTTGGCCGTGTGTGATGTGGTCACAGTCACATGCCCTAGTGGGTCCCATGCGTCCTCATGGGTGGAGAGCAATGTCTGAAGCACACTCACACCAGCTGTGGGGAGCGTGCACTCTTCTCAAAGACTCACACGAAGGCTTCACACTAAAGAGGAACATGCTGTCAGAACAGCCACCACCATTCCCTGAGTGTTCTGTGCCTCTAGAAGGATGCAGACTCCGCTTGAATTGGCAGTCTCTCCAAGTCGTGAGGAATATCCATCCAGCCATGTGCCACGTGCTGAATTCATTTTTGTCCATGGAACAGCTGAGCCTCTTCAAGTTCCAGGAAGCAGTTAGTGGAGGGTTTCTCCCTCCAGCCCCTGCCCCCACTTCTATTTTAATGATAGGCATGGACAGAAGGAAGGCAAATTGACAAAGCCACCCCTTTGTCAAGGGAGAGAATAGCCACAATAACGTCCCTTTGCAAACTGCCTTGGTCTCCTGGCGTTAATGAATCTCATTAGGATGTGCAGGTGTGTGACCTCTGACTCCCAAGATTTTGATGAGTAGAACTCTTAGGGAGGCTATTTCATTTAGTGAAAGTGGATGCCCTAATCATTAATGTTATCCTGCCTTTTTGTTAGAATCAGAGTTCAGGAAAAGCAGCAAATCTAATGGGTGTTGTCTCTCATTATGCTGGCTTGGCTCGGCCTGGGTCAAGCGTCTGCACCCCACCACTCCCAAAGCAAGAGCTGTATAGATCAGTTCTCTCAAAATGATTTGTTCTATTAGCTAAAATTGAAACAATCAAGCTGAATGGGGTGGGGCAAATTATAATAGCCATATTTCTGAGATAAAACTATAAGATCACTAGGTCAAAATTGCCTGCAAGAGAGAGGGAACGTGAAAATCCAGTTCTGGCAAACATTCCTGGCACCCGTTTCTAGCTGCACCACTAGTTTTAGAGAGGAGCACAGATGCCAGGCGTGGTGGTTCACACCTGTAATCCAAGCACTTTGGGGGACTGAGGTGGGAGGATCGATTGAGGCCAAGAGTTCAAAACCAGTCTGGGCAACAAAGTGAGATCCTCTCTCAAAAAAAAAAAAAAAAAAATTCAACACAACGATTCTATACAACACACATTCTCTGTCCTTCTCATTTAGTGCTTGTCATTTACTCTCTTGACTTGCTAACCACCCTTCCTGAGTGTGTGTCCTTCCCATGAGAATAAGATCTAGCTTTTCTATCTGTGCTTCTGTATGCACCAAAATTACATGTGCATTGATCTTCTACATTAAATCTAAATGTGGATGAACACAAAGAACAAAATAATAAGTAGCACGGCTTCAGGGAAAGAGCACAGGCTTTGGAATCTGAAGACATGCAACAACTCACTGTATTTGCTACTCTGTGTGAAATTCAGATTCCTCATCTTTAAAATGGGATAATCATCCATATCTTGCAGGATTGTCGAGATTATTAGAGGTCACGAGTGTGTCACATGAAATGGTAGCTGTGACTATTACACTATTTTCCTCACTAGAAATAAAGCTTCTTTTCCTCAGGTAAAACTTTGCATCACGTATACAGCACAACTGTTTTTTTAATTTTTTTAAGTTTCTTGTTTATTATATAATAATTATTAAAACATTAAATAAAGACTTCATAAAATCCCTCTTCATCAGGATGCTGTGGGATGTGGTTACAGAAAGAAGTCTCCACCCTCTCGGAAGTTAGACTCTAATTGCAGAACCCAGACTAGCACATTACAGAAGCCCAAAAGCCAACGGTACCAACCTCTGCACCTTGCCCGATAACTGCTGGTCTCTTGAGTCGAATAAAGATAAGGACGGGAGGGTGTGGTGAGTGGTGGCAACTAGGAGAATGTGGGGTTTATTCTGTGGACTCCATCATCCAGGGCCCTAGATGACCTGGGTTTGTGAGCTGTGTGGGTGGACCGAGTCCGTAAATGAAGGAGAGAATGAAGGCAGGTGCTCAGTGGGCCCCAAGGGGCACGCAGGTGGTCCTTGAACAGCAATAGCAGGAGTATCGTTTTCAAGAAAGAAGGGTTTTAGATTTTGTAATGGGTATTTTGCCTGTTTGTCTGTTTGTTTGTTTATTTTTCCTGGGGCTAGTGGTGGGGATTATTTTACTTATTTCAGCCCCAAGAACCACACGGGGGACTCTTCCCGGTCAGCTCAGCTTGTTCAAAAAACTGTCTCCCAGGAAGGAAGTTGCCCATGAGCCTATTCCATGTCCCTCCTCCTGGCACGGAATGCTGGCAGCAACCATGACGAGGCCCTGAGCTGGTGTTGTGAACTCTAGGGATGAGTAATGGTGCCATCAAGGTGGGATTGCCCTGGCACTGTGCCTTGCCCAGCACAGGACCAGGAGGCCGGAAACCCGGTTCTGGTTCCAGCCCTGCCATCCACCACCATACCCAAGCTCCAGAACTGCCCTGGACCGGGCCATTTCTAACCCTCACAGAAGGCCCACACCACTCTTTGGAACATATGTGACGTGATGCCCACACACTTGGGTCTGAAATAAGGGAAGAAACGGCAACCACAGCTCTGATGTCTGCCTTCTCCCGTTAGCCTCTGGGGGAATCCCGACATCTCAGAGCAGGAAGGTCCTTTAGAGGCTCTGCAGATGAGGAGCTGCACCCGCTGGCCGGCCGCTCTGTGCCCAGTGGACAGGACAGTGGGCAGAGGAGGCGCCGTGCCAGGAGGCACAGCCGCTCCAGCAGGCTCCCGTGAAGTCATCGATGTTATATTTAACCTCATCACAGTTGGGCCAGCAGCCGGTGCACCAGACATAACTGGCTCCAGGACGTTCCCCACATAACTGAGCACAGTTCACAGGCTGGTTTAGGTCACCGTCTGGAGGCGCCAGAAAGAAGGCATCCTGGCACTGCAGAAACAGACAGCAGCCCATCCGTGTAGGAATAGATCCATTTAGGGAGCTGTGGCCGGGCACTGTACACCCAAGAATTCCATGAAGTAAAAAAAACTAAGGCTACAAAAAGAAGTTTCTCACAGTCTTCTTGTTAATAAGCAAAAGAACCCAAATGTGCACTCGGTTCTGTCACACTAATGCCAAGGGGCGATTTGCTTTGCTGTGTTTCATTCATTCACCCCAACTGTTTCATGGGCTGCTGTTGCCCTTAAATCCATTTTGGGATTCAGTACCCATAAGCTGCCAGAATTACAGTTCCTTCAAGGTGCTGTTTATACCCAGTCTACCTAAACAGGTTCTGTTCAGCTGAGCTTGTTTGGCCCGTGTGCCCTGACTATCTAATTGGCATTTGCCACATCAGAAGTGTGGGAAGTGCTCAGTGGAGGTGAGTGCAGAGCAGTGGCATTTATTTATCCCAACTTGGAGGTGCAGAGAAGAGCTCCTGGCTACAGAGGATGGACCAGGCTTTGGGATTAAGATTGAAACAGAGAGCAGGCATGGTGGCTTACGCTTTGGGAGGCCAAGGTGGGAGGATCGCTCAAGGCCAGGAGTTTGAGACCAGCCTGGGCAACATAAAAAGACCCTGTCTGTACCCCCCCCCCAAGAAAAGTTGCCAAGTTTACTGCTACACACCTGAGGTTGCAGCTACTCTAGAGGCTGAGACAGGAGGATTCCTTAAGCCCATGGAAGTCAAGGCTGCAATGAGCTATGATCATGTCACTGCACTCCAGCCTGGAAGAGAGCAAGACCCTGTCTCTAAAAACAAAATAAAACTAAAATTAAAAAAAAAACAAAAACAAAAAAAACAAACAAAAAAAATTGAAACAGAATGAGCAGGAGAGAGGGACTTTGGGCAGAGAGGAGAGCATGACTGGAGGGGGCTGGAGGGGCGAAGGGCCTGTAGTACTGCCATGCTGCTCAACCTCTTTGCAGTTCAACAGGAGAGCCCAGGCCCCAAGCCCTTCACCCCATGAACCAACCCAAGAAGAGCAAGCAAGTCAGGGCCCCATGGGGTCCCTTGCCCTCTGTGCACAGCCCACACTGTGCCCCTCCTGGACTCTCACCTTCTGGTCTCTCCTCCATTGCTGTTCAGATTCTGCTATTCATCAAAGACCAATTCCTGCGCTGCCTCTTCCCTGAGAAGCTCCCAGCTTCCCAGCAGTTGGAATCCATTTCCCACTGCGCTATGCGGGCCCTTTTAGCTCCCTGAGGGAAAAGGCACCTGGCTCAGCACTGTGGCTCCAGAAGCACCTTCCCACCTGGTCCCTGAGGCACAACAGATAATGCAGGAAAGTCCGCAGGAGTACCTGAACTAAACTCCAGGGCCGATGGAAGCAGCCAGTGACCGATGTGCAGGAAGGACAGGTTAGAATGTTTCACTGAGACATGAGGATTTGGCCTCATAGGAGAGGAGAGTGTGTCTAACAAAGCCTAGTGCCAAGTGGGAGGCAATATGGGGCAATGTGAGTGGCAATGTCCTTGGGAGTAGGACAGACCTGAGTGACTGCATCGTCCACCCCTATCTAGCTACAGAGGATTCTGGGAGGGCTAAATGGATAGTGTGTAAGAAAGGCATTCAGTACATTCTAAAGCACTCTGTAAATGTGAGCTAAAAGCCTGACAAACGTGAGCTGTAGAATCACTATTTCTCCTTTCCGTGTGGCTTCAGGTCATTGAGGTCTGAAGCTACAGATGGTTTTCTGAATCTGCACTCAGAGTTGGCTCATTAGAGGCCAAACAATGACTTAAGGGCTGGCCCTTCATGGGGGCAGTGGAAGGAGCTGGCCCTGGCAGGTAGTGCCCAGGGCTGCCTGGAGCCTCGTCCACGCGCCCTGTGCCTCCATCTCCCCGTCTCTCGTGAAGGCCTGGCCTGAGAGTTCACGGACCATCTCCAGATTACCAATCCCCTGTTCTACAACCTCCAGGATGAGAATCCCAGGGTCTCAGGGCTGCCACAAATACACAGGCCAGTGACACTGATGGCTTCTTTCTTTTCTCACTGCTCCTCTAGTTTCACAAGTTCTGTCCAACTGTCCCAAGAACAATGATTACCGACCATGTTTGTTTGTCCTGGCTGCCATAACAAAATACCACAAATGGGTGGCTTCAACAATAGAAATTTATTTTGCCACCATTCTGAAGGCTGGAAGTCCCTGATCAGGTTTGGTTTCTGGTGAGGTCTGACACCTTGTCTTATAGACAGCCACCTTCTCCCTGTGGCCCCACATGGCCTTTCCCCTGTGCATGCATGGAAAGAGAACCCCGGCGTCTCTTCTTCTTATGAGAACACCAGTCCTGGAGGATGAAGGTCCTACCCCTAACTCTTCATTTAACCTTTATTACCTCCTACAGGCCCTATCTCCAAACACAGCCATGTTGGGGGCTGGGACTTCAATGTATAAATTGCAAGGGACGCATCTAGGTCCACAGTAGTGACCAGACGCCAGCTCTCGTTTCCTCCATGCACAGCCATCAAAGCACACCAATGAGTCCTTCTTTCCTACCCTAGTGCACAATTCCACGTAGCAATGACCGTGGCTAGGCCCCTTTCTACAAATGCTGCAAAAGAAATCCAGGTGCGCTTCAGCAGTCTTTTCAGAAGACAGGAGTTGTGAGCTCAGGCTCCCTGCACAGGGTTTAAATAAAAAAGTACTAAATCAAGATGGGTGTTATCAAACAAACTCCATGTTCTCACCAGGAAACCTCCCTGGTGGGGAATTGAATAGAGGAAACTGCTTGTGTTCAAGCTGAGCCTCTGAATCACAGGGCCGTTATCACACCCACTAAAATCCCTATTGTGCTTTGGACAAGAATCGGGGACATGCACAGCAGGGGCCTGGAAGGATTCCACTGGGATACTTTACCAGGCCCCAAGGGCCTCCCTGTCCGCCTCCCTTTGAAACACTATTAGGAGACTGGGGCATTTCCAAATGTGACCGACCCATGTTTTCAATCATGTTAATCACATTAAATCCACAAACACAAACTCCACCTCCCTCTGTGTGCCAGGCTCTGAGCTAGACTCTGGGGAGCCCTCGAAAAGCCCTGAAGGCTTCTTGGAGGGAGAAGAAACTCACCAGAGCTGAGACTTTTTAAAGCATCAAACCACATGAGCGTTGTGTCAAAGGGGACTTCCAACTAAGAAAAGCTGATATGAAGGGAAGACCAGAGGGAGGGACCAGCAGGGACGGCACCAGAAGGATGATGGAGCTGAACCCACAATGAGGGAAACTGCACAGCGAGAGGGAAGAAAATGCCCCAAAACAGACCTGGCAGCCACATCCTCAGCAGGCTGGAAGAGACAGAACTGTGAAAAGTGTGTTCGTCCCACTGGTGGCAATTTGACCTCCTTCACGTGTTGCCAGCACCTTGGAGCCTGAGGAGCTGAGAAAATTGCCCATTTTCTGATCTCAACGCACACGTAAGGTTTGGTAGGTACTGCGGCAGCCTGGGTGGGGGTGGGAAACACAGCCGGCGCAGGCGCAGTGAGCATCCGCCCTGGGACCTGGCACCCGCCACGTTCCGTTCTCTGGGCCTCAGTTTCTTCACTTGTGAGATGGGGAATGATACCAGCAGTCCCTCCTACTTGCTGGGGTCCTTGCAAGAATCAGATGAGAAAATGGATGTAACAGAGGGGTAGGACCTCAGGTGCTCTGTGGCAACAGGGCTGGCACCACTCAGCACAGAAACAGCAGCGGAAGAAACAGAGCAGCAACGTGCACCTGTCCATCAAAGCCCCAGCTCTGCAGCCGGAGAGACCCCCTGCATTCTTACCTCAGCTCACCCAGCTACTGGCTTGGAGAGGTCACTTTACCTCGCTAGACCTGTTTCCTCACTCATTAAAAAGAGACGACTCCCTACACTTCTAGGATTAAATGAGGCAATGCTTATAAAGCCCCTAGAACAGCTTCATAGAGGGTCATTTGTTCCGTTAACAGGAGCTATTGTTATTAGTACAGTGGTTTTCATTATTATTGAGAGGGATCAGTTATTTATAACCCTCAGAAGCCCAGGCGCACATTCAAAGGGAGAAACCCAGGGAGTGCGGGCTCGAGCTCGGGATTCCAGAGCTGCTCGCTCCTCCCTCCTCTGCTTCTTGCTTTGCTGGACACCCGGGTCTCCTTGGTCTTCCAGATCTTCCCCGTGTTATTCCCTCAGACTGGAAACTGCTCCCCTCTGTGGGGCGTGGCCAATTTCTGCTCGTTTTTCGGAGGTGTCACTGTGTGACACCTGTGTGAGTGTCTAAACCCCGCCATCCCTGCTACGCCTGCCTTCAGTTCTCTGTTCCCTCTCCGGATGGTAAGCTCTGTGAGGGCAGGTGTATTAGTTCCCCAGAAAAGCAGGGCAAATAGGATGGGAGGGAGAGAGAGGGGAAAGAAAAGAGAGAGAGAGAGAGGTTTTAAGGAATTGGCTCATGTGATTTGGAGGCTGGTAGGATCTGCAAGACAGGCCCAGGGAAGTGCTGACGTCACACCTTGAGTCTAAAGGCCTTCTGGGGGCAGAATTCCCCCTTCCTCTGAAGACCTCAAGGTTTTTTTTTTTCTTTTAAAGTCTTCAACTGATTGGATGAGGCCCACCCACACTGCGGAGGGTCATCTGTTTTCCTCAAAGTCTACTGATCTAAATGTTAATCTTATCTAAAAATACCTTCACAGCAGCATCTGGACTGGTATTTGGCCAAGCATCTGGGTGAGATGGCCCAGTCATGCTGACACGTGAAATTAACCCTTGCAGCAGGGGCTGGCCCTCCCTTCTTAACCTCTGTGGCTATCACTGAGCAGAGGACCTGACATTAGCAGGTGCTCAATAAATATTTGTCAAATAAATGAACAGATGGATGGATTAGTGGTTCTATATAATCACTTAGAGAGAAACTATCATATGTCAGAGATAATCTGTTTTAAAAATCCACTTTTAACTGGTTTGGCACAAAACAAATGGACTTTTGGAATAAAGCATGTGTTCTATTTCGAGTCTTCCTCTTTGGACCCCAGAGGTCGACAGCATCCACAGTCCAGGCCAGCTGCCCCTCCCAGGCCTGGCTCACACCACGTTGCAGAGAACACCATTCTCTGGAGGCCAGGATAGGAAAGGGCAGGAGACACTCCACTCCTGCCAAGAAACTAGCCCCTGCTCTTCTGCCTCAGGAAACAGCCAAGGCTAAGAGGAAGCCCCTGCAGGTGTCTGTTCCAGGGGCTTCTGTGTTTATTAGTATTCCCATGAACTGGGAAAAACAACGGTGCAAAGCGAGCTACCCAGTGTGTTACAGGTTGTTTGGAAAACACGCTTGTAAATGTCTGGTTAGATAATTTATATGAATGTGCCTCAGATACAAAATGACCCTGGGCCGGGCTGGTGTGGCTTATTTGCAGTTAGCCTCCTTTCCTCTTGTCGCATCTTAAACATTATGCGGGGTGAGGCTTGGGATCACAGAAGCTTATCTTCTAGGGAATGAGATGTTTGCTCCAAGATAGAATTCAGATGAGAGAACTGCAAAATTGATGAATTGGAAGGAACACGGAGATCATCTGAACACCAGCAGATGAAGCAGAGGCCCAGGAAGGCCAAGTGCTGGGCTCAAAGCCACAGGGCAAAGTCATCCCAGAGCCAGAACCAGGGTCCAGTTCTCCTCGCCCTGTTGCTCAGGAAAGTTACAGCCTGGGTGGACTCATGAAAGTAACCGGTTAGACTATAATTCGCAAAGATAGAAAAATGCCTTCTGGTCTAAAATTCAAGTCACAGTTTAGACCAGAGATAAAGTCCATGATTTTTCCCTTGCTAAAACCAGTATTTATGGCATTTGAGTGAGCAGTAAATTACTAGTTGCAAGCAAAAAATGTGCTTTCTACATGTTCACAAACATATCATCACCTCCAATACTGCATCACTATAATACAGTATATGGCAAATTAGCCTGTTATATTTGGGGTAATTTAATCAACTGTCTAATATATACTCTACCAACCCATGTATGTGACTCATAATTACAGTGTATTGACTCAAATAACTTCATATTAATGGGCCAACAAACCACTTTAAAATGAATATCAGCCTTACCTCATATATACATGTTGATTTTATAAATGCGCGACTGTAGGATGAGATCTAAATGTGCAAAAATACATTTACCTACCAGAAAATTCCAATGACATTTGGTTTCAGAATGATGAGGAAAAGCTCCAAGACCCAAGTAGAAAAAAGAATATATCCGTTCCAGAGCGCCATTCATCCAACTCACGGAGACAACATTTTCCTCAGTATCTTTTGAGATACTGGGTTTCAAAAATTCAATTTCCTAACATATAAAATCCGTGCACACACATGTTGGCAATCAGAACCTTTCTGGAGGGTCTGCCTGGTAGGCAAGCACGTGACTATGAGGTCGCACTTGAACTACAATAAGACAATGTCCGTGGAGCTCAGAAGAAGTTGCCTTTTCTTTTATTGACACATGTATGTTATATCAAAGGAAAATATTTTCTCAACCCTTCAGGAGGGACTTGCCTGGCAGGCTCTTGTTTGTGTGGGATGAGGTTAAGTGAGCCATGCCTTGGATGAAGAGTGTTCCGTACCTTGCAGCTCTCACCTCAGGAAGTAGTTTTCAGTGTGGACTCACTCATCATCTTCCTTTTTCCTCTTGTGCTGGGAGGACACTGTGTTGGTTCAGGAAAAGCTTGGACCGTGAAAGGGCAAATGCCTAGGGTTTGAGCCTCCCCTAACAGTCCTTGCCATCCCATCTCACCAAATTGCCAAATTCTTCCTCTCTTCTCTACAGCATTGACAAGAGTTTCTGCTGAATGCTTCCTTTGTCAGAGCAATTCTCCTTGATACTGTCAGTTTGTTAATCATCCCACTCCCCTTTCTAGCTCAACCCTTTTGATTGTTTTTTAATTAGTTTGGTTGACCAAAAAAGAACAAGAATTTTAATCTTAGTTGCTTTGACATCATAAGGTAGCATTAATTGTGATTGCCACAAGCCCAACTGAGATGCAAAGAGGTGCAGAGACACCATTTCCCCTGTTGGTAAATACTTCCGATTTTTGCAGGAGCACTTTCCCATCATTGCAGAGTATCAAGGGAGAAAAACCCAGTCTTCTTCTCCTGCTGGAATTCCCAACAAACTCCATTACTCAATGAAAGATAGCCATCGATGTTTCTATGCAGGATTCCTTTCCTGCTTTTCTCAGGGAATGTATGTATTTCTGAATCCCAAGTCCTAAGAAAAATAAGTTGTGAAAACAGGAAAGCTGGAGGAACTATCATAATGTTCCTACAAGAAATAGAGTTAGCAATCAAGACATTATTTGTTCAGAGGAAGCCACTGATTCAAGTTAAAAAACAAGAGCAGAAAATGTCTTATGTAGAGTCCAACATTAGGGTCAAACTTTCTGGAAATCAGGTGGGGGCAAAGAACTGAGAAGCAAGGTAATGTAATCAGTTGGTTTTGCTCATAGCTGTTACTATAAGAGTGAGTTCTGGCCCTGTCTGCTGCAAATGGTGTGTCATTGTTACAAACAAAATAAATATGAATACCTTTATACACAGAGTACACTTTACACAAATCCGATGACTGGTGTTCTAAGAAATAACAAATTTTGGAAGCAAAATAAATCCTTAACTTGGCAACACTGACATGATTCTGTGTAGTTCTGTTAAAAATGCTGGGAGATCCAAGTGTTACATTATTGGAATAATACCCCAAGATATTCCTTAGCATTTTCCAATGTTTGAATATTTACTAGAGGCTACAGTTCTTTGTGAATACTTTAATAGGAGAAATGCAAAGATAAGACATCAATGTGGAATACTTCTACATGAAATCAGAAATTGATATGAAATTCAGATTAGCAAAAGTAAGATGGCTTTCGAAGGCAAAACCAAAATGAGGACCAGTAGACAAACTATTTTCACTGTTAAAATAGGAGACAAGCAACATGCCCCCTAATAATCAAATTGAGGGTGCTTTTGGAGGCACATTTATAATTCGACCAACTCGACATGAAATAGAAAAAAACTGTGTGCATCTTAGGTATTTGTTACAAAACATGGATCAAAACTATTGCACATGGCAACTGATGTTTTGAGTGTTTTAAAATGTTATTTTTAAGAATGGCAACTTTTAGATATTTAATATTTTGATAATATCTTTCCACTTTTAAATAATTTTTATTTGGCGTATATTTTGTGTTAAAGTTCTCTTAATGTTTTCTATTATGGAATGGTTCTATCAAAAAGAGATCACTCTTGCAGTTATGAAAATATTTCATCTTGTCAGCAATACATCACTTCATAATCATAATAAACCATGCATTTGCTATCATATATTTTGTTTGCAGAAAGTTTCTGAAAGTTTTATCATAGCACTATTAAAAATGATTTACTATTTATTAGTATGATCACTTATAATTAATTTAAAATATTTATATAAAATATTACTAAAAAATAAAGACTAACTTACAATTTCAGGGATTCCCTAGAATTCTCAGGAATTCCAGCTTCTTATTCTCAAGTCCCAAACATTAATATTTCTTGGGAGTGTGAAAACACTACGTACAATGGTGCTTATGTAGATCTTGTAATGTAGATTTTGGCAGACAGAAAGTACAAGTTTCGCCAAGTAACATTATCCAGCATCGTAATAAATGCTAATATGAAAAGGCAAGCAAACTTAATAAGATTTATAAAATGAAAGCCACATTGCTTTGATGATGTGATAACGTAAAGGTAAAATGTCTCTTCCAACTTGTAGTACTTCTTTAGAGCTAACTTTTATTTCACTTAGAAATGTGTGGAAGAGTTAATCCCTATAAATAGTAATAATTATTACTGAAGTAGAAACTTAAATCCTTTGAAATTTAGATTCTAAACTAACATGCATTCTTTAAATCATTTTACACATGGTATCCCTTGATATTGGTGGTGAGAAAAAAGAATGAAAACAAAGAAATAGAAAAGAGGCAGTTCTTATATAATCTCACAGAAAAATAGATTTCCTTGAAAACAGTTTTTGGAGAGAAGCCTTGGGTCTGAAATAATTCAATAAAATAAACATCCTCTGAGCTATTCCTAATTTATCTTTACTTGATGGTGGTTGCAGATTGGATTCTCCAGGAAGCAGATGCCCAGATGGAGGTTGAGAGTCGATTCGCTTTGTTAGAGACCGACACCTATTAAGCAAGAAAAGGGAGGACGCAGGATTGGGCAGGGTAGCTGGCAGAGAGCAACGACAAATGATGAAACAAAGTCTCTGCCAGGGAGATCCAAGGCTAAGGTTGTCTTTGAGAAGTCCCATGTGGGGCAGAGTCGGTTCTTTCTTGTTACCACAACTTTGCAGGGGCAACCGGTAGGGCCGCCCTGAGAACAGCATGACTCAGCAAAGCTGAGGCAAACCTCCAAGCAGCTGCAGCTGGAGACTATGAGTTAGCCACACTCTACGCCTCAGGAAGCAGGTCCTTTTCTTTCTCTTTCTTTCTTTTTCTTTCTTTCTTTCTTTTTTTTTAATTTGAGATCTTGCTCTGTCACCAGGCTAGAGTATAATGGCGCAATCATAGCTCACTGCAGCCTCAACTTCCAGGGCTCAAGTAATCCTCCCACCTCAGCCTCCTAAGTAGCTGGGACTACAAGTGTAAGCCACCATGCCCAGCTAATTTTAAAATTTAGCTATCTCACTGTGTTGCCCATTCTGGTCCTAAACTCCTGGGCTGAAGCAATCCTCCCATCTAGGTCTTCCAAAGTACTGAGATTATAGGTGTGAGCCACCGTGCCTAGCCAGCAAGTCCATTTTTTAAAGGGAATCTGAACAGCACATCTCTGCATCTGCCAGACAGTAAATAAGACCAAAAAGGCAACAACAAAAGGGGTCTTATGTTCTTCCTCATGAACAACAGAACCTCAGTAACCACTTGAAAAGTTCTTTAACAAGTATAATGTATATAGAAACTTTTTAGGAATTAGAACTACTTTTGATATGTGTGTCATAATAAAATAGTAGCAAATTGAAGTATAAATTATATTCTGGGATATTGATGGATTCCAATATATGTAAATTTCTTACTAAACCAGAAAAGTATAGGAATGTTGGCACTAGATTACTGACATTAATTGGTGTGCAGCAAATAAAACTATATATTTTCTCCATCTCTTCCTGGGGTCACCTTGTATTTGCAAAGGCTCACAATGAGATAATAGGCCAGATTTGTAAAAGGTACTCTCCGTTTTGGCCCAGGCAATTAAACAGAAACACAAAAACTGCCCCCACAATTGCCTAATTGCAGGTGCAATCAGTAACTGGCAGGTGCAATTAGACAGGAACCTCATTCAGGAGCTGTGAGTGACAGATTAGTCAATTATTCAATAGTAGACACAATGATTTTCACATGCAGTTTTGTATTCAAAGCTACTCATAGACTTTAAAATTGATAAATGATGGGTAAGACTCATGAAAAAAGTCTTTCCCAAACTAATTGTCTATCATTACCAAAGAAGAGACTGATTTGATTCTTGACCTCATCTATGAACTTGAGTCAACAAAAGAGAACAGTCCAATCCCTGGCTTAACCCAAATTTCTTAAGAATCCTTTGAAGAATGAGAAATTCAGGATCGTCTTAGACCTTCTAAGGCCTCTCCTCACCTTAGCAGATCTTTAATACTCTTTCTGTCAAAGCACATGACATTGGAGTCAATCTAAAACTTGCCCTGCATGAATCATTTATTCAGCAAAAATTGTGAAGAACCATCTCTGTATCAGGGACTGAGATATGAGTGATAGGACATGATCTCTGCCAAGAGGTAATGAGATGCAATAATTGAAGAGATGTGAGGGCAGAGACAGAAGAGAAGGAACCCCACCCCGCCTAGAGTAGACTGGCAGACTCCATGGGATAGGAGCAGGCATTGGACAGAGTCAAACAACAGGCTTCAATGCAAAGGGGTATATATTTATGTGAGAGTATAATCACCTGTCAATCATCAGGGATAAAATGCCATCTAATAATAGCATATTCCGTTTCACAAATTAAAATGAATAATTCTTCTTTAAAAGGATGATTCTACTACATTGATTAGGGTAAACTAAACGCTTTACTAAATATACCTAAACATAGTTTTGACTCAAATGCCACAGAAATCCATTTAACAAGATAATAGATTTCAAGTCAAATAATCAATAATTTTATCAAGTATAAAAACACTACATACCATAAGTGAAAGACAAAGATCATCAGCCTGAATTTACAAAAAGCACAATCCAACTATATGCTGCTTATAAGAAACATACGTAAGTATAAAAAAACAGAAAGTTTCAAATAAACAAATGGAAAAAAATATACCATGTAAACATTAATTTTAAAAAAGCTATTCTAATCACAGAAATACCAAAGGGTACATTTCATTATGACAACAGGATCAATCCAACGAGAAGACATAACAACCCTAAATGTGAACACACATAATAATATAACCTCAAAATATATAAATTTAAGAATTGGTAGAACTAAAGGCAAAATAAATGAATTCACAATCACAGTTAAAGACCGTGAAACACACCCCAGTAACTGATGAAACAAGCAGCCATAAATATCAGTAGAGACACTGGAAATATGAACAATACAAAAACATGTGATGTAATTAGCATGCATAGAACACTACACCCAACAACTAAAAATACACGTTCTTTTCAAGTGCACTTATTCTAGGGCTAGCTATGACCTACTACTGAGGCATGACGCATTTGGTATCTCTGAATGCCCCAAGCATTCAGTGAGGCCTACTGACTTTGGCTAGATAGAATCTGAACATCTCCCAGACCTATGCCAGCTCTAGGAATCACAGACTTTACATCTTCCCTGTCCTTCTTGCCTGGCATCATGGAATTTCATCCTCTGCATGTTCACTTTAGTGATCAGCAAGGGAACCAAGAGAAAACCAGCACAGATCTCTGGCACTCTTTCCCTGCATGGCTCCTTCTAGTACCCTGTCCCACCAGTTCCAGCATCTCCACCACCTTGAGCCCTGGTCTCTGTCTTCTCAGCTCAGCAACACCACCATTCTCTGCCTGGAATCCTCTCCCTACACTGAGGTTGAGAAAGTGCTTCCAGGCGGGAATCCATGGCTGTTGGTTCACCTCATTTGTTTCCGTTACCTGCAGTCTATACTCCAGGGTCTGACAACAGTTGTTTCATAGAGTTGATTCAATTTTCTACTTGTTTAGAGCAGAATAGTAAGTTTGGGCCCCATTATTTCACTATGGCTGCCTGGGTTTTTTTAATCCCTTTAAAATATTTTATTGATCATTGATGTGTATGGGCTCACTAAACAATTTTGATAGAAGCATTTTTGTCCAGTTTCACCATTCTAGTACTGTTCATTTTTTATATTGCTGAGAATATACTTCATCTTTGTGATGCCATATACAGATCAGCTCACACAAAGTCATTAGGCTATGAAGGGCAGAAATCTTAGAATCTTGCAGTAGTTGAATTCAGATCTAAAAGGGTACTTAAAAGGTCTATTCCAACCCCTCATTTTCAAAAGTGAAGTAGTAGAAACTGACTAATTGTTCATTGAATCTGTTTCCCCTTCTTCCTGGCCAAAACTAGTATGTATTCACCAGCCTGATGTGCAATTAAGTATGGCCATGTTACTCATTGCAGCCAATGAAATGTGAACAGATTCTTCAATTCTTTCTTCATCTACCAGCTCGATTACTGAATGACCATGTGGAAGTCTGGAGAGCAATAAGAACACCCAACTGGCCTTTGTACAAATAGGCATCCTATCTACTTTTAAAGTGTGAAACCACTGGGAGTTGGCAGCTGCTCTTACCTTCATAGATGCATAAATGGGAACTGATGCCCAGAAGGGAAAATGACAGAGTCCATCAGTCTAAGATACTTTTCACACCCAAACTGTTTCCATATTAATTCTATAGCAAGGGCCAAGACCAGGCCTGATGTGTTGTTGAATCATTTTTCAGTACCTACAATAGTGCCTCTTCTTTTTCTTTTCTTTTTTGAGATGGAGTCTCATTCTGTCACCCAGGCTGGAGTGCAGTGGTGCAATCTCAGCTCACTGCAACCTTCACCTCCCGGGTTCAAGCGATTCTCCTGCCTCAGCCTCCCGAGTAGCTGGGACTACAGGCATGTGCCACCATGCCCATCTAATTTTTGTATTTTTAGTAGAGACAGGGTTTCACCATGTTGATCAGGCTGGTCTTGAACTCCTGACCTCTGATGATCCGCCCGCCTCGGTCTCCCAAAATTCTAGGATTACAGGCGTGAGCCACTGCGCCCAGCCAATGGTGCCTTCTTAATGTAGCTTTTCAATTTTTATATACTATATGCCAGTAGAATATGATGAAGGGAAAAAGGCTCATTCCCTTTCCGTATGCCCTAAAATAGCAGGGCCCAATCAGTAAATACCTTCATAACGTTTACCCCAAACATATCTGGCCAAGCACATGAAAGGGAAAAAGATCTTCATCAGAAATTGTAATCCAGAGTAGGCTGGGGGACTTTTTATAGTAGTGGCTATTTGCCCAGGAATTTTTAAAGAAGGGTAAATTATGAAGCTGAGCGAGTAATCAAGTACACCTTCATCTGAAGATTTAAATACCCATAGGTAGTACTCTGTGCAGAACTCACAGATGCCAAAAGTCAATTGTCTCTACCAGATAAGGACCTTGGTCATGTAACTTAGCCTCTGTGCAGCTATCAACTGGTTGCCCTTCAACTCCAAATCCACCTTTCTTTGACCTGCTTTGTAATACTCTAAGACTCGGCGTTGCCCTCTGAATAATGGGACATGACATTGACACTTGCTTTCTCTATGTCAAAGAATTCCTTGAGGATCAAACACAGCTGGGCACCAACGCACTGCATATGGTGTCAACAAATCACCTCTGTGTTATTATCATCAGCACACTCGCCCCAATCCTGGGGAACTATTTCATGTCAATACTTCTCTCACAAGAGGGAATTTCTGTCCCGGAAACATGTCAGCCCTGATGACACACAGTCATATGGAAATAGGAAGCTAACAAGCATTTCTCCTCTCTCCAGTCAAAGCAGCTGTTTCTACACCCTTCTGCTTTTGCACCTGCCCCCAGTGCTGTAAGTTCTATGGAAATTCCACCCTGGTGTCAGCTCCACACTGAGAGGAAGGAAGGAAACTCTTCCTCAGGTCCCTCTGACCACTGTGGGAACCAGTGGTCATCAGGGTTGAAATGTTTCCATGTTCAGGGGATGTAGGATGGTTTTCTCTCCCTCTTCTTTTATTGAAATAAGCTCTCAAGTCCTGTCATGAAAAGGTAAAGCTTTCCTTTACAGGTAAAGTCCTGCAAGACAGGGCTTGAGAGCAGCACCATTTCTGAGGCTATTTATACACCCACAGTGCCCAAGGGTCAGGTGCGGCCATGAGCATAAAGCCAAACGACTGAGCTCTGACAAGGCTGACTGATCACTCTCCGCAGATTAGTTATTTTCAAGGCAAAGAAGTGCAGGTGCATGGCTTCCTGCAACTGAAATGACTTGCCCAGTGAAGACAATGCAGGCACATACGTCGTGCTTCTCTGACACAGCCAGTACAGTGCAGAGAAAGTCTCTAACCACAAGCTGACCAGGCTGTGGCCTTGTGGCCCCGGAGTCCCAGTCTCCCTGCCAAAGCCCAGATTCATGGACCCCACGCAAAAAACAGGTGTGAGGCAGTGAGGGCGGTGAAATGGTCTCTATTGTTTTTATAATAATCTCTTCTCGTTTTCTATACGGCAGCTTTCATTCAGTCCATTAAATGCAATTTCCTGGCATCACCCAAGCTTGAAAGGCCAGATCAAAAGTACAGAGTGTCCCAGCTGTGTGGTCCTCGTTCAGACCGAACATTAACCACAGCCCTTGCAGATGATTTATTCCATTGGAGACATGGAGACACCCTGTGTGCTTCCTCTCTATGGGATTGGCTTTATTGTTCTCCCGGCACTCCAGTTGTGCAGACATTTCCTTCATGTGCTCGTCTCTCCTACAACAAAACAATTTTGCCCCTCCTTTGATTTTACACCTGTAGGGCACATAAATGGGGAGGACCTTGTGGAGCTGGGAGAGCCCATATAGCTCTGACAGACAGACAGACACACTGCCTGCCTCTGTGAAGAAAGTCCCTTTCAACCTCATGTTTTGGGAAATGTAGTAACTCAGAAAGCTGAATTCTGTGCCAATGATCACATTTTAAGATTATATTTAAGGAACCTAAAAGGGAAGATGCAATATGCTTGGTACACAATAGGTGATAAATAAATAGCAATAGTCAAAGTAATGGGGAAGGGCAGGGTGCAGTGGCTCATGCCTGTAATCCCAGCACTTTCGGAGACTGAGGTGAGTGGATTACTTGAGCCCAGGAGTTTGAGACTAGCCTGGGCAATATAGTGAGATGTCATCTCTACAAAAAATTTTAAAATTAGCCAGGCCTGGTGATGTTTGCCTATAGTCCTATCTGCTCGGGAGGCTGAGGCGGGAAGATGGCTTGAGCAAGGAGGATGAAAGTTGCAGTGAGCAGAGATCGTGCACTGCACTCCAACCTGAGAGAGAGAGTGAGACCCTGTCCCAAAACAAACAACAAAACAAAAAACAGGAAAAAAGGTAACGGGCGTTAGAGGAGCATGAGGGCTGAACCAAGGGCCCTGACTGTGACTGCAGCATTGGGCGATGGCCCCTAGCTTCGTTAGAGCCCAGAATCAGTGTTTGTTTATCTTTTAAGTTCATAATCACACTCATCTTTAACATTTTCTTACACCCATAAAGAGGTGGCAGAGGAAAGAGCACTGGACTAAGGGACCAAGTCTAAGGTCCTGTTGCTTTTCCTCCTTAATCAGCTCAAGTCATCTACCCGCTCTGGTCCCTGTCTGTTAAGATCAGGAAGGATAACCCTGACCTCCTACTTCCCAAGGGTTGTGGCAAAAACTAAATGAGACCAGGAAAAAAAAAAAAAAAGGCTTCAAGAAAGGTAAAAACAGTAAGTGGAAAAAGTTGTTTTTATCTATTAAACAAGATAACTAAAAAGTGTAACGAATCGTTTGGCAAAATCTGAATTAGCTCCAGAATCAGAGCTCTCCATGAGGACAATTGCTTTTCCCCTTCAAACACTTGCATGTGGCTATTTCAGCTTTATGGCCCTTGTATGTGGCTACTTCCCTATGACAAAGCCAACCACTCATAGGTAGAACTGCTCCATAAGCAGGCTGTCCATCTTTCCATTTGAGTTTTCCTTGAAGGAAATCAAACCATTTTATCCCATACTTTGAAATGGCTGCTGCAGGGCAGGCAGACTGAGGTGGGGGAAACTTGCATCTGTAGAGAATCTCCAGTGATGTAGCCAGGCCTTCTCTTTCTAGGTCTTTCCTGGATCTAGGAGAAAAACTGAGAGTCTGTCACCTTTAAAAGCCTGAAAAGAAGCAGCATCTACTCTCTCTGAGGGCTACTACCTGAGAGGCTTTGTCTACATACTAAGGTCACCTTTGCCACCCAGGCGTCTTCCTTTTCCTTCTCACAATCTGTCTTTCCACTAAATCCTAATTTACCACCATAACCTGTTTGGGGCCATGCTCTGAGTCCACATTCTTTTTGCAACCTCAGGAAGCTTCTGTACCTCATCTGGGCTTGGGGCTTCATTCTGAAGTTTCCCGTGTATACATGTGACATAAATGTGTACGCTTTTTCTCCTGTTAATCTGCCTCATGGTAGTGATTTTTCTGCAAACCTTTAGGGGGACAACCCTTGAGCCCCACACCCTCCTGGAATTTTCTACCTCCAGAATCAGGTAAACTGCATCCTCTTCCTCCAGTCTGACTCTTTAGTAACAACTAAAGCTTACCAAGATTTGGCTGCCAAGAAACCTCTGCATTTCTGTGGAGTTTCTTGAAGACCCTACTATCAGCAGAACGCATAGGAATGGGGTTATAATGGTAGACCAACAGGCAGTAGGGCAGATATTTTGGCTAGATGAACTGCCCTCTATTCATTCGTGCTCTCAGCAACCTGCTCCTCCTCCAAGAACTCTGAATACAGCCTCATTTCAGGAGAAACTCATTTTCAGGAGTTTTGCTGCTGTCACAAAAACTACTGTCATCTGAAACATTCATAAATAGATTTGCCTGCAATTAAGCGACATGAAATAAATGGTGAGGCCAATGATACCAAGAGAAGAGAAGATGTCATCTGTTTGTTAGTTTTTTTAAACCAATGAAGCCAAAGCTTTGGAATGCCCAAGTAAAAATTCAGTGTGTGCAGTGGAAGGCAGCATGACCCAGTTCTCAAACTTTCTTTGCTCAAAGTGCCCTAGCATCTCTGTAATTTGTTCACAGTGCCCTTGTGCCAAAAGAAATTTCTAATGGTTCCCCTTATTAAGTACTTCTTCGGTTATAAGCGTGTATGTCCTAGGAAGCTAGAAGCCATTTGAAAAATAAGACACAAATTGAAAGAAAAGAGGCCATTTTTATTTCATTCTAAAATAGTTATTTACTAATAGCTGTATATATCCTTAGGGCCCCACACAACTTCTCAATCCCTGGACTCAGAGTGGACATTGCTACTCTCATTTCCAGTTTCATACTGATTTTTCCACAATAGGGACTTTTTATCTAAGCCACTTCCAAAAATCCAGCTTTGCAAAGGTATGTTATTAAAAGGAATACAGCAGGACCCACTGTTGAGACTGAACCATCTCAACTAGTAGTCCACACACTGCCTGACAGATGTTGAGTAGCACTGTGTTTCCCTAGAAAACTGAAAAATTTTCGATAACCTGCAGGGCTTGTCTGCATTCACTATAGTCCACTGGGCTGCTTCAGAGCAGGACTAAGAAATCACAGAAATCACAGAGCAGGACTGAAAGATCCCTGGGTGGGGCAACTGAAGGCCTGGGTTCAAATCCTGACTGCCTCCAGCAGCTGTGCAACCTAGACCAAGTAGCAAACCTTTCTGGGGTTCAATTTTCTATGTATAGAAGGGAGGTGAGAATCCCTAAAGCACAACTTACTCTAGAATTCTCCCCTATAAAAGGGTAACTCCAAAGTAATCTGCACATATTTTCAAAAAGATACAGAGAAAGTGTGACCATAAAACTATGCTCCAGTTTCCCAAACCAGTCTACAGATCTCCTTAAAACAGAGACATGAGCTGTGACCACGGCAATTCTGATGTGGGTCTGAGATGGGGCCCTAAATGTGTATTTTTTTAAAGTTCCTCCAGATGATTCTGTTGCCTGGATTAATTTGGGAATCATTTCCTACTGACAACACAGCAAAATCGACAGCCTCGTGCTCCAAAGCACCAAGTCAGCAAAAAATGTTTGTGCATATTAAAATCTATCTCATTATTTGCTTTTAATGATACTTCATTATATTCTCTTTTCCCTTTTAATTTGGTTGCATCACTCAAGTGGTGTGTTTGATTCCCAGTTTCTTGTCAGAATAGCCATGATGCCTCACCCTGCCGCCCTAAAGCTCACAGAGACAGGAAAACCAGAGTCCCCAGTGTGGCTGCACCGGGTCTCCAGCTGTCCGTTTGCAAAAGATACAAAAACCGTTTCATTTTCACAATAATTTTTTTTAAAGACTTCCCCAGATATCTACATTTTCTTTGGCAGTTTGACTTCGATGACACAAAAGTTCAGGGTCAACTTTCCAAAAAATAATGAGGAAAGAGCCAGCCAGCTGCTCAGTTGTGTCCTCACTTTCAATGCTGATTGCTGCAAAAGTACACATGAAATTCTGATGCAGACAAATTGTTCCTTTCTCACTGAACTCAGCTAGAAGGCTGGAAGGGACATTTGGAAAGATGGTCATTCATGGGACTTATTTTTTAAAACATGAAAAAGAAGAGAATTTTAAAGCAACATCCACAGAGTCGAAGTTTAGCTTCACCAACAATTATTTCCTCTTCAGTGAGAGTTAGTGGCCAGTTACAAAGTTCAATGTTTGGGTTTGGGTTTGAGGGATATTTTTTCCCCCACTACTGAGACAAAGCCGTAATCCATGAAATATAGCAGATATCTCATGGACCTAGTTCTGCATGCTTGCAAACATTTGAAATTGCACTTGCGGTACATAAAAGATTTATAATGATCTTACCCACAAATATAAATTCTGTCCCACACAGGATAGAAAGACCTAGAAGCAGAAGCAGTGAACAGCTGAATGTGAGCAGAGTCATAAATTCAGAACACTTACAGCTTTGTAACAACCCTATCATAAATGTGGCTGATTTCAATTTAATTTATAGGACTTTGCAGCCGGGTCCAAGAATGTCTTTTGAAAACTAAGAAGTTAGAAGCAATAACATATAGTTTCTATAGTTTCAGTTTCCAAGAAAATGTCCATGGTCTTCAGGTGGCTCTGATGAGACAACATCCAGGCCATCCTTGATTATGCAAAATGACTTGGGGGAAATCCCTAAATTCATTGCAGCAAAATGCAGGCGTCAAAAGAAGGCTCAGAACACATACTAATGTCAAACCGCGGTGCACATAACAAAGGCTTGGCAGTGGGTTTCCAGGGAAACCATCCGGTAGAGTAGGAAAACCCCAATCTTTTGTAAGACAGATCAATCTGCATTCAAAACCCAGTCTCTCCTCCTTAGCTGAGTAATGATCACATGAGGAGCTGAAGTCCTCTGAAGCTCAGTTTCTCAATTTGGAATAAGGTATTTACTGAGCATTCTTTGCTAAGCACTATGCTAAATGTTTGCTTATATCATCCATCTCAGCTATACTACAACTTCATGGTGCTTTTTAAATCCCACTTTACACATGAGACAACTGAGGCACCCAGAGATGAGCCCTTTTCCTAGATCTGACCTTCTTTTTTTTTTCTGAGACAGAGTCTCGCTCTGTCACCCAGGCAGGAGTGCAATGACGCCATCTCGGCTCACTCCGACCTCCGCTTCCCAGGTTCAAGTGATCCTCCTGCCTCAGCCTCCCAAGTAACTGGGACTACAGGCATAGCCCAGCTATTTTTTTGTATTTTTAGTAGAGATGTGGTTTCACCATGTTAACCAGGATGGTCTCGATTGCCTGACCTCATGATCCACCTGCCTCGGGCTCCCAAAGTGCTGGGATTATAGGCATGAGCCACCGTGCCTGGCCCTTACCTTCTATACATGGAGAAAAGATTTGTACGTAGGCAGTCTGACTTCAAAGTTCTTGTCATGACCATTATACTAAAGTCCTTCACTCTAAAATGCAAGTACCTGGCCGGATGCAGTGGCTCACCCCTGTAATCCCAGCAATTTGGAAGGCCAACGTGGTAGATTACCTGAAGTTAGGAGTTCGAGACTAGCCTGGCCAACATGGCAAAACCCCATCTGTAATGAAAAATACAAAAAAATCAGCGAGACATGGTGGCACACACCTGTAGTCCCAGCTACTCCGGAGGCTGAGGCAGGAGAATCACTTGAACTCATGAGGTGGAGGTTGCAGTGAGCTGAGATCACACCACTGCACTCCAGCCTGGGCAACAGAGTGAGTCTTCCTCTCAAAACTCAATACGTAAATAAATAAAATGCTAATACCTGAATCCACCTCAGAAAATGATGGATTGATGTAAAGTACACAGGACAGTGCTTCTTAGCTCCCTTTTCTGAGATGACATAAAGTCTCATCCACTATTATTTTCAATAATTCACTGCATTGGCCCAAATAAAGTGATGAAATCTGCTAAACTCCTGGCCACTTATCTGCCTAAAATGTCTTCATCCCCTCAACCCTCATCCTAACCTGGGAATCATAGTGTAATGAACCTTCATCCCAGGCAACCTCTGCATAGCCCTCTCAGTTCTAGGGAGATTTTAGGGTCAAATTTTTCAGGTTTTATAAGAGTGTATCTCATCTTCAAAGGAGAGTCTCTGTGTGTCTCCTCTGGGAACTCCCAAATATACTCAATTATTACTTTTTCTAAGAGCAACAGACAGCAGTCAAGCACCCACTACATATCAGGCCTGGTGCCACCTGCCAGAGACACCAGAGCAAGCCCAACCCACACATTACACCCATCGAGCTTAGAGTTCAGATTGGAGACAGCCAGGAAGCAGCAAGGTCAGAACTGTGCAAAGGTCCAGAACGTTCAGGGAAGCAGGGAGGAGCCACCCAGCAGTGGGGAGCCTGGTGGGCAGATAGAGCTTCCTGAAAGATGTGGCCTCAGAGCTGACACAAAGGCTGGAAGGATAACCAGAAGAAATTCCAGGAGAAGCCACCTAGGTAGATGTGGCCAGGATGCACGGCTGCCATCAGAACAGGAGAGGCCCAGCTACAGGGAAACAAATGTGGAGGGCGGGAATGAGAAGAGAGAGGCGCGAAATGGACCAAATATCTCACCAAGATGATGCATCGCTCATTCGCTTAATAGACAAACTCTGGGAAGTGCCAGCACATTCTGTAACCTTACTACAAGCCCTGAAAGTAGAAAAGACGCACGCAGCACAAAATGACTGTATGGCTCTTTGCTCTGGATACAACCCAGTGAAAGTTAAATATAAATGCTTGAGAATAAATCAGAAGTCATATACTTATAAAAACTTATGGTATCAAAATTGCTTTGCAGCAAAACGTAAGACGTTCTAATGGTCTTTGCTTCCCTTTCCCCTGAACCCAGCCCCTGTGAAGTAAACACCCTGTATCCCCAAAACTACTTTGCAAACAATATCTTGCATAGGTCTGATTAACATGCATGATGTATAACGTATTTCTGTATGTGCAAAGCAAAATTCCATTGAGTAAAATGTACTCAGTATCTTAAAGCAAAGAATAATAACTTCTTTCCTCTGAGTCTAGGAGTTAATTTTCATGCTGGACAATTTTTTAATAATGTTGGACACACCATGGGATTTTTGGAAGTTCATTTCGTTTTGAGACTTCTTAAGTTATAATTTTTCTTCTGGCTCAGATGGATCTTTTATCTGTTCTACCCTTAATATTCCTGCTAATCTTAGTATAGAAAAGCTTCATAATTTGAAAAAGAGAAGTTTAACAAGACATGAGGCTGATTGTTTGCACAATCAGAACATCTAATTGAGCTATAGTATTCTAAACCATGCTTGCGTGCAGGGAGATAATTTTTCCTTCATTTCCTATTTTATCAGAAAATTAACCTTCATTTAAAACACTGTGGTCTGAAACACTTTTATAGCTACATTCTCTCCGCTGTTCAAAAGAATTTGAATTTTAAATTTGCCATCCTGGTCTTTAAAAATGAAACAAACTGCGGACGCTTTGGGAACCAGGTGTTTATGATCAAGGAGACATCAGAATGTGACCCGGGTCCAAAGCACTGCTCCTGCCAACCAAGGGGACTATGCTACCAGATCTGTTTTTAGTTTTTCAACCTTTGGTGAAATAATGAGGCTCTGAATTTGCATAGCAATCTTTTTGTCTGAGAACCTAACAGCCCCGCAGATCTTTCATTTCATTGCACAAACATTGGAAGCCTTTATTAAGTACCTCTCTGCATGGAGAACTCAGCTTGGCCCCAGACAAGCCAGACTTGAATCCTGCAATGATGACACAGAGTTGGCCATGGTACAAATGAAGTTAGGTAATTCATTTGACACACAGTTCACTAAGCACTCATGACACGTATGTAACCAGAGTGGGCCCAAGTTCATCTGGGGTCACCTTGTCTTATAATATTCTGGAAAAAATACCCAAACTGTCATTTCAGAGATTGCTGATATTTCTACCAGGAATTTAGTCTCCATCAAAATATTTCTAAAGATTTTGAGACAGAGTGAAGGGTAGGAGGGGGCACCGTCTCACATCTAGCCCTCTGTTATAGGTTGAATTGTGTGTGCCCTCAAAATGGATCTGTTCAAGTCCTAACCCCGGGCGTCTGTGAACATGACCTCATTTGGAAATAGGGTCTTTGCAGATGTAATCAGGTTAAAATGAGGTCATTAGGATGGGCCCTCTGTCCTTATAAGAAGAGGGAAATGTGGACATAGATGCACAGCAGATGCAATGTAACAACAGAGGCAGAGACTGGAGCAACACAGCCGCAAGACGGGAGTGCAAAGGATGGCCGGCAACACCAGAAGCTGGAACAGACAACAGAGAATTCTCCTTCACACATGAGAACACGGACAGCCCCAGAGATTAGCCTTTCGCCCAGCTCTTGCCACTTACCCATGGTGATGAGATCTGCATGCAGGCATTCTGACTCCACGGTTCTTGTCTTGACCATCGTACTAAAGTCCTTCACCCTAAAATGAAAGTAACTGGGTCCACTTCAGAAAGGTTTCAGGTTTCAGAGAGAGTGAACCCCTGCCAACACCTTGATTTTAGACTCCTGGCTTCCAGAATTCTGAAATAATGAATTTCTGTGGTGTCAAGCCACCCAGTTTGTGGAGTTTTGTCATGGCAGCTTCAAGAAACAAACACACCATCTCAGTTATGTCTATCTTCCCTGCCACTCGGCTCCACAGGTAAGCAGGGATCCAGGCCTTTAACTCTCAGACTTCCCTCATCCAGTACTGTCACGTGTAACAGACCTTTAGTGAAGGGCTGGGTATAAAAGAGGAGAATTGCTGTACAGACCAGAAATAAAACCCCATGTCTTTGCTGCTGAAGTTTAGCTTCCAGAGGGGACCCTGGCTGGCCCCGCCAGGGCTGTGGTCCCAAACTGTTGGCAGCGGCCAGCAAGCTTTTTCCCCTAGAGTTCTTATCCTACCTCCCACCACAATTCTCAACTGAAATCCCCATTTCTAGGATTTGCCCGTAAGAAAATGCAAATTACTTTATAGCAGAACAACCTGTCTACTCCAAGAAGGTTCCTGTTTTCCTTCTATGCAAAACACTTACATCCTCTTGGTCTCAACCACTCCAAACTAGACTCCCCCAGAACCATGATCTGATCAAATAACCAAAAGGCTCCTTCACAGATTGTCCAATAATGTGTCCTCACCATGGGGGCTCTGGGAAATGGTTTGCAAAGAACCCCTCACATCATAATCACTTTGAGTGCCTACTAAAATGCAGATCCCACTGGATTACAGATTTTTTAGCGGGAGTTTAGGAACCTTCGTTTTAAAAGGGTCCCAGTGACCAAGAGCCACAGTGTTAAAGCCAAGAGCACAAACTTCAGCCAGCCTTTAAAATAGCCATTCTTTCCCCCCTCGATAACAATGCCAGGGGTAGAGACTGACAGGCTCGCTGCAATGTCCCCTTGGACCAAGTTTGATTTTACTCCTGTTACAAATACAGTATGGAAGCTCCAGACACCCTCCCACCAACCTCTCCCTTCCCAGCACAGGGATGGCTCCTCCCTGGCCAGGCCTTAGTCTCACAGGTGGCACCCCCTTTGCTATTGAACTTGAACCCCGATGCCACTTAGCAGTGGAGACTTTGGGCACTCTAGTCAGAAAGAGCCACTTCCTCCTCTGGTCTCCTCCCACTCTCAGGCCCCAGCCAGATCCTCCAGCAGTGGCCACCTCCCTCCTCACTCCAACTTCCTCTTTCCTAGTATCTCCTGAGACTTGGTAAGACCACCAACATATATTAATAGTTCCTAAATTATTTTAATGCAATAATTCAGGCCAGGTTATTTGGTCTTACTGGAATTGAACATAAAATAATTCTCACCCTGAGGTCGATGCACCTGCCCTGTATTGAAGGCACAGATGAAGCTGAGGCCCACAGTAGATGTCTACTGTTATCACCGGCTTGCTCTCTTTCCTTTCTCTTTCCCTCCTGTTTATCCACTCTAGGGAAGAAGAAAGCACTTTCCTTCAATAAATATGCATTAAACTCCTACTTTGCTCCAGGCAATGGATATAAATAACTCAGGGACTTTACCACTGAAGAAGGCATAAAAAGTAAACAAAAGCTATGAAATAAATATGGACCATGTTCTATTGGAGTTCAGAGGAGGGAACCTCTAATGCTGCATGACCTAGTCAAAAAAGCCAGCACAGAGATGCTGGGACCTAGAGCCATGAGGTCACCCTAGAGGAGGCATGAGAAAGGATGAATCCTGTAAGGTCCTTTTGCTCACAAGCTACAGAAATGGACAACGTGATTGAAATACTTAAACAGGCCATGTGGCCCAAGCATTAAAGCACCAGCCTTGTTTGCTTGAGGGAGCTACATAACCTTTCTGAGCCTTAGTTTTCTCGTCCGTGATATCAAAGTAGTAAGAGTTTTTTAAACAAATGAAAGACGATACATAAAGTGCTTAGGAACGCACATAATAAGCTCTCAATAACTACCTATTACGGCTAAGGAAAAAAGTGGACTTTATAAAGATAGATCTCAGAACAGAAGGAAGACTGAAAACTGAGCCCCATGGAGTGGCCAGAGCCAGGGAAGCTTCACAAACCATGTCTGTGGCCCTCAGGTGGCTGTGCATCAGGCCTCTGTCAGGTAGGCTCCAGCCAACTCTTGCAATTCCCAGGAGAGAGATTCTGGCTGCCCGGCTTGGGGCAGAAGGCAGGTCCCAGGGACATGGCACAGGAGACTCAGTCATCCCACTTTTGAAGAAGATTCCAGACAAGGAAACTGCCAGATCATGGTCTGGGGGGCAACCCAAGAGGCTATGGTATAGAGCGAGCCTGGAGTTTGTGTAGAGAGTGGCAGGTTGGAAGACATGTGTGCCTTTTCCCATGGGCAGTGAGGAGCTACTGAAGAAAGGGAAGGCAGGAGCACTGAGTGCTCGCCCAGGGACATGGGTGCTTCAGAAGGAACCATCAGGCATTGAAGACCATGGAGCAAGCTCACCTGATATGGTTAGGCTTTGTGTCCCCACTCAAATCTCATCTTGAATTATAGTTCCCATAATCTCCACATGTCACGGGAGGGAACCAGTGGGAGGTAATTGAATCATGGTGACGGTTACCTCCATGCTGTTCTCATGATAGTGAGTTCTCACAATATATGATGGTTTGGTAAGGGGCTTTCCCCACCCTTCACTCTGCACTTCTCCTTCCTGTCACTATGTGAAGAAGTACATGTTTGCTTCCCCTTCTGCCATGATTGTAAGCTTCCTGAGGCCTCCCCAGCCATGCTGAACTGTGAGTTTCACAAACTCACTTTCCTTTATAAATTACATAGTCTTGGGTATGTCTTTATTAGTAGCGTGAGAACTGACTAATACACCACCTTACCCCCGTCCCAAGCCCTAGTGCCCCAGCAGGAGGTCCCAGCCCACTGCACTCTGGTCTCCCTCAGGAGGTGTCTGTGAAGGGCCCTTCTATGGCCCACGGATGACTGGATACTCGAATGTACATGTATCCAGGTTCAGATCCATCTCCTTGCATGATAAAGGTCGTTTCTAAATGGCTCTCTTTTCTAATGTGCACACTAAACTACATGGAGATCCTGGAATTTAAGATACAATTTTCAATCTACTTGGCCCCCAAATTCAGTAGAATTTGGATCTTTTCAAGTGTTTTAGAAACAATCTGTGCTAATGGCACAATGTTCTTGCTAATGCCCTTTAAGGGCCAAATTTTCAAAAATGGCAAATAAATTTGTTTGTCATTTCCATGTGTAGTTTTATGGGTGGGTATAAATACTGCAGTCGAAATAACAAGCTGATTTTTTCCTTGCAAACATTTACACTGAGGATTGAATGAGGTGTAAATTGGAAAGGTTATCCCTGTCTAAGGAAAAGGGCAGGGCCATTCTCAGCTAGGGACACACCAGGCAGCCAGGGTCAGAAAGGGGCTATGACAGAACAGGCAGACAGAACACGGTGTTCTCCCTATGCCAGTCTTCAAGAGAAACTGGAATGGCCTATCTACACAGCAGGCCACAAGAATACCAGCTGTGGCTTGTCACTTGCCTCAAGTAACTCCTCTTCTCCCCTCTCCCACTTCGCCTCAGGAATTACTGCAGATCACCAACCCTGGACATCACTGGAGCCTACATCTCCAGGCTCTCTGATCCCATAATACCAATGCCTATATTGGCTCCAGGACCACTCTATTTGGACAACAGATTGGACATTGGACTTTAAATTTCAGTGGACTTCAAGTTTCACCCATATCACCCCAGAACTCAGATTTGTTCCCTGCCTTAACCTCTGGGTCCTTAGGAGTCCAGATGAGATCTCCCCTGCCAGCCTGAGTCCCTCAGACTCCCACCAGTGGGCTGGTCCATACTATATACAGCCCCCAGCCCACCCTGCCCTGGGCAAATGCAGGAATCCAGGCAACCACATTCATTGCATTCTGACTCTTCCTCCACTCCAACAGCTAACATGACA
Organism: Homo sapiens; assembly: GCF_000001405.40. Lineage (NCBI taxonomy): Eukaryota > Metazoa > Chordata > Mammalia > Primates > Hominidae > Homo > Homo sapiens. The sequence goes on from NC_000002.12 coordinate 8,247,643, forward strand.
GACTCCAAAGCTCAGGGCAAAACTAGAGACTAGGGTATGTGTCTTCATGCTCCTCTGTTTCCAAATATATTCAATGGCACTGTAGCAAGGACATCACCCTGGGCTATGCCAGGATAACACGGCTGGAAGCTCACAGCTGAATGGCCACACTTATACTCTGCTAGTCTTTGTGTGTTGAGACCATCACCTCTAGCTGCACCCAGTTAAAAGTGAGAAGCAAGAGAAAAGTCCAAGTTGTGGAATCAAGTTGTGTTGCACTGGAGCCGGGAGAATTCAGGCTCTTGGCATATAAAGAAGGAGTTAATACAACACACCCAGGCACCGGGCTTCTGCCTCTCCCCTCCTGGAGAAGAGCAGGAGCAGGCCAGGGGCTGGAAGAGACAGCTGGCCCCCTCTCCTGCTGTGCAGGCCAGGCTAGGCAAGCTGAGCAGGCATCGGGAGGGAGGAGTTGCTGAGGACACTTGGGTGACCATCAGCAGCCAGGCCCTGCTGCCCACAGGAATGTTCCCAGAGGAAGCCACGGGCTTCTAGAAGTCTCAGGTCTTCCCTCCCAACACGAGGCCCTCCTTCCCTGTAGCCTCACCCTGTCCTCAAACACTGTGCATTTGGCAACATGTGAGTTGGGTCTTCATCCTCAAAACCCACCCTCGAAACACAACATGCATGTCTATACCTCCACCCTGGGGTCAACACTTGGCCAGCCAGGAGAGGCCTTGACCACACTCCTGGACCCTGTCATCTTTCCTTCCTCCATAGGACAGCACAGAAACTCAATAAATGCCTGTGGAATAAAGCACACATTTTATTTTTGAATCCAGTCTCTGTTCCCCACAGAGCACGTAAGCGTGAAGGCAGGTCTGTCTGCTTCCTTCACGCCCATATCCCAGCACTTACTCAGAGCCTATCAACCAGCCGGAGCTCGAGAAATAGATGATGACAAAGTAAATAAATTCATCTATGGAGATACTAAAGCTTTCCTAGGACTGGCAAAAAGGAAAATCTTCAACACAGCTAATACCCGATTTGCAGATCAACTTCGTGTTATTGTCACTCATAAATGCCCTAGCTGATTTGCATAGCAAAAATAAGATTTCACTGAATGCCACACTCAAATCACTTTGCTCAGAATTACTCAGCAGAGGGCTGGATTTGTAAATGTGTTTAGTTTGGAAGTTCCTGACTTCACAAAAGTTACTTTCAGTTACTAGGAATTTTCCAGTACATTTTCTTTGGCTTTATAAAAAAAGATCTGATCCAATCATGATTTTTCTCTCTAGAATTTCTACATTTAGCTTCAGGATTTATCAATGACATTTTTTCAAAGCAAAAAAAATCTCTTCAGCCAACAGTATATCTGTTTCAGAAGGGAAAGTTGGATTTTTATTTCCCCCTTTTTGAAGCCGTTGGTGCATCTGGGAGAGCTCGCAGTCTTACCAAAAGCTTCTCTGTGGTGGCTTTGGGGAGAACAGCAAATTTGGAATCTCACTTGCCAGTGGTATAGGCATCAGAGTTCTTAGTGGACTTTTGCCAAAGGCCATTAATAAAATACAGTCCAAATGTCCTAATTAGCATGCCCTCGAGTGTGGCCACGTGTAGAACTTGGACTGGCTCTTGGCCACGAGCTGCTGTCGCAAAGCTCAGATCCCTGCTTCAAGCAGGCTATGTCACAGAGAATCCACTGCAGAGAGCCTTCTGGAGATCGGGGCAATGTGCGGAAGGGCACGTCCCTGCCAGCCACCCGTACTCTGGCCAGGACCCGGAGCTGGGCACTGGCCGCACCCGGCTGAGAGGTGATGTCAGATGTTCCTGTCGGGATCTGGCTTCTGGCTAGCAGCAACTCCCGTGTAATGGAAGAGTGGCTTCCCTGCTAAGCTTCAACCCTGAAGCCAATTAACGACTCAAATCCTTCAGGAAGCACTGCTTGGGTTTTACCAGAGACATAAAGGTCTTATCCCATTAATTGGTGCTTAAATAAAAAGAATAAATACTGCAGAATCTAACCTAGAGTTGGTCCCTACCTTTCGCTACCCTGAATGTACTATGACCCTAGAAAACACTTATTTTATAAGTAGTTTTTTAAAATAAAAATAAATACCCTGAAAACTACTCCAGGATAGATTTCTGCATAATGGAATTGTAAAGAAAAGAATAATGATTACTCCCTGTTTTTAGAAAACTAGATTTTTGTAGTTGAACTTCCTTTGCTACTGAAATAGTGGACAGAGTGTCCAAAGATAAATTTACCCAAAGATAAAATTTTGCATCCTTACATGAGATGACCCTGGGACACCCAGCAGTGCTAGGTATTTACATAAGCTGGACCAGATGGATAACTCAATGTACTCCAAACAATACGCCTCTGAGAGCTGGTTTCCTTAACATCGGTTCAGATGGGAATAGCCCTGTATGCACAAAGGGTGGTAGGATTTTTTTCACAGTCCCTCTGTCCTGATATCCAAAATCTGATGTTATTTTCTAACATTTTAGGTTTTGTTCAACCTAGAACCATTATTGATCCCTGCATCCTTGGCACCCGGCACAGAGACTGTTGCTTAGTGGATGAACAACAAATTTTTGCCAAGTGAGTGGTGATCACCATCCCTGAGCTCCCTTAGATATTCTTAGATATTTGTTCAGTAAAATCTGCTTTGAGGCCACTGATATAGTTTGGCTGTGTCCCCAGCCAAATCTCATCTTGAATTGTATCTCCCATTATTCCCGTTGTTGTAGGAGGGACCTGGTGGGAGATAATTGAATCATGGTGGTGGTTCTCCCATACTGTTCTTGTGGTTGTGAATAAGTCTCAACCTGACGGTTTTATAAGGAGAAACCCCTTTTGCTTGGCTCTCATTCCTTTTGCCTGCTGCCATCCATGTAAGATGTGACTTGCTCTTCCTTGCCTTTTGCCATGATTGTGAGGCTTCTCAGCCATATGGAACTGAAAATCCAATTAAACCTCTTTCTTTTGTAAATTGCCCAGTCTCTGGTATGTCTTTATCAGCAGTGTGAGAACAGACTAATACAGCCATGGTGAGGGTCATTGCCAAAGGCAACTTTCCTGAGAGCCTATCATAAGCTGACACAGCTACAGTTGTGGTGTCTCTTGAGTAGCCTGCCCTTTACAAGGACATAGTCTGTCCCTAAAAAAATTATCTGGTGGTGTTCACTTCTGAACAATACCCCAAGAACATATTGCTTGGTGCCCACTCTCCTATTTCGTCCCTCCAACCTCTGCTCCACCCTCCCCAGCCCACAATCAGCTGGAGGTGTCTCCTGCCAGAGGCTCAGCACTCCCTTCCTGAACAGGCACCACTCTCCAAGGCTGACAGCCTCCCCTCAGCCAGGGTGGGTTCTGCCCCATGCAGCTGAGAGTCCAGCAGGGAAGACGAAAGTCACCAAGTAGAGCAAACAAAGTTCAATGCAAGAGGACCAGTAGCCGCTGCTCCCCAAGTCTCCCCAGATACTCTGGACTGTTCCTCAAGGATCCCACACTTGAGCTCTAAGTCCTCGGGTTCTCATCTGGGTCTCCCCAACACAAACACCCAAGGCTCGTGCTTTTTGTTCTAAAATCCTGTGCCACGCACACTCCCAATGACGAGTGCTTCAATAGTGTTGAGGAAATGTTGTGGGGTATTTTCCCATCAGTAGCATTTTTAATAAAAATATTCTAAAAGCTAACTGAAGCCGGGATTGGCCCATGGGCTTGGGACAATCCCCCACCCATTCTGACAAGGGAGCCCAGTAATTCTATGTGCAGAGTCCTCCTCCCAGGAAAGCCCCAAGTACTCGATTCTTTATCAGGAGGTGTCACAAAATGTCACTTAGAGCTAGAGGAACTTGCTCTGTCTCCAAAACTATGTTCATTACTTCCTCTGAACCACCCACCCTGGGGAGCTCAGGTCGGTTTCCCTGTTTCTTTGCAGGCTGTCTGGGCAAGCTTGGTTCCTCTTATCAGCACGGTGACCTTGCCCGCCCATCAGAGAAAACATGGATCACAGTTGGGTTTCCATAATTTTTACCCTATCATAATATAAACGAACTCAGGTCTAGGACACTTGATGCCTGAAAGCCAAAAACTCAAGAGAGGAGCTTTGGTGAAAGGAAAGTTAGCTTCATTCCAGAAGCTGGCAATGCAGGGGAGGCCGTGAACTAGCATTCAAAGACCACCTCTCTGAGATATGCCTCTGGATCAGGGATTTTTAAGGGAAAATTAAGGGAAACATCATCAAAACATTATCGTGAAACGTATGCAGTCTCAGGTGGGAAGTTAATCATTGCTTTCTTGGTCAATGTTTTGAGATCTTCCGCAGGGGCCACCAGCCTATTCTTATCAGGTGCGTCAGCCGATGCCCAGAGCCATTGGTCTGGTATTTTCTTTTATCTCTTTTGAAGGCCCTGTTTTCCCGAGGCTGTTTTCAGTGAATAATCTACACACCCAAACAAAGCAATAATTATATTCAAGCAAGCAGGTTTTTCTCTAACATGGACTAAGTCCCATTGCAAGAGGGCTGCCTGCCTCTAGAGCTGAAGCTCCTATAAAAAGCAGCATGGCGTGGTAGTGACAGCACCAGCTTCAGCTGCAGCAAATCTGGTTTCCAGTTCTGCTGCAACAAGTAGCGCCTATGACTTTTGCCTGGTGACTTCACCCTTCCAAGCCCTATCAGAAAGTACACTGAAAATTATTACAACAAATGAGGATTAAGGACAGTACCATGTGAGTCTAGAATATAATTAGCACTCAACACATAGGAACCATATCTTGAAGCTGGTGAAGTCTTATTTTCATCTCTGTTTTCATAATTTAAAAGGCTTTGTTGGTTGTTGAAATAATTTGGTATGATAACTCATGGGCGTGTTTGTAGTGAGAAAAACATGAGTTTTTGGCATCAAACGGAACACTCCTGGGTTTGTATTAATCTGGCAAGAGCTAGGCTGTGTTTAACGGGTGCTGCAGATACTGGTGCCTGAAGCTTTTTCCCTGGTGTCCTTATTCGTGTCTTCCCCCTTGGCTTTGGGCCTTCCCTCTGTGTTGCTCCCCAAAGAGAGTCTGTGTCTTACAGATCCTTCCTTTTAACCCACTTTATGATGCTGGATGCCACTGGAGTGGCAGTCTGGGCACATTCTACCATCTCAGGAAGCCTCAGCCTTTGGGCAGGACTGTGTCTGGGGCTGGTAGTGTTTCTTTCCCTCCCCCAGGGTATAAATGTTTTTCCTTCCCCTAGGCCTCTCCTCAGCTGTGATGGTCCCAGTCTATTTTTTCAGAGCCATGCCCCCTTGTTGATGAGGTTTGTTAGTGTGGGGTTTTGTTAATTTTTTAATTAATTTATTTTTTGAACTGACGCATTGTAATTGTACTGTTCGTATTTTGTTCTTAGGCAAATCCAGGAAACCTGGAAAGAGCTTCAATCTGTGGCAGTTTCCCCACTTGGCCTGACCAGAGGTGACACATCTCACACAGCCCTAGCCCCACTCTCTTGCGAGGCAGCACACTGCAGTGGTTCCCCCAGGCCAAGGAATTCTCAACTCTGCCTGTTCAGCAGCCTCCCCAGAGTGCTGGAGGATGAATACCAGGGCCCAGCCCCGACCCTAGTCTCTAAAGCCATCCATCTTTGGTGGAGTCCTGACACCAGTATTTTTTAAAATCTCCCCAGGAGCTTCTTCAGTGAAGCTTGGTTTTAGAATCTTTGGTCTAATGCCTTGTTCCTCATGGTGTGGTCAGCAGACCCACAGCACTGGCAGCAGCCGGGGGCTGTCAGTCACACCGAGTGTCTGGCCCACGCCAACCCTGCCAAGTCCAAACCTGCATTGTAACCTGATGCCTAGGGGAATAGATCCACCGAGAGGTGTGAAGAGCCCAAGCTGCTCAGCGCCATTGTAAGGGCTGCCTAACGAAGCATCATAAGCCTGTGGCTTACACAAGAGAAATGTGTCATCATGCAGCCTTGAAGGCCAGCTGCCGGGGAGCCAGGTGTTAGCAGGCCAGTTCCTTCTGAGGGCTGGGAGGGAGAAGGCTTCCAGGCCTGTCTCCCTGGCTGGCAGGTGGTCCTCTTCTCCCTGCGTCTCTTCAACTCGTCTTCCCTCTATGCATCCGTCTCTGCATCCAAATTTCCACTTTTAATAAAGATATGGGTCATGCTGGATCAAAGCTCGCCCTAAAGGACTCATTTTAACTTGATCGCCCTATAAACATCCTATCTCCAAACACAGTCACATTCTAAGCTCCTGGAGGTGAGGACTCCTACATATAAATTCAGGAGGACACCATTCAGCCTGTGACACACATTCTAAGCCTGATTGGAACCTGATTTTACCTCCACCCCCCACCCCCAGGCCTGGGCATGGTATCAGGGCACAGAGCTTCCTGCCACCCCTGGAATCACAGTGGTTTCTCACTACCCTTTCTTTGCCCACATGGTTTCTTCCCTAGCCTATGAGGACTAAGCTCTGATTTTTTTTATTTTGCCCAAATTCCTATTTAAGGAGTCTGGGGAGTCATGCCCTACAAACCATACATTCTCATCAGATGAGTTTTATTTGACCCTATATATTGTGACTTACTTTCCAACGTGACTCTGGTATAACATTACAAGACAAGGAAGAAAATCAAAATATTTTACCCCAAAACATGTTTATTTGCTGTATCTTGAAATGGCCCTGCAAAGCTGTCCTTTGTGGGGGAAAATCTGCATCTGCAAAGAATCTCTGCTAACATAGCTAGATCTTTATCTTCCAGGCCCTCCCACTCCTCAAGAGATTAACTAAGAGTCTAGCACCTTTTATAGATCTGAATAGGAAACATTTGTCATCTGTTGTCTCTAGGGCAGCCACTACAAGACTTCAAAGGAACTTTTGTCTCCACAATCTTTTATCTTAACCTTTCTATCAATCCCAGGTCTTTAGACAAACTCAACCAATTGTCAACCAGAAAATGTTTAAATTTACCAATAGCCTGGAAGCCCCCACTTTGAGTTATCCCACCTTTCTGGACCAAACCAATGTATTTCTTAAATGTATTTGATTGATGTCTCATGCCTCCCTCAAATGTATAAAACCAAACTGTACCCGACCACCTTGGACACTTGTTCTCAGGGCCTCCTGAGGGCTGTGGCATGGGCCATGGTCATTCATATTTGGCTGAGAATAAATCTCTTCAAATATTTTACAGAGTTTGACTCTTTTCATGGATACCTGGCCTCCTGAGGAGTGCACTTCCTCCTTTGAGAAAACTTAGATCAGGGTCCCTGCTCTCTGACAGCTTTCCTCACTTCCAGCCCCTCACTTTCTCCTGGCTCTGGAATCTCTGCAGGAATCTTCTCTGAGCTTGGCTTCCTGGAGCTGTGCCTCCCACTAGGTATCTAGCAGGCCAAGGGCAGGGCAGGGTCTCAGCTCACTTTACGTCCCTCTGGCCTGGCACCTGGTGGACGTGCCTTCATAAGCAAGGTTGGTTGTAAAAATGAATGGAACACCATAGGAATCCAAACTTAAAATGAACACCAGGAATGGCCCTAATTTTTACACCAGTTGCTGAAGAGCAGGCCGAGAGAGAGCTGTCCAGCGTAGAGACACGGAGGCTTCTTCAAGGGCTTTCACTCTGATACTCAGCCCCTTGTCTTGGGAATTACTGTAAGAGGCTGGGACCTGATGGGGCCCCCACCTTCCCCCTAGCTTCTCTTCACGTACCTGCATCTCACCTGCCCTGTTCATTTTCCCAAGAAATCCTGAGGGCAGTGCTGAGGCTGTCATTCAACTCCCCACTTAAGTTTAAGAAATGGCTCCAAAGCACTCGTGAAACTCCTTGATATTACGGGGGCTGCAGAAATGATGACCGTGTCCTGAGAAAGGCAGGATCCTTGTTCACACTCCTCCAGCCCCACTGGGGCCCAGTCCCAGCCCAAGCCCATGTTCATCTGGTGTGGCTGCTTCTTCCAGAGACCAGGCATTTTTGCAGGTTTGTCCCATTGAAGTTCACAGGCACAGGGGCAGTGGTTTCCCTTGGCCTCTATTGTGAGTCATCCTGAATGCTTTGTTTTAATGCAAAAGCCTAGATGTTTTCACATTCCAACTCTAATCCCAAACAAGTTATTTGTTATTGTATTTGATTTCTTATCTTCTCCCCTTCACATAACTGACCAACTGACTGACAAATATGGAGTTTGTTGATTTCCTGTAACAGATGCATTCTTGTTTGTTTGTTTGTTTGTTTGAGACAGAGTCTTGCTCTGTCACCAGGCTGAAATGCAGTGGCACGATCTTGGCTCACTGAAACCTCCGCCTCTCAGGTTCAAGCAATTCTCCTGCCTCAGCCTCCTGAGCAGCTGGGATTACAGGCGCCTGCCACCACGCCCCAGTAGTTTTTGTATTTTTAGTAGAGACGGGGTTTTACCATGCTAGGCAGGCTGGTCTCGAACTCCTGACCTTAGGTGATCCACCTGCCTCGACCTCCCAAAGTGCTGGGATTACAGGCGTGAGCCACCATGTCCAGTCAACAGATGTATTCTTAGAAGTTATTGTAACTGCAAAATTAGTTCAAAGGGAAAAACTGAAGTGAGTGTGGAATGAGTTAGGTGGCTGGGTCCATGTCAAGGCAAATAAACACAGAGTCACAGCCAAGGCAATTATAATTATAATCTGGCCATAATCCTATCAGCAGAGGGTACACGATCTACTGCAAATTTGCTCTGAGGTGTGCGGTTGTCCTCCACTCTCCCTTTCTTCCTCAAAGGTAATACATAGCCCAGTGCAAATACAGACTTCTTCTTTCCCCTGAGAGTTGGTTATTCATTTCTCACAATATTCTGGGGGAAAAAATTAGCATGCTAGGTGAATTCATGCATGATCCATTCTTAAAAAGCACTAGGATATAAAAATTACGTTCTCTTGACCTCGGTCTTTTTTTTAGGATAGGGCTCTCTTTCTAAATCCATCTTCCTATGCCTTCTCTCCCTCTTTCTCTTCCTTTTTCCAGCTGATATCACATAATGGACTATGCACTTTAGATCTGAAAATAGGTGAAAAGCTTGAGCCCAAAAAAGCTGGTGGCATTTATGAATACGTATCAAAGTCCATTCTCTAACACCATCAAATAGAACATGCATTTGGGCCAGGAGCGGTGGCTTATGCCTATAATCCCAGCACTTTGGGAGGCCGAGGCGGGCAGATCACCTGAGGTCGTGAGTTTGAGACCAGCCTGCCCAACGTGGAGAAACCCCATCTCTACTAAAAGCACAAAATTAGCCAGACGTGGTGGCACATGCCTATAATCCCAGCTACTCGGGATGCTGAACCAGGAGAATCACTTGAATCCAGGAGGTGGAGGTCGCAGTGAGCTGAGATGCTGAGATCGCACCATTGCACTTCAGCCTGGGCAACAAGAGTGAAACAACGTCAAAAAAAAAAAAAAAAAAAAAAAAAACAGAAGGAAAGAGAAACAGGCAGTAGACTCTGAACCCATTTAAAAATAGATTTGCTCATTGCGCTATTATAAACTTAGAGAATTTTCTCCTGGATCTACCTGTCATAAAGAGGGCTGTCGAAGGGGTCATTGTAAAGACAAATATTACTTTTTTCTTCCATGTCCAAGGAAATATATCTTTTGCTCAGGGGAAAAAGAAAGAAACAATGCTGCCTCTTTTGTATGGGGAAAAGGCAGCTCCTTATTTTTATGTTAAAGAGTTGTCAAGACACTTATATTTGTCATAGCATTAAAAGTTATTTTTTATTCTACTTAATTGTTCATTGAGATTTCAAAACCAAATCTGCCTTCTTGCCAAATATCTTTGTAATATGTACATTTCACACTGGCTTATTATAATGGATTTTCTCATGGGATCTAGCATTCTGGCATCTGCTTTGTTATGATATTATAACAATAATTAACATTTAGCACTTACTGTATAGCCAGCCTTTGATCCATATTTTTAACAAAATGTAATAACAATTCTCTTTCACACAGCATCTTTCATCCCAGAGCCTCAAAGTGGCTGGCAGCATCGTATTATAGCCTGAGATAGTTGTATTCATTCCTGAAACCCTCCCAACGCCCCCATGGGGTCTATCCACAGCAGGCGTCTTCCTTAGGGGAAAAAAAGGGAAGAAAGGTCAAGTGAATTGCCAGGCAGCAAGACAACAGCAGCAGGGCCAGGAATAGAATCCAGCCCCGTTGCCTTCTTGGTCAGGGACTCCAAAGCTACAATAGCATCTATTTTTAAAATAAAAGAGATGGAGAGTGAGAAGCAAGATGCATCTGGTGTATTCTGACAGGGATTTGGATATGCCCTAAAAGTCATGCTATATCTTCTGAAATGAACCCCTGGGAACAAAAGTCTGATGCGATGGTGAGATGCCTTTTCAGCAAACAGCACCTAACTCCTCTCTGTAAGTACTTGAGTACATACTTGTGCCACAGGCTGGGTCCCTTTCCTCTAGAGAAGAGTTAGAAGGAGGTACACAAAGACTCCAAGAACTCTAACTCTGAATCTCTCTAATCAGGGCAATCAACAGACACCGTGAAGCATATCTCATACTCAGTACTCTGTTGAATAGGTGATCAATGTGAATCAATTTCACCCAAAGCTGCTGTTGGAATGGTTATCTTACATCTTCTGCTTTTCTCCTTTGGATCAAACCTCTTAACTCTTAGACATCCTCACAAGAAAAAGAAAGAATATCACCAGGTTAACATTTGGATCATTTGGAAGAATAATTGTCATGATTATGAACCAAAAGAAGCCCATTGTCACCTTAAATTCACAAGAATAAACATGGCCATTATAGGAAAATTAATCATCTATATATAGCTAATTAATATCTAATAGATATGAGCTTCACTCCAATTTACAGTATCTCAGGCAAGTGTAAAGGTGCAGATGTGGGTCAGAGACTGACATGAGAAAAACAGCAACATACTTGGTGCAAAGAAGATGCTCAAAGGATGCCTCTGGGGTGAATCACAGTGAGAGCCACAGCGTGAGGGAGAATGACCGAATGGCTTGCACATGAATGAAAGAACAGCGGTAACCACCATCACTAAGCCACATCAACACAGCGCTTCCCAGTATGGGAGCCATTACTGTCTCCACCTAAAAGTGAAGACACTGAGGTTCACATAGTTTAAGTAGATTTCCCCAAATTATGGAGCCAGTAAGGAATGGAAGCCATCTGACATACATGGATTTATACAGCTTCTGGTAAAAACATCTGTAGCCTCCAAAAAGCAGTTTAGATATGATCAATAATGATTATGGTGATGATGATCAGTTGTAGTAGTAGTAGCAATAGTAGTAGCAGTAGTGGTGGTAATAGTACTACTAGTAGTAGCAGCAGGAGTCGTAATAGTACTAGCAGTTGTAGTAGTAGTAATAGTAGTACTAGTAGTAGTAGCAGTAGCATAGCAGTTAACATGTATTTAGTTTTATGTGCCAGCACTGTTCTAAACTCGCTTTAATCTATCAATTAGTTTCATGACAACCCTATGAGGCCTAATTATTATGCCCATTTAATGTCTGAAGAAACCAAGTCCTAGACGAATGCACCTAGTGAGTACTTTCTTTAACGTATCTTTTTGCATGAAACCATCTGCCAGCCCCCTTTCTTTCCTTTTCTCAACAAGAGAGGGAAAGAGAAGACAATACCACTTTGTCTGATCGGATTCTGGAACAGTGGCAGCACTGAAGAACAAAAGCCTGTGTCCATTCTGGCCAGTTCTTGTTTGTCCTTTCCAAGTGCATGAACCACAAAATATATTATTCTCTGATCCTGCATGATGCCCTGATTTCCATTTCCACTGAAATAAGAACGAACAAAAATGACTGATTCAGTAAAGCACATTCCAGGCCAGTGCATAATGAGAAAATCCAATTCAATTTTAAAATGAATGTAGCCCAGGTCTACAATTTTTACCAACACCATATGCATCTTGCTGGGCCTTCCTCTTAGTAGATTCTCACTCCACATGTAAATAAAAATAATAGCACCCATCAGAGCAGATTTCTGAAAGGGAGACTTCCTCATAGCAAAACACACAGCAGAAAAATGTGTTTGGCTGGCCTCCAGTGCCCCAGAGTGGAAGTGCCAACTAGAAGCATCAGTCTAAGCCCCTTGGTGCAGTTAATATCCCAGCAAAGCCCACAGCCATTCCAAACTGAACATGAGAGACCACAGCATCAAGAAACCCAAGTAGAATTCCATTTCTTGTAACTTGGGGCAGTAAATGGAGCGAAGTTATAAATACTTTAATTTACAAAGAACTATCAAATGGGGCCTCGGCACATTGGTGCCAACTTGGGTTGCAGAACTGAATCTTGTTTCATCTTAAAAAGAGTGTTTTGCCATTTGAATAAATTCTGAAATGGTTCCAATGAGACTGATGTAAGTCATTATAACTGGTCCCCACGGGATGGCGTTCTCATCGTCCTCTCCATCATCTCATTCCCTGCAATAGTGTTTTTGGAAAATGTCTTCATCCCATTGTCTTTCTAGAAAAGGAACTCTGATAATGAACAGTGCTTGATATGAAAAGCTTTACCATCAAAGCAATGGAGAAAATCATGGACTGTCTAAACAAGAAACAAATGCTCTTCACATGCCAATGTGGAAAGGCCCAGTCCTAGAGCACATTGATGATTAATTCCATCAGAAAGAAATGAAGCTTGCCGTAAAGTCATATGCTGGGATGTAGGTGGTGTCCTAGAACGGGGAGTCCTAGGCAAATGAAGCAGCTGAGCGTCATGCGTTCGCAGCTAAGATAACCACATGCCAGCTTCAGAAAGGTGCTAAGATTCTGTCTCCAAAACACACACCCGCTCTCGGCTTTCTACGTATTCAGCCAGCAGCACCTTCCCTTCCCTGGAGCCTTCCAGAGCTGCCTCTTACTGGGTTGTAGGAGTGAAGTGATCATATGCAGAGAGTACCCGAAATACTCACTGTGTTTCTCCGGCTGCTGAAAAATTCTAGGGAAAAATGCTCCGTCTGAAACATGTGTTGTTTGTGATTCCACTCTGCACCCTTCCACATTCAACTTCCTATGGGCACTAGGTAAAAACGGAGGTGGCAAATGCTGGTGAGCAGGAAGAAAACAAAAAAAGGAAGGAACGCTGCTCAGTGAGTCAGAAAGACAATAACCCACTTGGAAATCAACAATTCTCCTCCTGTCCCTGCTCGTATTCTAAATTAAAAAAAAAAAAATTCAGATTTTGATCTCAAGTTTGCAACATTATTTGTTCAGGTAAAATGTTGTTTAATCAAACTCGTTAAGAGCTAAGTGCTAGAATAAGGGTAAAATTTGTTCCATGGCGTGGGAAGCTGCACTTGGTTTAAAATGTGCTAATCTGTAAGAAACTGGAATTTAGTATCTTTTATTATAGCTTCCTAATCCCCCTCTAATGCAGCTCACTGGCTCTGCCTACCACTCTCTGCATGGAAGGAACACTCAGCAGCATGTAGACCTGCACCTGCTCTTAGAGAAACTCTTTTAGCAACCCAAGTTCACAAACTGCATCCATATTTGAGTAGCCACGATCTGAAAATTAGGAGGCAGAGGGGTAGATGGTTATTTTGATTAAAATTAAGCTGGGTCACGTCCGTGACTTGAGATTTGGAGAAAGATAAGGAATCGGGGCTTCCACTCTACCTGCCGGGCAGGTGGCAGGGTCAAAGAAGAAGGTGGTGAGATGGAATGAGAAAGGCCACGCCTCAACTTGCTCTTCAGCAAGGACCTATCAATATGAAAATTAATGTAATGTAATGGGCTGTTTCTTTTAATGCAGGGGAGAGAGAACCATGAGAGATTATTTTGCAGAATGATAAGGCTTCCCTATCTAGTTCATAACCCTGGAGACATCCAGAAAAGTATGGATTTTGATTTGAACAATAATGAACTGGTAAATGATACAGCTTTCAGCCATATAATGACTGGATTAATTTGCTGGCTCTGGAGTTAAACCCAAACAGAGGCCCCGAAGAGATAGGACTGTTATCTAAGCAACAATTAATATGCTGAAAATGCTATTTAGAAATAGCCTCATAGTTCACTCTGCTATCATGGCCTAACTTTTATTGCTTGGCCATCTTTATAAATTGTCATAAAAATTTAATAAATGTGGTATAATCTAAAGAAGAATAGGATTGTCATTTACAAGTAAGTGCCCGTTTCAATTGCAGTTTTAGATCTCAAACTTGAAAATCACATTTAAAAGGAGAAACTGTTCCTGTGTTCCAACCTACATTATTGCTCCAGTTTAGGAGAAATGCCTTTGCTGTGATAAAAAGATTGAATGTTTACCTCTGCTTGGCATTGTGTCAGCAGGGTAGACCTTTATCTGTTAATTTGCCAGTGAGATGTTTTTTGTTTTTTTTTCCAGTGGTGCTTTTTCATTCCCACAGTGAGAAAAACCTCTTTCAAGTTTAAGTTGAGTGTTGAAAGGCAGCAAAGGACACAATCGAACTTGGTGCATACTAAGAATGGATCACTCCATTTGCCAAGCTTAATACAGCCCGTGTAGGCAGCGCATTTAGAGTTGTTTGGATTTTATGTAACTACTAGGAAAAAGACAACATGACCAGCACAAGGGGCTGCCTTATCAGCAGCTGAACTGCAGCCATATGGGGCGATTATTCTATACTGGATTGGGGGCATTTCCAGCACATTCTAAACGTATTGTGCTCAGGACTCATCTCTCCAAAGGCATTTCAGAGCACAGGATGCAGGATGCAACTGAGGGAGTGTTTGAAGACTGTGCATTATTGGCCGGGCACGGTGGCTCACACCTGTAATCCCAGCACTTTGGGAGGCTGAGGCGGGCGGATCACTTGAGGTCAGGAGTTTGAGACCAGCCTGGCCAACATGGTGAAACCCCATCTCTAAGAAAAATACAAAAATTAGCCAGGTGTGGTGGTGCATGCCTGTAATCGCAGCTACTCGGGATGCTGAAGCAAGAGAATCACTTGACCCAGGAGGCAGAGGTTGCAGTGAGCCAAGATTGCACCACTGCACTTCAGCCTGGGTGACAGAGTGAGACTCCATCTCAAAAAAAACAAAACAAAACAAAACAAAACAAAAAAATTATGCATTATCTGTGCTACCGCTTAGCTCTGGGTGGCCCACTCTGCTGCTTATGTCTGGGGTACAGGTGCTCTCCTGATCCTGAATCTGGTAACTCAGCCTGCCTGTGCACCGAGAAAAGACCCCAGTGCCGAGCGTGGCTCCAACATGCTAGGTAAAAGGAAAGCAAAGACCAAATCGTGCCCACAGGTTGGCAGGCAGTGCTGGCAGGGAAGCCAGCAGCTTCTTATCTCTCCAGTCCTTCCACCATGTCTCATCCCTGAACCTTATGATGCATCCGGTAGACTAAGGAGGAAAAGAGGAGCATGGCTCTCTTTGAATAGGTTTCTGCTCTAACCAGGGGGCACACTCTCCCACCCCAAACCTACCCTCAATTCCTGAGCCCATTCAACAGAGTCGTCACGGCAAACAGCCTGGACAAGATTGACTGGGAAACAGATCCAGCTGCCATCTGCTAATTGTGTGACCTTAGGCTAGATGTTTTTCATTTCTTAATTCTCCATTTTCAAATCTGAAAATAGGGATAGTAGAAATATCGGCTGCATACGGTCATTGTGAAGTGTAAATGATTTTCCTCTGTAAATGCTCCAAGGGCCGCTAAGCAGCCAGAACTGATGCTGTTTCTGATAATGCGTGTTGGTGGGTCTCTCCTGTCATTTTTCATACATTTGTGGCCTTGGCATAACAGTTTCATTTTCACCTGTATGGGTCCATCTCATAAGCTGTTGGGAAACCGGGCCACATGGTGGGCAATTTTAACATGAAGAAACAGAAACAGGGTGATAACATCTGCCTCTTGAGCAAATGATAAATTATGTTTCCTTTCTGTACCTCCATTTAAAAAAAAGGATGTTAAAGAAAGATCCCAATAATAACAGTACCAAAGAGCTGTTAACAGGATCAAAATGTGATAACAACAAAAATAATTCCATACATTCTAAAGCACTTTGCTAATGCCTCTTACTATAACTATTGGGCATGCAAACATAATTTTAGTTGTTGGAATCCATGATTCCTCACTAGAATTCCAGTTTTCCAGAGTAAAAGTCTCAACAAACCCAAATAGATTTTCCTCCTCTTCCTCCACCTCTTCCTCCTCCTCTATAATCTGCCCCATCCCTGCAAGGGAATACTCCCACAGAGGCACCCTGTCTTACTATGATTATCTTCAACCCCAACCCTTTAGCTACAGAAAAGGACCTGAAGGAATCCCACTCTCAAAGACTTGTCGGAGCCACCTCAAGTTTCCCTTCAAAGGATACCCTCAAAGTCCCTTTAACGAGTGTTTAAATGGATAAAACAGGAAAGCCTCTTCAAAGGAACAAATCCTTTTGTGACACGCAAAGTTGTTCTTCCTGAAAAGGCTAAAAGCACTTTCCCATCAATGATCTCCTGACCCCACACCAATCCTCGGAAGCAGGTATTATCAGCTTGGTTTTGTTGCCAGTGAAACTGAAGACAAGGGGTTAAATGGCCCATCAGCACTCCACAAAGGCCTTTTGTCATCTGGGAGAAGCTAATCAGGCAAATTCATCTAGGGGCAAACAAAACCCACTAAAGAAGGGGAGTGTAGACCCTAGAGGTTGTTGGGTATCTCTCTCTCCCCAAAGG
The DNA here is from genome assembly GCF_000001405.40 of Homo sapiens. Lineage (NCBI taxonomy): Eukaryota > Metazoa > Chordata > Mammalia > Primates > Hominidae > Homo > Homo sapiens. The sequence goes on from NC_000002.12 coordinate 8,264,312, forward strand.
CAAAAATAATAAATCAAATCTGCTTAAAGAACTACAGTATAAAGGGAATGTGGAGGCCTTGGGTATTCCCAAGCCAAATGAGTAACAGAGTCTACAAGAAAAAAAAAATGAGAGTAACACTAGCCAAGTCTGGATTTTCAAACTCCCTGTTTTAGGAGCCCCACCTGTGGCAGAAAATACCCTCTCTTCCTCAATACCCTCTAGCCTCTCTTGACTCTAGTCCATCCAGCACACCACTGACAGAAGTCTTCTGTAGTAAAGAAGCCTTCTTTATCATCCTAGATTGTAGCAATCTGCCCCATGCCCTGTTACCTGTGGACTCACCCAAGGGCTTGAGTAAATGTAAGACCCTCCATCAGTTCATATCCTGCTCCAAGATATTTAATCGATGGAGCCAGCCCAGCAATGCCAAGCTTCTTCCATCACTTCTCTCAAATTCTCTCCATCTTTCAGCACCTGTGCAGACTCTGATCTCCTCCAAAAAGGCTTTTCTTGCCTCTTCCCTCCCAAACTCCACAGCCCCGATTCTGAACTTGGTCCTTCAACAGCTGAGTATTTATTAAGTTCTCACTGTTTGCCAGGCATAGTTGATGGGAGGAACATGTAGGGACCCTTTTATTTCTGCCTTTCCTAAAGATTGTGTGGTCCTTTATACCGATCCCATCTCTTTATTTGTGTAGCCTAGGCCTGCCCGTGCACAATAGCACTTCTTTTCTCTGAAAGTCCAGCGTGCTGGATGCCTAGATGGAGAAGTGGGGGTAAAAGAACCAAGGCAGAAATGGAGTGGGAGAGTCTCAGTTCAACATTGCCCCAGCAGGAGACCTACCCACAGAGACCACGAAACATCCCTGCCAGGAGTGCCTGGACTTTGCCACCTGCAGCTTTGGAGGCTGGCTGGTGGCTGTGGGGACTACCAAAAGCATGTGCAAACCACCCAAGTTTGACCACTTCATAAGAACTCAGCCATTAGCAGCTGGGCTTAGTATTCCATCACCTCACCACCCCCAACACCCAACCCCAAGCTCTCTCCTTTCTCTGCAGGAAGGATGAGATCTAGGGAACTGATATCCTTCAGGAAGGATCTTCAATACTGGCATTTGGAATCTATACTTACATTTCTGCATTTCCCTATATGTGCTTTAGCACACATTTTCTCAGTTAGTTTGCACAACAATGGCCTGCAGGAGATTTTACTCTCCTTAATGGTATTATACAAGCAGAGGTAGTAAGAAACAAAGTGGGCTGGAAGGCTCTCTGAACACAAGTGCCTCCCTGTGGGCCTGAACCCAGGGCTGAAATCCCACCGTGATGATCAACTCTGGAGGAGGTGGGAGGACACACTCCAGAGCATGGAGGGGGTGGGCAGGATACACCCACATAGCAAAGTGAGATACATTGGAAAGGGAACTTGAAGGGGATGTTGTATAAGAGGGCATTTCAGGGGGGCATGGCTGGAGGAAAGCCCAGATTTTAAACATGTGTTCCTGCTATTATTCAGAGTTTGCACAGCACTTTTAATTACAGGAGAGCCACAAACAAGGAATGCCCATGGGTCGTCATGACTGGTTCCATTTTTAACATGGTGAGAGGTGGGCATGGATGGGTTCATTTTGTGCCAGGAAGGGCGAGCCAAGCTCCCACAGACTTCAGATTTCCAACCTGCTGCATCACATCAGCTGTTTATGCTGCCTCCAGCCTCCCTGAGGACCGAGGCTCAGGAGTTGGCCATGGCCTAGGTCACACTGCCCCCTACACAGATGCCCATCCCCAGGCTGGCTGTGCTAAATATCAGCATGGGAGAGCCAAGCAGGGGCTTCTACTTCCCTAGAAAAAGGCGGGTTGCTACAATAGAACACTCCAACCACTCCCTCCAGATGTAAGAGTTTATAGCCAGACAGGCCTGGGTCTGACCCAGCTCTTCTCTGGGACACAATCACGAAGATGGGAGGATGGACGGATGTTTCAGAAGGTCAGGCTAAGACGTGGTCCAGTAGCCTAGCAGAGGTCCATCAGGTGTCGCCAGTTGCACTGTCACTTGTCCTAAGCTGTGGAGCCTACATTTCTGTCAAAATCCTGGAGCAAGGCTTATTTTCCAAGTAGCTGTTAATGTGGCCAATATCGAATCCCTTCTACATCAGAGTCCCAACCAAAGCATTCCTTTCATCAGCTGGAAGTCAGAAATGTTTTTTTTATTTCCCCCAGGTCATCCAGTTTGGTACAGTGATCATTATTTCCTACCAATTTTGAATTTTGCATTTAATTAATTGACTTTGTCAGTTGGCATGCAACCTTTAAAAAATTTACTGAAATGCCAGCCTTGAAAGAAAAAAAAAATCATTTGATGAATGTAATCAGAGTGTCAGCAAAAGCACAAATGTTCCCATGGGTCTATTACAATACTGGAGGTTCACAACTGATCACTCGAGAATGTGCAAATTCATGCAGCCTGATATTTACTAGCTAAGCAAGTGTCATCTATTCCATGCCTCATGCATGTCCAGAGAGCCACACCTGTGTCCCGGAAACTACCAAAGCCTGAAACTGGTTAAAGTGAGTGAGTAAATAAAAGCAAAAACCACCGAATTTAAAAAATAAAAACAGTGGTAGGCCAAGAACATGGATTTCATCCCACAGAAATGCAGAACTAAACAAGAACCTAAGACCACCCTCTCTTTGCTTACTGCACAGTTGCATGGCAGAAAAGAAAAATATAACCAGAATAGGACGCTGTCAGCAATTGACCTCAGGTGCCATCTGCATATATTCCTGGCACTGCTAATTTGCAATTAACAAGGGCCTTATGTTTTATCGCCTGTAACTTCCTGTCTTCAAGTCTGAGGGAGGGGGTTTAGCAGAAGGGAACATGCAGGTGGGTGGTGAGCCTTCTCAAAAACAAATAATTCTGCTTTTTGATACTGAATCACTGGTATGTAAGCTGCTCTCTCAAGCTAATAAAAGGTCATTCATAGAAGGGAAATGGAATGGTTCCATTATGTCATTGTGTGAAGCAACTCCTCAAAAGCATGGCAGTACATTGCGGAGTTGAGGAGTGAGCCATGCCCCAGGCTGGTGATCTCTGTCCACGCTAGACACAATCCATATTGAAAATCCATGTGGATGTGCAAACTCCTCACCTGTCGGAATAGGCAGAGGAGACTGAAATCTTCGGGAAGCCTGTGGGCCCAGGAGAGTACACAGAATGGATTATAGGTTTGGCCCATCCCTGGCTTCTGATCCTGGATCTGCCACTTACCAGCTATGTGAACTTTGGCAAATGACTTAACTTCTCTGTGCCTCAATTTCCTCATGTATCAAATAGTATTGAAAGCTCATTGTGACAATTAACTAAGATCATTGTGAAGTGTCTGACACAAAATATGTACTTGTAAGGGTGGGTAACTACATGTCAGGCACTTTTGCTAGAACTTTATTTGGTTGTCTCAAAGTTTATGTATCATTTAAAAATATTTCATCCATGTTTTCTTAGAAGAACAAAGCCCTTTATGCCCATTTTACTGAAACAGTAGTGAGATTCTCCATGGCTTCCTCACACTGCTCCAGTGTGGACACAGTCTTGGATGCTGCCGTGGGAACGCTGAGTTTGTCCAACATGGACATGGCCAGCTCTCTAGAACAAATGACTTCACCAGGCAGTCAAGAAGGCATAGGTCACTTCTATATTCCAATTACTATTATCAGAACAGCTCATTGCCTAATTTGACCTTGTTCTTAACAAACAAACAACAACAACAAAGAAAACATTGGAGTGAAAGCTCGAGAGAATTATGTGGTGAATCCAGCTGATCTGTGATGTGAAAGTGAAGAACTGATTGAAAGAAATTAATCTTTTTTTGCTTAACATTGGACAATCTATGTAGCAACAGAGACCTGCTGGAGTTGACAGAAGGCTGATGTAAAGCGACATAGCTAATCAGTAGTAAACTGGGAAATCATAGCCTATTCCAATGCAACAACTAGTTGTTTAATAAAGGCCAAATAAGTAAGAATAGCAACAATAAGGCAAGATGCTAATCATATATTCTACCTCTGTCTAACAGCCAAGTCAGCAGATAAGCAGGGATGCGGAAGGTTTAAGTTAAAGTCTCCATGACACTCAGGAAAATATAACTCCCTCCAAAGCTGGTAGAGAACTGCAGGTGCTTCTGCATCATCCCAAATCCCTGCCACTTACAGAAAGAGCATTTCGTGGTGGTAGTGGCTGGGACACAATTCCCTTGAACACCCACTCCCGGGCCAAGACATCAGGACATGACTCATCTGGAGTGAACAAGGCAATTTTCTGTGGGGAAAACGTGTCTCCACCCCAGATGTTAGCCAAGTTCTGCCTAATTAAGTAAAATTCTGTGAGCCTGCACACGTACCAGCAATGCCTGCACTTTCCCTTTAACAACTGTGGGAAAAAATAACACTGGACAAGGGGGAGAGATTGTGTGCTGGCACATGCGCGAGAATCAAAGGCAATTGGTGAATGTCAATTATTTGTACAAAGGTAATTGGCCAGGAAGTTACCATTAATTATATCTAAGGATTTTATGCTCCACAGAAAGGTCAATGTAATTCAAGATGTACTTATTGATCATCTACCACCACGTACAAGGAGATTCTGAAAAAAAATGTTTGGGGTCAGTATGTGGAAAAATAGGGACTTGTGATGAAAGGAAGTGAACAAAAATGTCAAGGAAAACATATCTTCTCTGATAAGCTTTTAATTTTGTGAGAAAATCTGCAAGGACAACCATTATATAAGATAGAATACATAGGAGTTAAAGAAAAATTAAGGAAACTTTCTATAAAAGAACAGAGAAAGAACTTACTAATTCTCACTGGGAACGAAGTTGGAGGGGCTTCACAGAGACATTTATAAATGATGCCCCTGCTAGCTGTTTTATAAATTATACCCCCTACTAGCAATTATACCCTTACTAGAGAATGTCACAGGAAGATGAAGGCAGAGGCTAGGCTGACACTTCCACAAGTCAAGGAACACGAGATTGCTGGCAAACAACCGTCAGGCGGGAGACGGGCATGGAATAGACTCTTCCTCACGGTCTTCCAAAAAAACCACCCCTGCCAACATCTTGATCTCTGACTTCTGGACTCCATAACTCTGAGATGATAACTTTCTGTTGTTTAAGTGACCCAGTTTATGGTACTTGGTTATGGCAGCCCTAAGACAACATGTTTGCCATTTTGGAAGGCAGTCTCCTAGGGTTCAAGATCTAAGCCAAGGTTCTCCAGAAATTTGCAAGGAGATTCATTGAGGTACAGGAAGAAACTTCTAGGACTTCTAGATATCTCATTAGTTTAAGATTTCAGGAAGAAACTTCTAGGACTTCTAGATAGCTCATTAGTTTAAGATTTCAATTTTAGCTTATGTTTTAAAGCACTATACATTAATGCAATGATATATCATTTATAAATAATTATACATATATAAGATACTTTATTAAAAATACTTTATTGATAGTGATGAAGACTCAAATAAATTGTACAACTGTTAAAAGAGATAAAAGTCTGGATAATCATAGAAAGAAAATGATGACTCATATCTGTAATCCCAGCACTTTGGGAGGCCGAGGTGGGCGGATCACCTGAGGTCAGGAGTTTGACACCAGCCTGGCCAACATGGCAAAACCTCATCTCTACTAAAACTTCAAAAATTACTGGGGCATGGTGACAGATGCCTGTAATCCCAGCTACTTGGGAGGCTGAGGCTGGAGTATTCCTTGAACCCAGGAGGCAGAGGTTGCAGTGAGCTGCGATCGTACCACTATACTCCAGCCTGGGCAACAAGAGCAAAACTCCATCTCCAAAAAAAAAAAAAAAAGGAAAGAAAATAAAAGAAAATGAGATACCTGATTCCCTTAAATTTCTCATGGCTGAAGTACAATCTCCAATGGCATAATAATATGGCTTTAAACTACTGTGATGCGCGTAATCAGAGGAAGGCTTACCTTAGTGGTACTTTACAGTTTCCTGGGTGCTTTCGTGTGGCTAAAGGAAGATGAGGACAATCCATCATCCAAGGACGTTCTATTCTAGTCTTAGGGTAAGGAGCCCAGTGCTGTGGGTGTACACTGCCCTGTGTTTCAAGAACCATATTTTGCCATTTCTCCCCATAGGCCTTTCAAACAGCCAGCACAGAGGAGAGAGTGAACAAATCTGGGGGCTTTTATTAACTAAAAGCCATATTTTTACCCACGCCTTTCTTTCTTCTGCCCAGTCTTATGCCCACTTAGAATGACCGCTTTCCATCGCCTACCTGTCCGGATGCAGACCCTAATTATACTTCCAGGCAGACATCAAGTGCCCTGAGCAGACCTTTCCCTCAGTACCTGAGGGCTCTGTGAACCTCTTTGAACCTATGGGTTAGGATCAAAAAAATGAACCTTTCATGAAGACCTGACTGAACTCTTATTGAATGTATGGTAGGTATCCAGACAACTTCAACTAGAAAACAGCTGTGTTCCTTGAGGCCACAGACAATGGAACATACCATGCTTCTCTGGGGTGAAGCTAAGATGAACCTCATTGATCACATGAAGGGCACTGGAAATTTGAGAGCATTTCTCTTTAGTTGTGGAACACTCTGGACTTTGGTGTCAGATTGACCTAGATTTGAATTCTGGGTCTGACACAAATTTCATGGCCTGGAGCCAGTTACTGCACCTTTCTGAGCCCCAGCTCCCTCACTTGTATGATATAGACAACACTTCCCTTCTCAGGTCCAGGGGGCATTCAGTGAGCTAATGCACAAAAGATCTGGTCCACAGTGACTGCTTAAAAAACATCCAACAAGCGCCTCTGAACCTGTCTCTCATTCTGTTCATTATGCTCATTCCATCTCTCTGGTCTGCTAGCCAATGACCTTCTTCTAAACACAGCAATATTTAGAACACTGCTAGGTATTCTATGGAAGAATAGGTTCTTTTTAAAGGAAGCATAGTTTGAATGAGCCTGCCTTCCTATGGCCCCTTTCTCGGTAGAGTTATTCAATTTAATGATGACTCTGATGACAGACGTAAAAGGTATGTGTCACCCACGTGATTCTAGCATCTTCCTTCATTGTGTCTCAAAAGAGTTGAGGGAGAGCTGGCTCAATCCCCATTTGATATAAATTTGTATTTGATATTTGAAGATGATGGGTTCATTTCTAGCTTCTTCTAAGTGGAACAGCTAATAAGTCAATAATGTCAGGAGGACCAATTAAACAAGATTTATCAATGGCAAGTGTTGGGAGGCTGGCATGGGTAGAGTGGAAGGCAGAGGACAGGAAGTGGGAACTCTGCCTCAGCCAAGAGGAAGTCAAGACTCTATGAAGGAGATCATGGATATCCAAGTCATTACTTCCCTCTGGAGCCATCAGTGGGGTTTGTGGCTCTCTAAGGAAACTTTTCGTGAGCTTTTGCTGGTTAACTCATGACTCTCTGGACATAGATCTTAGCCCTGTGGCTCAGGCCCCGTTTAGCTGGGTATCTCAGGGAAGGCAGCATTCTCGTGGGCCTCTGGGATACATCTAAAAATATTGGATCTGTGATCAAGTCCCTTGACTCTTTGGTACTGACTGTAAGGAGATGGGAAGACATTGAGAGGATGGAGTTTAGTTTGGAACAGCGAGAGACTACATTAAGAAGTGAATAGCAGGACAGGTTGACAGAACGCAAGCAGTGAAGAAAACAGAAAACTCAAAACTGTTGACCAGACCTCACCCATCCAAGGACATCATTCCAGCAATAACCCCTCCCCACAATATGATTCCTTTTCCATCTGCACTAGGACACTCACATCGGCGTCAATACGATATTGCTCCTCTCATCCTGAGAAAGTCTTTTCCCGACACCACTTGCCCCTCCAGCTCTCATCCCTTTCTCTGTTTCCCTTTCAGGAAATCTTCCTGAGAGTGTCTTCTAAACAAAGGGCATCAATCCTCAGCTCCCATCCTCCCTTATGTCTTCAGACCTGCACCCTCTTCACACACTGCAGTTGCCCCTGGCAAGGTGGCCGATAGCCACCATGGAATGCAGTCACAAAAGCAGCAGTTGACATTGTTGACCTCTCCTTACTCCTGGAAACGCTTTGCTCACCTGCCTTCTAGGGCACCACATGCCTTTGCTTTTCTCACTGGATACCCCTTTTCAGTCTCTTTTGCCGATTTTAAATTTCTCCCCCAACATCTTAACATGGTACTTCCCCAGGGCTCAGTCCTTGGAATTCATCTCCCTTCAGTATACATTTGTCTCACCTGGTCTCACGTGCCAAGGATTCTAAAATTGTGTATCTCCACTATGAACCTCTCCAGGAAGCTCTAAATGTGTATAGCCACCTATCTGCTTGATAGCTCTACTTGGATATCTGATAGAAATCTGAAATGTAATCTATCCAAAATTAAGGCTTGATCTTCCACCCCTCACTGTGCCCCACTTGAAGTCTTTTGAGTTAATGGAAATTTATCTTCCAGTTGCTCAGGCCGAAGAGTTTAGATTTAGATTCTCTCTTGACTCCTCTTTTTTCTTCTCGTACTCCAATCTTACCTGCCAGTAAATCACATTGACATTACCTTTAAAACACACTCAGAGTGAAATGCAGGCCTATTTAAAGGAATGTAACATAATTCAGAGTTTCTATGTTACATTATAAACACCAGCATTACCTCAAAGATATTGCAGGTTCAGTTCTAGACGACTGCAATAAAGTTAAGGGCACAATAAAGAGAGTCATACTAATTTTTTACTTTCCCAGTGCATATCAAAGTTATGTAGTCTATTAAGTTTGCTATAATATTATGCCTAAAAATGTACACACCTTAATTTAAGAATACTTTATTTATTGCTAAAAACTGCTAACAATCATCTGAGCCTTCAGTGAGTTGTAATCTTTTTGCTGGTGGATGGTCTTGCCTCAATGTTGATGGCTGCTGACTGATCAGGGTGGTGGTTGCTGAAGGCTGGGGTGGCTGTGGCAATTTCTTAAAATAGACAATGAAGTTTGTCACATCAATTGACTCTCTATCATGAAAGATTTTTCTGTATCAAGTGATGCTGTTTGATAGGATTTTGCCCAGAGTAGAACTTCTTTCAAAATTCGAATCACTTCTCTCAAACTCTGCCACTGCTTTATCAACCCAGTTTATGGAATATTCTGAATCCTTTGTTGTCATTTCAACAATGTTCACAGCACCTTCACAAGGATTAGTTTCCATCTCAAGAAACAACTTTCTCTGCTTATCCATAAGAAGCAACTCCTTATCCACCCAAGTTTCATCATGAGATTGCAGGAATTCAGTCCCATCTTCAGACTCCACTTCTACCTCTTCTGTTATCTTTACCACATCTGCAGTTACTTCCTCCACAGAAGTTTTGAACCCCTCAAAGTCATTCATGAAGATTGGATTCAACTTTTTCCACATTTCTGTTAACGTGGATATCTTAACCTCCTCCCATGAATCACCAATGTTCTAAATGGCATCTAGAATGAGGAATCCTTTCAAGAAGGTTTTCAATTGACTTTGCCCAGATCCATCAGAGAGGAATCACTAGGTACAGCAGCTATAGCCTTACAAAATGTACTCCTTAAATAATATGCCTTCAAAGTCAGAATTACTCCTTAATCCATGGGCTGTAGAATGGATGTTGCGTTAGCAGGCATGAAAACAATATTAATCTCCGTGTACACCTCCATCAGAGCTCTTGGGTGACTAGGTGCATTGTCAATCGACAGTAACATTTTCAAAGGAATCTTTTTTTGTGCTAGGTCTCAACAGTGGGCTTAAAACGTTCAGTAAACCATGCTGTAAACAGAGGTGCTTCATTGTTCCTTTTATAGAGCAGAGGCACAGTCGATCTATCATAATGTTTAAGGACCCTAGGATTTTTGTAATAACAAATGAGCATCATCTTCAACTTGAAAGTCACCGGCTGCATTAGCCTCTAATAAGTCAGCCTGTCCTTTAAAGCTTTAAAGCCAGGCATTGGCTTTTCCTCTACAGCTATGAAAGTCCTGGATAGTTCCTTATTCCAAGAGAAGGCTGTTTCATCTACATTGAAAATCTGTTGTTTAGTGGAGCCCCCTTCATCAGTGATCTTAGCTGGATCTTCTGGATGATTTGCTGCAGCTTCTTCATCAGCACTTGCTGCTTCACCTTGCACTTCATGTTCTGGAGACGGCTTCTTTCATTAAACCTCATTAACCAATCTCCGCTAGCTTCAAGCTTTTCTTCTGCAGCTTCCTCACCTCTCTCAGGCTTCATAGAATTGGAGAGAATTAAGACGTTGCTCTGGATTCGGCTTTGGCTTAAGGGAATGTTGTGGCTGCTCTGGTCTTCTTTCCAGACCACTAAAACTTTTTCAATTTCAGCACTCAACCTCTTTTGCTTTCTTATCATTTCAGTGTTCACTGGAGTAGCACTTTTAATTTTCTTCAAAAACTTTTCCTTTGCATTTGGAACATGGTTAACTGGTGCAAGAAGTTTAGCTTTCAGCCTGCCTCTTCTTTCAACATGCCTTCCTCACTGAGCTTAATCATTTCTAGCTTTTGATTTAAAGTGAGAGACATACAACTCTTCCTTTCACTTGAACACTTAGAGGCCCTTGTAGGGTTATTAATTGGCCTAATTTCAATACCGTTGTGTCTTGGGGAATCGAGAGGCCCTAGGAGAGGGAGAGAGATGAGGTGGCCGGTCAGCAGAGCAGTCAGAACACACATGACATTGATGGATGAAGTTGGTCATCTTATATGGGCCTGGTTTGTGGTGCCCTAAAACAATGTCAATAGCAACATCAAAGGTCACCGATCACAGATCACCATAACATATATAATGATAAATAAAGTTTAAAATATTGCGAGGATTATCAAAATGTAACACAGAGACAAATGTGAGCACACACTGTTGGAAAAAATGGGCCAATAGACATGCTTGACCCAGGGTTGCCACAAACTTTCAATTATTTGTAAAACATGTAATAGCTGGAAAGTTAAATAAGGAAAGCACAATAAAACAAGGAATTCCTGTACATCAGGTTTTTCCAAACGTTGTGCCTGTCACATCTCTCTCCTCCCCTCCTGGGATCCCAAAGTTATAAATGCTAATCCTGTGACTGGGTCCAACAACTCCCTTATAATCTCTTCTGCTATTGTCCCATTCTTATTTTTTTTTTTCTGTGTGCTTCAATCTGGAAATGTAATGACTTGCTTTGAGGAATTCAAGCTCACTTTTCCTGTCTCTGCTGTGTCCACTTTACTATTAAAGCCATCCAATGAATGCTAGATCTTTCCTTTGCAATATGTTAGACATTGTTCTTAAAGTCAGATATTGCCTTTGGCAGTTGTAAAATTCCCATTTGATTCTTTTTTATATAATTCCAATTCTTTGTTGAAATACTCCCTCTCCTCTTCCATGTTGTCTGTCTTTTCATCTCTTTCCTTTAACAAATGGATCACAGTTATTTTGAAGTCTGTCTTCTAACTGCATCCATTTGCTTTCATGGACTGTTTTTTAAACTTTGACTTTTGGTCACTTTTTCCTACTTCTTCTTACATCTAGTAATTTATTATTGTGTAATGTACATTGTGGATGATACAATGCAGAGGCTCTGAATTATGCCTTCTTTGTAATGAGGTAGGGTGTTTTCCTGGAAGGCAGATAAATACCAGTGGGTCATTTTGATCCTGTCAATTCTTGGATTTCAGCTTTCTTAGGGAAGTCTGCTTTGGTTTTGTCGTTAGTCCCTGGGTGACATGGTTTGGCTGTGTCCCCACTCAAATCTCATCTTGAATTGTAGCTCCCATAATTCCCAGATGCAGTGGGAGGGACCCAGTGGGAGGTAATTGAGTCATGAGGAGTGGGTTTTTCCCATGCTGTTCTCTTGATAGTGAATAAGTCTCATGAGATCTGATGGTTTTATTAATGGGAGTTCCCCTGCACACACTCTCTTGACTGCCACCATGTAAGACGTGACTTTGCTCCTCATTCAACTTCCGCCATGATTGTGAGGCCTCTCCAGCCCCTTTCTTTTATAAATTACCCCATTTTGGGTATGTCTTTATTAGCAGCATGAGAGTAGACTAATACAACCGGTTTACTTTTTATTCCTGGGCATGACTTTCTGGGGTTTCATATAAATGTCTGGGGGTGTGTGCCAAAGCTCTTACCTGTAAATGGAAGATACTATCATCTACCATGCATGATTATGATAAAGTTTAATGGACAATAGGATTTGTTCTAAGCACAATACACTGAGGTCTATGCATCTAGTCCTCTATCTTCCACTCCCCATTCCTGGGCAAACATCACCTCTCCCTCCCTGCCAGCTTTCCCATCTGCGACACTGGAGTCCGTTAGGATCATCAAAGAAACTGAGCAAGGCACCTGAGCCCTGTGTTCAGGAGGACCTGAGGACAAGGCCCAGGAAGTTCCTCAGTTTCTCTGAGTCTCAGGTTCTTCATCCAGAAAGTGGCAATAATAATGTCTATTCTGGAATATTGTTACGAAGATGTATTTAAAGCAACTAACATAGTTTCTGGGAAGCAATCAGGTTGCAAATAAGGATATCCATGTTAATGTTCTGACCACCCTACCAAAACAAGATATAGAATCAGGAAACACGGGCATTGCTGTTAGTAACATAAGAACTTCTGTTATTTCTCCTCAGTCCTAAAGATGGTTGTGAATTCAGATCCTATGTCTATGCCTCAGCATTTTCCTGTAGTGAGTGTAAGAAGTATTCATCCCAACTGGCTTTATTCCTAATATTTAGAAACAACTGTGCATAGATAAAGCGGTCTCCTAAGCCTCAGTTTAAGAACCAGAATCATTCTCTGCTTTCAGTTACGAGGAAGCTAAGCTATACGTATAAAAAGAAGAGATTGAAGGATCTGAAAGTGGCCACGTTGCCTCACTGCCCACCCTGCCTCCCCAGCACACACCCAGACTGTCTCCCATCTCCATCGCTAACTTTTGAGAACCGGAACTGAGTGTGTAAGGGACAGAGGGTGGCATCCATCATTTTTATATCAAGATGCCAATATAATCACTTTCTGAAAAATAATTGCAAGCCTAAGTATATTAAAGGTCTCCTTTCAAAGGCTGCATTCACAATATTCCCTGAATTTAACCTAATGGGAACTAAATTGTGTTGTTATTCAAAGAGATTCAAGGACTGATTATTATTTCAGAATATAAGCAACCTTTGGATTAGTTTTGAAAGATACACAGGAAAAATCTTAGGTATGGCAATCCAGCATTAGTGCATTAGTGAGCATCTACTATGAGCTAGATGCTAGGGAATAAAAAATGTAAATGAGAAGTGATTGCAAGATTCCTGCAAGGTGCCGGGCGAAGTAACAATCCCACTGGGCAGTTCTCTCTCCATTTCCCATCCCCATGGGAAGCAGACACACATACCACTCACCATTCCTTCTTCGTGGCGTTCTTTCCTGGTGTGAATCCCAGGCCACGGGAGCACAGAGGAGGAAGTGACCACCGGGGACAAATAGTGGGCAGAGCAGGATGGACTTCAAAGAAGGATATTTTAAAGCTGAGGGATATAATCTGAAAGTGACACTTTTGAAGACTAAGCCAACTGGAGCTTCAGCTTGCTCTCACTTTCATGTCACCCTCAGGACAGGGCTGCCTCTGCCCATCCCTGGTTGCTACCAACAGCACTTTCAGATTTACAAGGGCTGTGTGAGGCTGGTGCTGGCTGGGGAGGAGGAACCCTCAGCTCATCTCAGGGCTCAGACAGGCAACATTCTCAATCACACACAGCAGCCTGCCATCCAGTCCAGAACCGTTCAGGACCAACTTGAAAAAGTGCCTGATTGCGGAAAGCAAGCCCCCAGCACATGCTCCTGGTCCAGGCTGGCACCCTGAGGCCTGGCTCCTGCTGGCCACAGCCTCACCCTCCCACCTCCTCCCGCACCCCAGCTGCCCTCTGCTGCACCACGAGGGTCTGTGGGAGAGAAAACAATCGTTCAGGGAAGATTGAAAACACCCCTCTTGCTTCTTGCCAGAGAATTTGCATTTTTGGAACAGGTTCTTATTTCTTTTTAAGGCTCAGAATGAGAAGCTTTTAGAAAAGCTAAAAATATCTGTTAACGAAGAAGCAAAAGAAAAAAAAAAACTATCCAGCTTTCTCTTCTTTCTGTGCAAAAGGCTCGGCAGCACCCGGAGGTGCAGAGTCAGCTTTTAGATTCTCTCGTGGGCTGAAAGTACTAGGGAGGAAAAGGTGTCATCGAGGCCTGGATCTTTTAGAAACAAAGATACACGGAGATAAAGATAAAAGAAACCCGAGAGCATGCTACAAAATCATAGGAGTTGAAAACCGAAAATGGTCTGTTAGAGTTAACTTAATATAAATTCCTTGTTTTACAACTAAAGAAACTAACATGCAAACAGGTAAGATGGCTTGCCCAGAGGGGAGGCACAGCAGCTGGGACTAGGAGCCCGACTTCCCCACCCCGGCCAGTGCCCCTTCCTTGCCTGGGAAGACCTCCCTCCCACCATCACAGCACTTGGACCTACAACCGTGAAAATGACTTTAGAGGATCTGGTCCAACCACTGCTAATAAGGTCACCAGCCTCAGCAGCAAGCTGCCTTCCATCCAAGCCTGGGTTTCCCAGCAGCCAGGATGAGTTGCCCCAACTCTGCCTCCTGGGGCCAGGCTTCCAGAACTCAGGGAAACACAAAGGCTTCTGATGGAGTTTCCACCTAGGACTTGGCGCATCAGTAAGAAGGTCATGAACTCGTTCAGGATCAGAAGCATTTAATTATTGGTGGACATTAGAGCTAGAAGGACCCTGCCCTCCATTTAAGCGACAGAAACAGAGGCCAAGAAGGGATATGGCTTGTCCAGGGGCACCAGCAGTTCAGTGGGATTCTGCTTTGACAGGGCTGGTCCTGCAGTCCCCTGCTGCCTCTGCCAAGCTTCTCCTTCGTTTGGATTTTTTGTCCTTCGTGTATTCTCCCAATCGATACCCTCTACCAAGTGCCTACTATGTACCAGGCGTGGTTCTAGTGCTAAGGATACAACATAGAGCAAGACAAGATTCCGACCCTGGGGATTTTATGTTCCACAAACCCCACGTGACCCACATCAGCCCATGAGACATGGGACTCCTGCACGGATGTAAGGAGGTTTCCCCACCCTGGCTTCCCCTAGAAAATGCTTTCCTTCAAGTATGTGCATCCTGTCCCATGGCTCCTGATCACCCTACAAGATGAAGCCCAAGTTCAAAGCCTCCATGACTGGTTCTGCCCACCTTTCCCACATTTCTTCCCCCACCCCCACCTGCCAAATTGTGCTGCAGTCACACAGATCCATAAGATCCACCTGGAACTCCTGCGTGGGGCATTGCTCAGCCTGCCACCCACCTGGGGCGCTTTTCTTCCTACTCTTCCTCTCCTACTCTGCGGACCCTCTTCCCAAAGCAAGGCGTGGGCCATTTGCTGCATTCTAATTGCATGTCTGATAGTCTGTGAAGTGCTTTACAGATGCTACATCACCTAACCCCACAGCGTCGCCGAAGAGACCACCGGCTCAGCCTTGCATGCCTGAGAATCACCTGGAGGCGCTGTAAAATATAACGCCCCCAGGTTCCACCCGAGATCCTCATGTATTTGGACTCTGGTGCTTAGGCATTAGAAGCTGTAAATGGTCCCCTTGGGATTTCAATGTGCAGCCAAGACTGAGGACAACTATAGTCTCTCCATTTTGCAAATAAAGAAGAGAGGTGCAAAAAAATTACCAAACATGCCAACATAAATTCATTGATTCCCATTTCTGTTAAAAAAGATAAAAAAGGCTAGGCACTGTGGCTCACACCTGTAATCCCAGCACTTTGGGAGGCCGAGGCAGGTGGATCACCTGAGCTCAGGAGTTCAGGACCAGCCTGGCCAACATGGTGAAACCCCGTCTCTACTAAAAAATACAAAAACTAGCCAGATGTAGTGGCAGGCGCCTGTAATCCCAGCTACTTGGGAGAATTGCTTGAACCTGGGAGGCGGAGGTTGCAGTGAGCTGAGATCGCACCATTGCACTCCAGCCTGGGTGACAAGAACAAAACTCTGTCTCAAAAAAAAAAAAAAAGATAAAAAAAAGCAGTTTATGTGAAAATGGGATTTCTCTCTCAGGTGTCTGCTGTAAGGACCTCCAGTATACGGTGGCCAGATTTAGCAAATAAAAATGCAAGACACCCAGTTACATTTGAATTTCAGATCAATAACAAGTACTTTGTTTGGTATGTCTCAAATATTGGACATACTCATGCTAAAAAATATTTGTTGTTAATCTGAAATTCAAATGTAACTAAGCATCCTGTATTTTATCTGGCAACTCTACTCCGGTAAATCAACACAAACAGAAGACTGAAATAGTCGTATATTATTAGGAGACAAATCCCCAGAAAGTGTTTTCAAGTTGTTATGTAAAATTTGACTCTTGCCTTGACTTTACCTGCATAGTTGTATATTTACTAAAGACTCACAAACAGAATGTCCATAATGCAAAAAATAAAATAAAGACAGGTGAGCTTTCTTTTTTTTTTTTTTTTTTTTTTTTTGAGACAGGGTCTCACTCTGTTGTCCAGGCTGGAGTGCAGTGGCATGATCTCAGCTCACTGCAACCTCTGCCTCTCGGGTTCAGGTGATTCTCATGCTTCAGCCTCCAAGCAGCTGGGATTACAGGTGCCCACGACGACACTCGTGTAATTTTTGTATTTTTAGTAGAGGTAGGGTTTCATCGTGTTAGTCAAGTTGGTCTTGAACTCCTGACCTCAAGTGATCCACCCACCTCAGCCTCCAAAGTGCTGGGATTACAGGCATGAGCCACCGCACCCAGCCCAGGTGAGCTTTCTAGACCTCTGTATGCCTACTCTTTTATGTGCCTAATAATAAATCTCTCAGTTCAGGCTGGCATTGCACTGGAGATTTTTCAGCGCATTTTGTATATGTATATTATCTTTTGGTTCTCACAACCAACATGTAAGAGAAACAGGTTTGGTGCTATTATTCCCCGTTTACAGATGGACAAGCACCGAGAGTGGTAATTATTCAAAGCCACGTGGACCTGGGCAGAACTAGAAGCCACATATTTTAGTATCAATGTTGATTTTTAGAAGATACAGTGCTGCTAAAGGTGAAGGTTCAGTCTTAGGTTTTATTATCTCAGCTCCAAAGTTCACAAATTTAAAAGCAGTAAATGAATGGCTAGCTGAATAATTGAAATAATTTTCAATTCATAAAATCACACCCTCAAGAAAGGCAGGCCTTCAGGAAGCCCATGGTTGTGGCCCTGTGGTTCAGCCAGCCCCACTCAGAAAGGTGAGGAGGGGGCCTGGCTTTCAGCCCCCACCCGAGACTCCGCAACTGTCCACCCGCCTCACCCTTTGCTTGCTGTACTTGCAGCCTGTTTCTTCCTGCCCTGCCCTGCCCTCGAAAACACAGCAGCTCCCCACCTTCCTCTGAGCATAATGCTTCCATACAATTATCGTAACAATTCAGACAATTTCAACAATTTCAAACAAGTATTGAAAACCCCTCAACCCACAATCTTCTGAAACGTCCATATCAGGTATTGGCAAATTGTTACACTGCCTGCACCAAAAATAAACAAGGACAACAGAGACGGAGGAAAATTCCCTTCCTGCTCTTTAAACTCCCACAAGCACCAACAACCTTCAGTGTTAAAACGTATCTTCAGTTTTGTTTCTGAAGTCTCAAGACTTCAAGTGAGGACACGCCCTCCGCCAGCTAGCCGGCCCATCCCTTATCTCGTTCCGCGGGGCAAAGATGAGGAGAGACCGACCCTCTGCTCGCTTCTTCAGCTTTGAGGAGCAGCCACCGAGGCAGCCTCTCAGATGCCACATCACACCCCACGGTGAAACTGTGTCACCTTCTGGCCACTGGGCGGGCCACACAGGAGCTGCGGTGGTCATCCAGTGTTTCAGCCAGGGTGCTCCAGAGGAACAGAATGAATAGGATAGATTATAAATAGAGAAGAGGAGGTTTATTCTGGGAAGTGCCTCACACGGTGGAGGCTGAGAAGTCCCACGATCTGCCGTCTGCAATCTGGAGACCAGGAAAGCTGGGGGTGTGGTTCAGTCTCAGTCCAAAGGCCCAAGAACCAGGAGCACCAGTGTAGGACAGCAGGAAAAGACGGACGTCCCCGCTCTATCCGAGAAAAGAGAACCCCCGCTTCTTCCCCCTTTAAGTTGGGTTCAGGCTGTCAGCAGGCTGACTGATGCCTGCCCACACTGGGGAGGGCAGGTCTTCTTTACTCAGTCTCAGCTCCTCCCAGACACACCCAGAAGTCATGCTTACCAGCTGCCCGGGCATCCCTTAGCCCAATCACGTTGATTCTCAAAATTAACCGTCATATCCAATTATACCTTTTGACCCAGCTGGTTAGCAGAACCAAGCTCAGAGAGCCTCCTGCCTGCCCACCCAAATACAGCCCTAAGGCCAAACAGATGCATGTTTAACTGGAGCCTCAAACTTAGAATGAGAGAAAACAGAAAGGCAAGTAAAAAGTAACTGTTTTGGTCAATAACCCGTGTATTCATCACTTCACTGACAGAGCTTATCGTATGTAAGTTCCTCATGGCAGATGGGCGCGTGGCCTGTGCACGCATGCAGGCCTGCACACTCACATGCACGCACACACACCGGACAGGTTAATCCCCGTATCATTGGCTGCCACGGGTTGCCTAAGAAGCTTAACAGGGCATGTTCTGACTTCAACAATGACCTGCTAATGGTTTTGCATTTTTCTCAAGTATTATAACCCATCTTTGTCCCCCTTATCTCCTAATGAAATCAGTAAATTGAGGTGACTGCAAGAGGGAGCGCAAAGGAAACACCAGAGCCAAGGGTGCCGCGAGGCTCTACTAAGCCACAAACCATCATCTTGAGGCGATTATCAGACCTTGACTTTTGCTTCGAGAAATAAAGTTGCAGATATCCTGGCGAAACAAAATTTCTTTCCGTTTTACTTAAAAAAGAAGAATGCAGCCCATATAGTTGTGATTTTGCTAACACTGAGAAAGCTGTCTCTCACTGCACTCTCCATTTGTGTGTCTTTTCCGCAGCCTATAGTTACAGCATGTGGCATTTCAACCTTCTGTCCCTTTTTTTTTTTTTTTTTTTGACTCTCGCTCTGTTATCCAGGCTGGAGTGCAGTGGCGCAATCTCAGCTCACTGCAACCTCCACCTCCCTGATTCAAGCAATTCCCCTGCCTCAGCCTCCCGAGTAGCTGGGATTACAGGTGCATGCCACCATGCCTGGCTAATTTTTTTGTATTTTAAGTAGAGAAGAAGTTTCACCATGTTGGCCAGACTGATCTCGAACTCCTGACCTCAGGCAATCCACCCGCCTTGGCCTCCCAAAGTGCTGAGATTACAGGTGTGAGCCACCGTGCCCAGCCCCTTCTATCCCCTTTCTAAAGTGTGTTCATAGCCATCAATACGTAGGGGCGCAATTCAGATTTATTCCCACAATTTGCCTTGATCCTTTTTAAAGGTGGGTGATTTGGCCCTGCATTCATCTTTCTCTCCAAGTTGCAAAAATCATTTTATATATTTAGTTACTTATTTCTTACCAATCCTCCCTAGCTCTGGGACACATCCCATCAGTCACCACCAGCCACTACCTTCGGCTTAAATTACTTTCAAGGCTTCTCATTACTAGTAGGAATCAACCACAGCAGCTAAGGTCCTTAAAATGGTCCCCACCTACTTCACCCAGAGTCCCTCCCCTTCGGTGCCCTGGCTTCAGCCAGGCTGGTCCGCTCTCATCTCTTCTAACACATGGCTTTGCATACACTCGTCCCTCCTAGAGCACTTTCACCCCGGCCTGCATGTCTCAGGGGTCCCTAGTCTGCCTCTGGACTTCCCTCCAACTGTCCCTTTCCCAGGGATCCTTCCTGGTCTCCCTCCCTAAGTTAACTCTCCTTCTTACACTGCTTCCCAGCACTGCACACCCTTTCTCTCACATCAGCTATCGCAGCTATGGTTTTACATTTATTTCAGTGGTTATTTGATTAGAGTCTATCTTCTTCCCTGGATAGTAAGTTTCATGAGAGCCAAGGCTAGATAGCCCTAGGATCTAGCACAGAAACCAGCACGTAATAAACATGCCTCATATATTCCATGGATGAAAAATACAGGCACCCAGCCTAGTTAAAGGACATGAAGAGTCTGATGCTATTTTCTCAAATACAGTCCTATTCCACATGATGCACAGACAGAAGTCAGATCGCAGAATTACTGTGACTCAGCTGCAGTCATTCCCAATCAAAGTGGCCCTTTGTTCCAAGTCTCAGGTCCCCTAGGTGTCAGATTATCCCACATAAGGCCAGGTTGAATCAGCCTTTGTCAGGAGAAAAGGGTCGTATAGTACAGACATATCCACAGTTGCCTGCCCAGTGGGCCATGAAGCCTCCCCAAAATAAGAAACAATGAACTGAGCAGGCACCCCAAAAGTCATTCAACTGCTTCCTATCATTTAGCTACACGGGAAACACAACACAACACAACACAACACAACACACACCCATAACATTATCCCATGCATTCAGAAATATCCCTGCCTAACACAATACACTGATGGAAACACATTCCCCTTCCCAACGAAGACAGGTCAAGTTGATCCCAAGGCAAGGCCACGCCACCGCCACTCCAACGTCAGAACTCATCAGAGTCCAAGGTCCCTGGTGACCCTTCTGGGTTTCTCTTACGATGATGCCTTGTGAGCTAAACAGTAAAGGTAACCACACAAACACTCTTGGATTTCAAGGGGGAGGAAAAGAAAGAGAAATGAGAACAAATATCTCCCCCTACAGGCTGGACCTCTAGAGAGGAGCTAGAGGAACTGAGGAATCCAGGAGAGGATTGGATGCTCATGAGGGGCACTGGTCTGGAGGCCAGCGTCTCAGCACATGGGGAGAGGGGAGCCACTCAGCATACCAGGAAAACATTTGAAAATCCTGATTTGACTGCCCCAGGATGACCCTCACTTCCCCCTTCCACGCCCACCTCTCCCCAGCACTGTGTGTGGTATGTTCCAGGCCAGCCCTTCTCAGGCTCACATGTGTGGCTGGAGTCTCCAGGGATGGGCTGCTGGCTTGTTTACATGAAGCCGGGCCTCCAAAGGTTTGAGATTCCACACTTCTTTTTTTTTTTTTTTTTTTTTTGAGACTGAGTTTCACTCTTGTTGCCCAGGCTGGAGTGCAATGGTGCGATCTTGGCTCACCACAACCTCCACCTCCCGGGTTCAAGCGATTCTCCTGCCTCAGCCTCCCGAGTAGCTGGGATCACAGGCATGCACCCCCACACCTGGCTAATTTCATATTTTTTAGTACAGATGGGGTTTCTCCATGTTGGTCAGGCTGGTCTCAAACTCCCGACCTCAGGTGATCCGCCCGCCTCAGCCTCCCAAAGTGCCGGGATTACAGGCATGAGCCACTGCGCTTAGCCGAGATTCCACTCTTCTAATGAGCTCCCAGGTGGTGTCTCTGCCCTGGCCCAAGGACCACACTTTGAATACAAGGTTCTAGGATTCATTAGACATTCGCATAGCTCTAAGTCAGGCTAAAAGTCAGCGAATAACTAACTGGCTACCAGTCCTGTTGGTTGGCTGTCTAGACTATGTAAGGCATAAATCCACAGACTTCACCCTGTCCTTGATGACTTGCATGAAATGGCTTTGACCTCCCTCCTGCATGCCCAGGGAACAGCTCCAAGTCCTCCCCAGATGCCTTTTAATTCGAGTCACTGATATTGCCAGGGGTGGCTCTTGCCCACACCTCACCTCATCTGACCCCACTGGGGACTGTCGTTCCTCTGCCTCACAACAAACCCAGGGCAGCTCCCAGCTGACCTGTCCCCAAACATCATCACACCAACGAATGCTAAGGTTTTGTTCGCAGCACACTTGGCCAAAGATTTGGAGTAAAGGGGTTTTGTTACATCAGGGGCCTTCACTGCCAGGGACATGTACCTTGACTTTTAGATGCCCCTGTTCTCAAGAATCCCATCAGCTCTGTAAGAAAAGATGTTTGCTCACCTCCACAGGCCTCTCCTTCCCATCTCCACCCTCAATTACTCATTTCTTCATGCAAAATGGGGTACTTTTATCTCCATTTATGGTTTTCTTCCAAACTATGCCTTTCATCCCAAGGAGGAATTTTGCTTAAAAAGAAAACAGCATATACTCCAAAGAGAATTTACACTGTTCTCTTAACCACAACACATTGCAGTTGAGGTCTGCATTAAAACTTTTTGTTTTCCTCTGCACAACACCTGGGTTAGACTGAGCCATGGAGAATCACTTATTCCACCGAGTCTTAGCAGCTGGCCTGGGACAGCTACAGGGGTTCACACAATCCACGGCACACCATGACCTTCCTACCTGCTTTCCCAGAAATCGACTTTCATGATCATTTCAACATTAGTCCCTTGTAGCAAAATTAGAGCAGCAAGTCTGATGAATTGAAGGGAAAAGAATAATCCAGGCCATTCATTAATTGGAATGATCCATGCCACCCCATCTTTCAACAGCATGGATAACTGAAAGTTGACTGTACTGTTAAATTAACATCAATGTTAAGCTTTCACTGTAATAAAACCTGCATTACATTATTCTTTAGGGCCAAGGCATAAATCCCTTGGTGGCTCATGAGTCAACACAACCAAGCCCAGGAGCTGGCTTTCGTACGCATGCAGCCAGCCCATGGAGGAGCCACACTAGCAGTCCTTATAACAAGAAGCCATCGTATTTTTATTCCAAAAGTCCTGGACCAAAAATCAGAAAGCAAAGCAGAAAGCATCTGAAAAGAAATGTACCATTTGGTTTGCCTCCAAACACACTTGTAAAGACACACGCCCTTCTGTTTCTGTATTTTCCCCTTCAGATTTATGACGTACACAAACAGCGAGAAGACAAACGTCCCCATTAAAACAAATTAATCCTGTAATAACAAAAATTATAATAAAACAATTGAGAGGAAGCTCACAGGTAGCAGGTATCCTCCAGGTGCTGGATAACCCTCCATGATGGCAGGTGTCCTGGAACATTACAGCCGTCGGAAAATAAAACTTGAGAGGGGTGGGTGCAGAGAGTCCTGGTTCATGTGCGTCTCCACAAGGATGGATGCTTGCTACTCCAAGTGTATCTGGACTCTGTGCCTGATCATGATGTGCAACTCGAAAATGCGTTTCCTTTTAGTTTTTTTCCCTTTGAACAAACAAAACCGGAACATAGGCATTAATGCAATTGAGCCCCTTTATAAGAATCCCAGCTGCCAAATGAGAATGGAACATTGTCAGAATGACAGGAATCGGGCCCAGGAAGAACTGGGGCCCTGAAGCAAGGGGGCAGCTCAAAGGTGGCACTCCTGACACAAGGACACCATGCCACAGTTGCACCAGCAAATGCACTTTAGAGGGAGAGGAGAAGAAGAGCAGGGAGAGAGCAGAGAGATCATCCCAGAGTATGGAAAACTCACAGGATTTGACCCCAACCGAAGGAGCAAGTATAGCCTAACCAGGACTTGAGTCTCAGAACACGTTTTGCAAAATGAGTGATATGGCATGGCTCAGTCCCTGCCTGATCAGGAGCAGAGACTGTGCAGAGGGGGAGCTGCTGTGAGAAGTCACGGTCGGAGTGTGGATGGAAGCACCCCTCGGTCTAACTGTCCTCAGCCATGAAGCTAAGCTGCTGGCTTTCCTCCCTAGTCCTCACCACCCCCAAGGCAAGGGGGACGTATCCCATTTGGAGAGTGTTTCTAAGGGATATTAGTGCCCAATCTCATTCAATCTATGCAAAAGCTGCAGGTGGGGCTGGGTGGTGGCGTGGTCACCCCTACTTTACAGCCAAGCACACACTACAAATAGGAGTAGTTACAGCAGAGAGATGCCTCCTATTCAGGTCTTCTAAACCCCAAACACACAGCAACCAGTCCCTTCAGCTGATTATGATATCACCAAGACCTACACACCCAGAAAGCTTGTACAATTTCCATGAAAGAAAAGAAACAACAAGAGAGCACCCTTTATAGTTTCCACATGATGGTCAGTAGACATTGGAACTAATTCAACAAATCTTGAAACATTAGAGGAAAGCTCTTTGCCCTTTACTCAGCGTTTTGATGATAAAATGCAAAATCAACATCGATTAACTAAATATTATGTTAACTTTATGCTGCAAATAATCACTGACTTCTGTTCTTATCTTTGTTTCTAAGCAAAGGATAATGCTAATTATCATTATTATTATTATTAATGAGAATTGAGTGCTTTGTATTCACAAAGATACTTGGTCAATAGCTTTTCAAGGATTCTTTTAAAGGAAAAAACAAAAGCAAAAATCTTGGAACTGTGTTTCAAACGTTAAAGCTAAAGTAAGATATTTAAGATATACAACCAATTTATTTCTACTTTGACTTATGATTTTTCCTAGGTATACAGGGATGGTTCAATATAAAAAATATGTATCAGTGGAATTCACCACATTAACAGATTTAAGGGAAAAAGTTATAAGGTTAGCTCATTCGATGCAGAAAAAGCATTCAATAAATTTCAAAATTCCTTTAAGATTAAGAAAAAAAGCTTCTGAGCAATATATAAGAATTTCTTCAGCTACGGATATAGTATTTAGCCAAACTTTCCACAATATCATCCTAAATAGTGCAAACTGACCTCCTTCCCATCAATATCAGTAACAAAGTATATTAGTCCATTCTCAGGCTGCTGATAAAGACATACCTAAGACTGGGCACTTTATTTAAAAAAAAAAAAAAAGAGGTTTAATGGTCTCACAAATCCACATGTCTGGGGAGGCCTCACTATCATGGCAGAAGGTGAAAGGCACATCTCACATGGCGTCAAGCAAGAGAGAATGAGAGCCAGGCAAAAGGGGTTTCCCCTTATAAAACCATCAGATCTCATGAGACGTATTCACTACCACAAGAACAGTATGGGGGAAACCATCCCCGTGATTCAATTATCTCCCTCCTTCCTCCCACAACATGTAGGAGTTACAGAAGCTACAATTCAAGATGACATTTGGGTGGGGACACAGCCCAACCATGTCACAAAGCAATAGTCCCTACAGATGCCACTGCTACTCACGAGATGGGTGGGAAACATTGACCCTAAAGCCAAACTATCAGGATTTCAAACCTAGCTGGGCTCTTACTATTGTGTCATCTCAGGCAAGATTTAAATTCTGTGCACCTCAGTTGCTTACTGGCAGACTCTCTCCACACCAAACTTCAGTCAAGCTCCTCTGAGCCCTCTTTTCAATTGAGCCTCATCCTTGGGCCCTGCCTTTAGCCCACCTCTTCCAGTCATAGCAAGAATTCCACTAAGTCAGTTTATTGGGAATCCTTGCCTTGATATCTGATCACCCTCCATATGTGATCAGTTCCTCATCTTCCACCTGTGATGTCTGAGTCTTCCACCTACCTTCAGCAAGAATCCCCTACCCTCGATGTCTCCTCTTAGTCATTTTCTATCTACGCTCCACCCCACTCCCACTCTGCTCCTTGGCCATAAAGCCCCAAATGTCTTGCTGTATTCACGGTTGAGCCCTATCTCTCTCCCAATTGCCACAGTCTTGACACCTATTTGTATCACCCCAAATAAAGCCTTCTTTACTGTTTTAACAAATGTCTGAATTATTTTTTTCTTTACCACTACCAATAAAATAGGAATAATAATACAACATACCTCATAGAGTTGTCACAAGGATGAAAAGAGTTAATGCATGCAAAGTGTTGAGAAGAGTATCTAGCACTTAAAAAAACCTCTATAAACATTAATAATTATTATCGCACAGTTATACATAAAAATATAAATGAGTGGAAAGCAATCGAGAAAAATGTTAGAAAAAGTATGAGAAAACCACAAATAAATTATTAAATATAAAGTTGCTGGAACACAAAACCAGTTTTAAAAATCAATAGCAGTAATAGGCTGGGCGCAGTGGCTCACACCTGTAATCCCAGCACTTTAGGAGGCTGAGGCAGGTGATCACTGAGATCAGGAGTTCGAGACCAGCCTGACCAACAGAAAAATCCCATCTCTACTAAAAATACAAAATTAGCCAGGTGTGGTGGTGCATGCCTGTAGTCCCAGCTACTCGGGAAGCTGAGGCAGGAGAATCACTTGAACCCAGGAGGTGGAGGTTGTGGTGAGCTGAGATCACACCATTGCACTCCAGCCTGGGCAATAAGAGCACAACTCTCTCTCAAAAACAAAACAAAACAAAACAAAAAATCAATAGCAGTAAAAAACAAACACTATTTTTAAGTTAAACAAAATAAAATAATGTTTAAGTAACAACATAAAAATTCTTCAGTAGCAACAAACTATAAGTTGCCTGGAAATAACCTAACAAAAAATGGGTAAGACATTTATGAGGAACAATAGAGAGCATTTTTCAAACGCATGAAGACAAAGTAAGTTGATAAGTGTACGTTTACATGTGGAAAGACTCAATAATCTATGCAATTCTCTCAAAATAATCTATAAATTCAATACTATTGCAATCAAAATCTTAATATTGCTTTTCTCAGCGCAAGCAGAACCATAGCAATGTTTGCTACGTTTACTCTCAGGTATCAAGATTACTATAAAGCTATAGTACCTGAATTGCTCATCATTGATATAGATATGGTATACTAAACCAATGATACAAAATAGAGAACCCCAAAGCAGACTTACCTAAAGTAAAAAGTATAATACTTTAAATGAGATAGTTAACATTCACGGAGTATTAGTGCCAGGTTCTGCATGAAGGGATCAAAGTTCAGTATTGCTCGTTTAATACTCAAAAAGTAGTTACTCATAGTTTCTCCTTTTACAAGCGCAGGGAACTGGGGCAGAGATGCAGAGAGTGTGTGTAAGCAGTCAAAGATGGCACACTCACCTCCTCATCAGTCATGGAGCCGGATTTTGGAGCCAGGCTGTATGCCTCCATGACCGCTGCTGTACTATGTCTTTTAGAAACATGGTACTTTATGGAAGCAGCCTTAAAATTCAGTGGGTAAAAACTAGAATATTCATTAAATTGTGATGAACAATTGGCTAACCATATCTAACACACACACACACACATTCCAGAATGATTAGACCTCAATTTAGAAAGTAAAATTTTAGAAGATTTAATTGAATGCCTTCATAGAGTTGGGAAGAGCTTTTCTAAACAAGTTAACATTTTAGAAAAAGATTGATAAACTTAGCTACATTAAAATTTCAAATTTTTCTACTGTCTCTCACACTTGTGCACGAAGATTTAGGCACATAGATGTTCCCTGCAGTGAATTTTACCATTAAATGCCTAACAACAGGAAAATGATTAACTACGTTGTCCTATGTTTATATAATGATAGTTATTAAAGTGAATGAAGCCAATCTATGTACATTAACATGTATACACTTCAAATATAATTCTAAAAACATCAAGTGCCAGAAACCTCGAATACAAAACACTTATGTAAAGTGTAAAAACATATCACACAATGCCATCTATCCTTGGTGAGAGCTGGGGACAGGATTAAGGAGGAAAAAGTAGAAGACTTCACAAGCATGTGATCATTTCTTTGTTTTAAAAGATAATGATATAAAATAAAATGTTAACAACATTAAATCTAGGTGATAAATACCTGGATGCTCACTTTATCACTCTCTGTATATTTTGGAAGGTTTTAAATTATTGCTAATAAAAGTAGTTACTAAAACTTAGCTCTTGGGGTCAGGCAGGGTGACTCATACCTGTAATCCCAGTACTTTGGGAGGCCAATGTGGGTGGATCACTTGAAGCCAGGAGTTTGAGACCAGCACTGCCAACATGGTGAAACCCCATCTCTACTATAAACACAAAAAATAGCTGCGCGTGGTGGTGGGCACCTGTAATCCCAGCTACTCAGGAGGCTGAGGTAGGAGAATTGCATGAACCTGGGAGGCAGAAGTTGCAGTGAGCTGAGATCGTGCCACTGCACTCCAGCCTGGGTGACAGAGCAAGATTCCATCTCAAAACAACAACAACAACGACAAAAACCTCAATCTTGGGTGAAAGGTAGACCTCAGATGGGAAAAGCAGAAACAAAGAGAGCAGTTGAGTGGCTGCTTCTCAAGCCCAGGCAGGAGGTGGAGGAAGTGTGGAATCAGTGATGGCAGCTGAGGTACTTTGCTCATAGATTAGATGCAGGAGGTAGATAAAGTAAATTAGAATAATCCAGAAGATTCCTAGTTTTTTCTTCAGGTAACAAAGTGGATGGTGGAGCCATTAACAGAGATAGGAAGGGTGCAGAAAAACAGGTTTGGGGGAGAAATTCAGAGGCTTTTGTAGATATTTTGAGTTTGAGATCGTTATTAAACATCCACGTGAATTGTTGGGTAGACAATGCACACAGGTGGATACAAATACAAACCTGGAACTCAGGGGCGATGTCCGGAGTGGAGATAGAATTTGAAAAACCCCAGCTCAAAGAATGCATTTACAGCCACGGTCCCTGGTGAGCTCTTCTCCTCAGAGAGTGTGGATGGAGAAGAGAAGTGAGCAGAGAACAAAATTTGGGGTGCTCCAAAATTAAGAGGTGAATTTAGGGAGAGGGATTGTGGCCTGCTGAATAATGACCCCTCCAAGGCATGTCCACGTCCTCATCCCCAGCACCTGTGAATCATTCTCTTATGTGGGAAAACGGACCTTGCAGATGAGCTCAGGATGCTGCAATGGGGAGGATTATCCTGGATCACCTGGGTGGGTGCCTGTTTGACAAGGGCCCTTAGAAGAGGAGGGAGAAGAGTTCAAAGCAGGGAAAGAAGATGTAAGACAGAAGCAGAGGCCAAAGAGGAGAGAAGACACTAGGCTCTTAGCTTTGAAGATAGAGGAAGAGGTCACAAGCCAAGGACTGCAGGTGGCCTCTAGGATCTGGAAAAAGCAAGGAAGGAATTTCTCCCTTATAACCACCAGCAGGAACACAGACAGCCCTGCCACCCCCTTGGTGTTAGCCCAGAAAGATCCTTGTTGAACTTCTAACCTACAAAAGGGTAAAATATCAAATTCACATTGTTTTAAGCCACTAAGTTTGTGGTGATTTTTCACAGCGGAATAGGAAATTAATGCAGGGAGTCACTATGAGAGAAAGAGTGGCCAGGGAACCCGGGCAGAACAGCACCCATAAGATTGTTTATGTCCCACAAATCCATGGGGGAAACTATTTCTAGAAGAAAGGAGCAGAGCTCTGTGCCAGACTTTGCTGAAAGATACCACTGATGTAGAGAATGAACTTTGCACAGGATTTGTTAAGGTAGAGGTAACCTTCACAGAGCAGCTTCATGAAGTATAGGCTTCCAACCTGCATTGATTGGAGAGGATTAGAGAGTGAGGCATCTCAGCAGAGGTCTCCTGTAAGGAGCTTGAGAGGCACAGGAGGTCAAACAAGGGTCCTGGGTTTACTTGAGAGGAGTTTGAATGCTGATGGGAACGTGCAGTAGAAACTGAAGAACAGGTCTTCATACAGAGGCAAAGCCAAGGAGTGCTAGGGGGATGGAGTGCAGGGCACACTCCAAACACTGGCCATGGAGAGAAGCTACAGGGGGATAGGTGGGAGTGGAGGCAGCTCCCACCCTTCATCTCTGAAGTTATGATGGGCCTTCAGATTTGTTCCAAGCTGAGACAAGGACTGGTCCTTTGCATTCCTGTATCAGCCAGGAATTGAACATGAGCCAACCTCCAGAAGGTGACTGACCCTTGAGTAAGGCAGTTCCCTATGGCTGAGGGCAATTCCCAGAGCAAAAGGCAAGCCACCCCCAGCTCCTGTCTGTCACAACTCAACAATGGATGTGTTGGCCCTGAAGAAAGATCTGGGGAGAGCACCGCAGTCTCCTCTATAGTCCATCCTCCTTTACATTCACTTGCTTCTTCTAATAAGTGTGCCCCATCAGGGAACAGCTCTGCCAGGATCATGGATGGACTGATTACCTGGGAAATTTACAAGAGAAGATTAGATGAATAAATTTCAACCACCACTGCTGCAATTGATCTCAAGTATGGAATGTGCGTAGGAAGATATGGGTGAAAAGATGAAGTCGTTACCTGGGTGCCTCTGTCTGCTTAGGGACATGAGATGGAGGAGAAAGGAAGGGAAGGGAAGGGGTTTAGGAAGTTGGAGGGGATCCAAGAAGTGAAGGTGTCATTTGGCAGAGCAGAAAAGTGTCCCACCATTTATCAGGTAGAAGACCAAGGACAAGTTACTTAACTGCAGAGTTTCCATTTCCTCACCTTCCTACCAGTCCCATTCTTCAATGGTACATTTCTTGAGTGCAGAATCCACTTCAAAACTGAAGCATCAATAGTCTAAGGTATAAGGACACTAAAATAAATCATGGGTTTTCTCTTATATTCCCTAGTAAAAAAACTTACAAATTCTCCCAAATATCATACCTTGTATTTTGAGGAAAACAAATCTTAAAGGGAAAGCCTGTTTCACAAACTTGAACATCAGGAAGATGGTCCCAAAGAATTAATGAGTTCAACAACTCAAGGTTCTCTGGAAAAAGTTCAAAACATTAAAACTTAGTTTTCAGTGTAATGGTTATTAAAAGTCAACACGAAGCTTTCTCATCAGCTATATAAAACCTGTTATCATTTCTTAGCCTTTGTGGAATGCAAATCTACATTGCTAACTGTGTGTTTCCAGAGGAAAAGTCTGCTATCACTGCCTCCCCATTTAATGAACTATTTTGTAACCATAAAAATGTGATTAGTTTATTTATATTTAATCAAAACACACTACAAAAACTTGATAAACTTACTCCTGAGAGCTTTGCATCATTGATGAAAAATTAGAAAAAAGTATTCAGCAACTTAATCTGATTTACCATCATAAATATTCAAATTTTACATATTTATTCCACAAAACAGTTGTTTAAGTGGCTTTAATTTATTTTCAATTTTATTGTCTCGACTGTATAATGCAAATCAATTGTTGAAATTGTTCGGAAACACCATCCAATAAATGTGAAACAGTCTCTCTCTCTCTCTCTCTCTCTCATAAAGTGAACTAAAATGAACATGATGGAGCCTCAGGATCCCATAGTGCATCATGCCAATTTCAAAGTGTATATTTGCACCATACCAATTAAATGAGTTCCCTGCATGTGCAGAGTGAGTAGATGCTAAAATTTCACCATTATCGAAATTTTCTTTGTTTAAAAAATTACCTCTAGGATTTCTGTTTCCAGTAACATGCAAGGCTGAGTATTTTGATCAAACACTAAAAATTCTGGATTAAAATGTTTTAAAATTCTTAAAAACATCTTTATTACATAATAAGGAATTATCAGGTCAAAATCTAAGGGAAAGTTGGTAACGAGGAATAAGAGCAATGAAATAATTTCTGCCTTAAAAGCAAATCTGGTGAACTTTCATTTTCACAGCCTTTATGAAAAAGCCCAGGTCCCATTAAAAAGTAGAGAGTCCAATAGGAGAGGCTTCTTCCATAAGTCTGGGATCCCAAAATATTATATCCTCATTGTAAGGGTATAGGGGAAGTAAATCCCACACCCAAAAACACACAGGGACCGCCTTGGTGCTGAGAAGACTGGACTAAGAGCAGGGGAAGGCTTTGAGAATTTACAATGAAAAATAGGCTTTCTACTCAAATCAATGCAAATTTGCATTAACTAAAACAAAACTCATAGCTTGAAGATTTTTGGTCTTTCTGGCAAATATTACTACCAATAAAATGAAATTAGCTCTATGAATATCAGACAAAAATAAATTTTAAAGCAAAACATCCTTAGGGATAAAGAGAGTCATAGCCACAGCATAATAATAAAAGAGTATTCACTGAGAAACTTTTGTCCTAAGTTTCTTTTTTTGTTTTGTTTTATTTTGTTTTTGTTTAGTGAGGAGTCATTATTACTCTTGCTCATGATCGTTTTTTCTAGAACCTGACATATTCCATAAAGCCTAATATCCTAGAGGCCTAGGATGTTCTAAAATCCAGCTTACGGGAAACAGCCTGAAATTGCATGAAAAAGGTTACTGAGAAGTGATATAGTTTAGCTGTGTCTCCACCCAAATCTTATCTTGAATTGTAGCTGGCATAATCCCCACACATCATAGGAGGATCTTAATGGGAGGTAACTGAATCATGGGGGCGGCTCTTTTTCATGCTGTTCTCATGACAGTGAATACATCTCAAGAGATCTGATGACTGTAGAGATCTGATGATTGTATGAAGGGGAATTCCCTGCACACCCCCTCTTCCCTGCCACCATGTAAGTAAGACGTGACTTTGCTCCTCATTCGCCTTCTGCCATGATGGTGAGGCCTCCCCAGCCATGTGGAACTGTGAGTCCATTAAACCTCTTTCCTTTATAAATTACCCAGTCTAGGGCATGTCTTTATTAGCAGCATGACAACAGATTAATACAAGAAGTGTTGTCAAAGAAACCTCTTTAAGGAAGGAAGGCAGAGTTGGGCAGAGAGAGAAGACAACTCACCATAAGGTTACAGGGGAGACCTCAGCCTTCTCCAAGCATCTCTGAAGCTGTGATGGGCCTTCAGATTTATTCCAAGCTGAGACGAGGGCCAGGCCTTCATATTCCTGTGTCAACCAGTAATTGAACATGGGCCTCCTCAAGGAGATGCCTTAACCCTGAATGAGTTCCCTACTGCTGAGAGCAATTCCCAGTGAGAGAGGTGAGCCACCCCTGACTGCTGTCTATCACAGCTGAGCAATGGATGTGTTGGCCCTGAAGAAAGATCTGGGGAAAGCATCAGAGATTTGGTCGTGAACTCCTCTACAGTTCACTCTGCTTTAAATTCACTTGCTTCTTCTAGGAAGTGTGCCGCATCAGGGAACAGCTGTCCCAGGATTTTGGTTGAACTGGTTACCTGGGAAATTTACAAGGGAAGATTAGTAGAATAAATTTCAACCCCCATTGCTGCAGTTGATCTCAAGGCTATAACCAATATTCATCATTGTCCTCCTCCACCCTTGGTTGGAGATTCCCCCCATCCTCAATTCGCACCTCTGCTGGTCTACGTAGCTTGCCTAGTGAGGCAGTCCAGACCATCATCTCTGAAGGGTCTGCACCTCTAGTTATCATTCCCTTTGCAAGCTATGACATCTGCACTTGGCCACTTGTAGTTAAAACTGAGCATGGGAGCACCAAGAGACACCCCGGTGCATCCTCTGAGCAACAATCAATTCTGCCCTGGCCCTGTGCATCCTCAGCCCCACTTCCCCTGGCCAGCTGTGCCCACCAGGATGATATCTCCCTTCCTTTATGGCTGATCCTTGTCATGAAGACTCTAAGTGACAAAGTGGCTGGTGTAAATTAAAGTTCGTTGGGACTTTTGCTGTGTCCTCCTGCAGAGGCATCCTTGCTCTGCAAGCCAGGATCTCTACACCCACAGAACCTCATATGTCAGAGAAAGAAAGCACACATTCCCTAAGTAGGTCACTGGGGGTGTTGCTAAGTACGGCTGCTCCTACTACTATTCTTTTCTTTGGTTCCAACCTATTTGGGACACAGCAGCATTGACATAGTATGTGCACTGTCCTGGAGGACAGTGGCCCATCCTCATAGGATATCATCTCTAATCTGGGCCCTTAACTATTTACAGAAGGCTCATCCACCTCTCTGTCAAGCTGGTAGCTTCTGGGTGACGTCATATGCGATGGGGAAACTGGAACCCATGGTTATGTGCCTACTGCTGAATTTCCATTGCGATAAAATGGGTTTCTTGACCTAAAGCACTGTTAGGTGGAACCCTGTGTTGGTGGATGGTGATGCTGGCGTAGGCCCTGCAGGCAGGAAAGATAAACTTATGCCAAGACTATCTGATGACCCAGGTCTAGAGGAGTCTCTATCCCCTGCATGGGAGAAAAGGTCCACAGAGCCAACTTGCTACCAAATAGTTGATTAGTCTCTTTAAAAGACTAATATGGGGGCTTGGTGTTGCTAGTCTCTGCTGCCAACAGATTAGACATTCAGCAGCAGCAGCATGTAGAAGAGCCACGGAGAGTGGGAGCCTGTGCTGATGGGCTCTTGCACAGCCTCATTTCTGCAACTAGGGCATCCATTGTTCCTGCACTGGGTGAGACAATGACAGGCTCACTAATGTCCATCAGCCAAGTCGCCTATGTGGTTGTTTCTGCCCCTTCCACAGTGAGTGCTCTTTGCTGGTGATCACCATGTGATACCCAGATCTTCACACCCTGCACTCACCCTGATAGGTCCATCCACAGGCCCCTGCCCCAGACTTCCTTGTCTCTTGTGTTCCAATCTTTCTCTTTTTCTAACATCCTACTGCCCATGAGCCTTGCCATAAATGTCACAGGGCACATATGCTTACCTCAGGCCACCTCACTTTCCCTACACAGTGGATGACCAGAGGACCTCCCCAGATGGAAGTGCATCAGAAGACTTCCCCTCACTGCTGTCTCCCAGGGCCATCCCTGAGTGTTGCTGCCTGCAATCCATATTAAATGCACATGCGCCAATGAATCAAGCCATCCTGGCCTGAGAGAAGGCGATCAGTGTAAGCAGATGGAGAAAGAGCAGAACAAGAGTGGTGGATGACCTGAGGGCCAAGCAAACCATTTGTGCAACTTCCTTGTTCTCTCTGGCCCTGCTCATGTTCAGTCCTAGATATCCTACTTCCCCTTCTGTTGGGCCCACCCAAGTGTATAAGCAATTGAGTCTGACAGAAACCAGCCCAGCCATGTGGTTACTCAACCTCGCATGATGAAATGCTTCATCTCTATCAGGGCTGAGAAGCACACCAGGAGCCACTTCTCAAATGATGTATTCTTTGGTGCTGATGGCATGGCCTTTCTCCAGAATGCCAGGAGTGCAGTGATTATCCCAGGGCTTGCCATGAGCTCCACATGATGTCCCTTCCATACCTCTGTGATGTATCATACGTGCATGCAGTGCCGTCAAGTTCTGCCACACCACACCATAAATGCCACAGAGTACCATACAGTTGTCCAGGTCGTATGGCACAAATGACAAGGTTACTTTCACCATCATCACCTGGACCTACTGAGAATGCTTTTCTTTCTGGGTCCCAATCAAAGATGACAGCCTTCCACACCACCCAGAAAATGGGTTCAAAATGTGTTCACGAGGGCCAACTATGCTTCCTCCAGAAGCTAAAGAGGCACCTCAGCACTGTGCTACCTCTTTAATGGGAGGAGGTATGAAGTGCAATCTCTCTTTACTTTGGAGGGACTCTCCTGTTAAGTCCCTAAAAACTCCACCAATGTGGAAGGCCTCTAAGTCTTCACAGGGCTGACCTCCCAGCCTCGCTATGCATGTGGCTTACCAAGACCTCCAATCCACTTGCCACTGCTTGCTTATCTGGTCCAATGAGCATGCCACATCGAAGTCGTGGGTAAAAGTGGTAGTCTATGGAATGTCCAGATAGGGCAGGTGACTTCAGACTAAAAAACAACAAAAGTTAGCATGCTTAAAAAATAACTGGATAATTCTAAGCTCCTCAGAGACAACTGAAATTTGCCTCATTTAAAAACTAAAGATGCACTTAAAAATATAAAATCAACAAACTGTATGATTTAGTCTCTACCATTATCAAAATATTATGATTTTATTTATTATATGAGGAGTCTGTTTTAGAAACAAATATGCAAAATAAACCATAAATAAGAATTTTTTTAAGCAACAAAGTGAGAGAGTTCACATGGACCAGGAATGGGACCATAAAAGTATTCTTTGTTTGTTCCAGGTCAATGTGAACTGCTTCTGATCCTCCTTTGTTCAAGGATGAAAAACAACAGTTCACCAAGTCAATAGCTTCCTTAGAGAGGCCAAAGACTCCGTTTAATCTTGTCTAGCAAAAGTTCCATGCTTGGCACAGCCACTGCAGGTGGAGATATGACTTGACTCGCTGTATGGATATTTACTGTCCCCCATCATGGCCCACCAGGTCTGTGTGAGGGGCAGCCACCATGGTGAATTAAATGAGGCTATGGCAAGGGCCACAGCCCCTGCATCCTTTAAGTCTTTGAGGGTAACACTCATGTCTGACATTCCTGCCATCAACGCAAGATGTGGTCATATCTGTGGTTTACGATCTCGTAGGGGAAGAGGCCTACCCCACTACAACATCTTTTATTCTAGGCCAAGGAGCCAACGTGCAGGTTCTGCCAATGAACCTGCCATTCACTCCTATTATACTAGAGAACCAGGGAAATGAAGAATGTGAGCTAGGCTTGAAAAAAGATTCCATTTATTACCTGCCTTCCTGGTCTCCAGTCTAATAGGAGGGCTATGGTAGCATCTTGGGTCTCCAAATATCAATGTTAGCTTAATAGTCCTTGAAAAGCTAAGGCATTCGTCTTTCCCCAGTGTGCATTTGCCTAAATAAATGTCCTAGATACCTTTAGGAGAGAAGTGGGGGAATTATTGCTGAATGCACCTGCTGTAATATGGTACCATCCTTCCTGGGAAGAGCTCTGCTCCTCCTTCAGTCAACAGATTCTGGGGCTGAGAATTAGCTCCATTCAAGAAACTAGGCAAAAGATCCTGACTTTTGTACCTCCTGGTAATCCACACGTGCTTTCTTGTAGAAATTAAGCATTGCCCTTGTTGGGTGCCCATCTATCTCCTTCCTAAAACAATGAGCCTATTGAGAGCTCTCTGCAGGGCAGGAACCCCCTGGGTGCCCCACTGATCTTGCCTCTCATTGTGATCATGGCCTCTGCCTTGCATCCAATGGTGAGCATACCACCTGGCCTTTGTAATCCCAGGATCCTGTCATCCCCGTTGCTACCAGGAGCCAGTTCTGTGATTTCATCATCTGTCATCAGCTCTGGCACATAGAGCACAGCCATTCCTGAGCTCAGTGACTTTGGGGCCACTCTCACCAGTGCATTCCTTTGTACATGGGAAGTCCTCCAGGCCATCTCGTGAAGATAGTCAGCACCATGGATGCTAGCATGTCCACTCCAGCATGGCCACTTCTCTGAGCCATTTGGTCCCTCTCTCCACCATCTGCCTGAGTGTGGGTCACTGCTTTCTCTAGGCTTTTAAGCAACATCTGAGTTGAGTCTTAGCATTCTCTCCAGGGATCTTGACCAAGATGCTTAATCCTGTACCACCTAGATTGCTCCCTCTCAATAAACTCAACCTTATTCGATTTTATATCTACACTCTTTGATCCAATCCCATGAATATATTCCCAGGTCCTCTGCAACATATTAGCTCGACCCCACAGCTCCTTCACCTGATATCCCCTTTTGGCCAAGCCAGCCCAGCTCATCCCCAGTCGGGCTGTGCTGAGATTTGGTTCTTGTTATTCTTTGGTTTTGCCAACAGGAAAGATGAGGGTAGATCCTGATGGGTCAAGCATTGTCTTGTATGATACCTACCTCATTTGAGACCTCTGTATGATCTTCAGAAAAGGAAAGTCTTGCTTTTTTTTTTTTTTTTTTTTGACCGAGTCTCGCTCTGTTGCCCAGGCTGGAGTGCAATGGTGCAATCTGGGCTCACTGCAAGCTCCGCCTCCCAGGTTCAAGCAGTCTACAATCTTCTACATGACATGAGAAATAGGCCATTTCTGCAGGCCCAGGGGACTCAGGGGCATGTAAGTGTTCAGGGTTCCCAACTGTCCAGGGCTCCCACCCTAAGTGTAAGGGTCTCACCTCTTTCCCATTAGAGCCCTGTGTCTGAAGGACTGAGAACTTAACCTACTCAGGGTTCAGACTGGTCCTCCAGCCAACCTGCCTTCCAGCTGCAGATCATCGGGGTTTTCTTAAATGCTGCCAAGGAAGTGCTCTGGCTTTCACAGTTTGCCTGAAACCAGTGATGAGTCATCCTGCGCCTCTGCCTCTCTCTCTTCAACACTCAGTAGCCTCAGCCTCAGCCACCCAAGCCCACAGGCCTTCTGGTTATCATTTCATCAGCCGGCCACCTGCTTCCTCTCCAATTTTTCATTAGGGCCTGCAACTCACAACCACGTCCAGTGTCAGCTGCCTGAAAGTCTTCCTAGAAACAGAGTCTGAGATGGAAATTGCATGCAGAGTGCTGATCAGAGGGTGTTCTCGGGAGATTCTCCTGTAAAGAAGTGAGAAAGGCAGGATGCTGCAGAAGCTGAAGCTGGCTGCAACGAGGCTACACTTGGAGCCACCCCCAGCCAATCCTAAGTGGCGCTCTCGAGCTGGGACGGCCCATCAGAGTTGTCCCAAGTTGAGGCAAGAGGGCCGAGCCTTTGCGTTCCTTCCTCGGTCAGTTTCAGAACCTGGGGGATATGACCTGAAAAGAGGCCATTCCCTGCAGCAGGAGGGGGCATCCAGTGCGGGCTCTGCCATGGCCATCATCAACTGTCACTGCAGCTAGCGGGGAGACCTGGGCAGAGCACCCCAATGGTCACTGCAGCCGAAAGAGGACTGCTTGTCTTTCTGCTCTCACACCCCTTACCTAGGGAAGAGCAGAGAAAGGGTTGCTTGAATGGGAGGAATAGCAAAGAGAACAAAGAAATCCCAATGAGGGGAAACCTCTCAGCGCACCAGCCTCACTGTGTGCTGAGAGGCACCCACTGCCTTCCCTGCACTCCTTAGATCTTGTTCATGGGTGGTTGTTTGTTGTTGTTGTTGTTGTTGTTGTTGTTGCTGTTTTTAATGTAAGAAACAGAATCTTGCTGTGTTGACCAGGCTGGTCTCAAACTCCTGGCCTCAAGCGATCCTCCCCCCTCAGCCTCCCAAAGCACTGTGATTACAGGCGTGAGCCACTGCATCCAGTCTCATTCATCTTTTTGTACCATATTCTCTGTCCCACCACTCAGAAATATCTCAGGTGCTGTACTAGTGCCTTACACATCCTGGACCCTCAGTGCTGTCTCAAACTCCTGGCCTCAAGCAATACTCCCCACTCAGCCTCCCAAAGCACTGTGATTACAGGCGTGAGCCACTGCATCCAGCCTCATTCATCTTTTTGTACCACATTCTCTGCCCCACCACTCAAAAATATCTCAGGTGCTGTGCTAGTGCCTTACACATCCTGGACCCTCAATGCATAGCATGGTAGCACCAAAAGGTGTGAAATACAGAAATGAAATCATTAAGTGAGTCATTCATACCCATCATGGTTATTTATACGGTAATTTATATGGTCAAGCTTGACCGTCTTGGAGGGCTGCTGTCATCACAAAGCAGAACAAGGCCCACCAGGACACCCTGACCTCGTGCAGTGAGCCGGCCCTCAGGCTTGCACAACAACAACCCCCAAACACTGGCATGTTCCCAGCTGAGCCAACATGCACCAGACCCACCCAAACGTGGCCACATCGGAGCCATCTAGAAACCGATTTGAACACTGCTTCTTGTGGTGAGGGACAGGAAACCAAGAGGACACAGGGGGCCGTGTCGAGGTTAACAGGGAGGGCTGCAAGCCCAGATCTCTGGTTTCTGTTCCTCTCCAGCGTTCATCCTCTCCTACTGTTGTTAAAAATCAAATGTAAGATGCAGAGAGCCAGTCCAGGCTGTCCAGAGGACAGGGCTGAGCCTCGCTCCCCACTCCATTCCCAGGGCCTAGCACAGGGCCTGGCACAGAGGCCATATCACAAGTCAAGAAGGAAATCTTTCCTTTCTGCCAACCCTGGATCTTCCCAGAGAGGAGCCCTGTGTCCTCTTGAGGGCAGGATGGGTGGTCAAGGCAGGGACGCGGTAAAAACTAAGGTCGTACACCAGCAAGCTATCGACAAGCATTTAGAAAGCTGTGTCTCAACCAAGATAGTTATTGCAGCTTTATTTGTGTTATCAATAGTCAAAAAAAGGGGGGGGGGAAGACAACTTACTCTGAGCCCTAGGGTGCCTTGTCATAGGAGGTTCTGGGGGTAGGTACACAGTTACTATTTATCCCATGAATAAAAGGGTGGATGGAAATAGGCCAGGAGTTGGGGAACTTCACACAACAAAATCCAAACTGAATGATGGTGAGCCAAAACACAAAAATAACACAAAAGACCCCAAATTGTTACTGTATTTAGAAATAAGACCCAAATTATTATAAAAAATTGTCAGATTGCTACAAGGCAATTTTTTGGGTGCTATAAAAGGCCTCTGGCCCAGGGGCCTAACAGCCTCCTAAAAGAGGATATCAGGAAAAGCAAGTCGCTAAATAGAAGAAAATAAAAGAAAAGGAACTCGTCAGTCAAACTGCATCCTGCCTAGCAGGGAATCCACACACTCAGGGAATCTCAGATCCCAGGACTTCAGACTGAGATGGACTCGGTGTCTCTGGCCAATGAGAACCAAAGTCCTTCACACATCATGCTCCCTGAGACAAGAAAACGTAGGTATGCTTTAGGGGAAGAACAAAAACAGACAAGGGCAGTGGGAGTTTTGATTAGCATAATCTTTACAAATCCTTGCTTTGGAATTCCAGCTTGGCCACCTACTACATCATTTGGGCAAGTTTCTTAACCTCCCAGAACCTCAGTGTCCTCATCTGTAAAATGGCAATTATGAGAACGCTACCTACTTCATCACAGTGGCGTAAAGACTTACTAAGATAATTCCCGTTAAGTGCTTAGCACGTCGCCCTCCAAGCAGTCTGTTATTTTTCTGATGTGTCAATGTCACCATTCACCTGCTGTGCAGTTTTGAGCAGATGATGAACGCATGTGTCCTCCAGGAGCTCCTTCTGCGACATCCCCTAGGCAGCCCGACATGACTCAGCAACACGGTGCTAGGGCCAGATCCCTGGCTAGACACCGAGGTGTGGGGCCCTCGTCTCTGACCTGCCATTGAGCCACAGTGTGAAGCCTAAGCAAAGCCATTTCTCTAGGGACCTTGGCTTAGTTTTCTGGTAAAATACAAGTTTCATTCTAGGTGTTCTCTCAGCTATCTTCTAGGATGTTTTGGAGTCTGTGCTTTCATACAAACACAGGCTCATGCTGGAGCAGGGATGGCCATGGACATCCTTAACTCTCCTAAGAGCCACCCACGGCCTCCCAAGTCACCTCATCAGTTGTCCTCACAGGGAGCCACCCTCTGGGAGTATTTATATCCCTCTACTTTGATTACAGCTGATTAGTAAATTTACAATGTGTTTGAATTTCACTAGACTTACATTTCACAACAGAGAGCAAGGTTTAGTCAACACTTTCATTTGCTAAGGGCAACCATCCAGGCTTAATAAGGCTTTCCCTAAACAGACACCTTCTTTACAAACTTCTAGGAAGCCAAGTGTTAAACAAAAGTCTAACTTGAGACTTTTCTCTTGATTCCTATTATGGGCATTTGCAGTTTGCTTTGCAATTGCATTACCAAGTGCACACTTGCGCACATGCCTGGAAACGTGCACACACGCACAATGGAGCAACGTCCCAGTGTGACGGTTCCTGCTGGCCAAGAACAGCACTGGGTATTTGCATGGGCAAAGACTTTAACAGCGTGAACAGGATTTTCTGAACAAGTCTGGAAATAAAATACCTACCAGCTTTCAGAGTAAATTACCAAAAAAGCAAAGGAGAAAAACAGTTCTTCCAAAAGACAGTCATCTAACCTCCTTACTCCCTGTGCACAAATTACCAGGCTTCCCAGAATCCAATCTTAGGTGAGATGAGGAACAATGGAAGGTATTTACAAGTTTAAAAAATATCAAATTTTTGCTTCTGGACTCCCATGCTATGATGTCACTACCTTGTTGCACTGGTCTGAGAAAAAGAATTATATCTCTATGGGCCTCAGTTTCCCTGTATGTGAAATGAGAGTTTCAATTAAGCACTATCTCAGATCCTTTCTGCCTTCAAAATCATGGGAAATCTCTGTAACAGATTTTTTAACCCATGAGAGGCCTTAGGGTCACTATGAGTATCTGATAAACAGGTGGGCCTTCCCTCCAGAAATATAGACAAAGGCTCATAAACACAGAGAAGTTTACACAGAATGTGAAAGAGGATTCAGAGAACCCCTGAAGCCTGTCCCGGAGGATGGGTTTAAAACTCTCAACTCTGGAGGAGATGTTGAAAGACAATTTCTCCAAAAGAGAGGGAGAAGATACAGTAGCTAGGGAAGTCTGGAAATCTGAATTTTTAATTTAGAAATAGATATTGTGGTTTTGTTGTGAGCTTTGAAAAATTGAGCCATGATTCTGTATAACGCCTCTAAGACAAAGATAAGATGTTAAAGCAGGTTCGTGACCATGGTCAGCTATGGAAGCGGTACACAAGGCCAGTTAGCAGGGTGGAGTCAGGTTCTGAGAGATGAGGTGGTATGGGAATGTCTGGGGCTGTGGGTAATAAGTTGAGCTTTTTCCCAGATGTTCTCTCCATGTTCCAGAGAAGGTAGAAAGCTGGCTACCGACCAAATCTGATTTTGACATTCCTGTAAGATAGTGCCAAGCACTCAGATCTCATCAGCCCCGTGTCAGAGGCAGCAAGGCACCACACCATGGTTGGATAACCCCACATTCAATCCATTTTACTGAAAGCAGCACAAATAAACTAAGAATCAGAGCACTCAATGACTCATATCAGAGGTATGAATTGAAAGTCAACACTTGTATATAATCTAACTGAAGGAGAGTTTATAGCGCAGAATTCTCTCTGTTGGAAAGAAAAACTCCAAATGCGTGTGTGTGTATATGTGTGCACACTCACTATCTTACACAGCACTGCTCATTCTAAGAAAATGAGAAAGGAGAAGAGAAAGCAACTCAAAACTTTTGTTTGATTTAGAAACAAAATTAAATAATAATTGTCAAAGGTATCGCTGGAATAATGATATTAAAAGAGTGATTCATTCTGGTATATTTCCAGAGACAATGTTTACCAGGAACTCCCTACTCCCTCTGTACCCATCACTCAGCATGATATGTTTGCCCTGGCTTCAATTCTCTTTTTCAAAGGAACATTTTGGAGTGTGCAGCTACCTGTACCTCTCTGTTTAGTGATGATGCCACTCAGCGCTGTGTGTCAATTTAATACATGGGAACCTTCATCCCCTACTAGACTGTAGTAATATGTTTACAGGCCAAGGCCCTACACTCCTTGTTGGTGTAGCCCCGCAACACCTAGTGCGATGATTGGCATATAAGTGTAGCCCCACAACACCTAGTGCGATGATTGGCACAGAGGTGATCGTAAGTGTTGGTAAATTACATTAAAAGTTCGCTCTGGGTCAGGCGCGGTGGCTCACACCTGTAATTCCAGCACTTTGGGAGGCGAATCACCTGGGGTCAGGAGTTCGAGACCAGCCTGGCCAACATGGCGAAACCCTGTCTCTACTGAAAGTACAAAAATTAGCTGGGTGTGGTGGCAGGCACCTGTAATCTCAGCTACTCAGGAGGCTGAGGCAGGAGAATTGCTTGAACCCAGGAGGCAGAGGTTGTAGTGAGCCGAGAACTGAAAGTAAGGTAGTGGCGAAAACCCTGGTTGTGAGGCAAGGCACTGAGTCCTCATTTTGCCGCTCACTAGTTGCTTTAACTTCGAAACTTCTTTTAACTTCCACCAGCCTCAGCTTCCTTAATAAAATCAAGAGTCTGGATCAAGTGTGAAATCCAAGTCCAATTTGGTTTTATCTTCTATGTGGGATTGTTACCCAAGGACTCAGCTTCAGAAGTGACTCACCTGAGCTCCTGCCCATCCAAGTAATTGGAGTTTAAAGACACAGGCAACCCTTCAGGCTTACGTGCTGGCTCTGGGCCTTGTCGGTGCGTGGGTGGATGTATGGAGGCTGGCTTCCCTGTTTCCAAGTGCCTTCTGATTTACATGGAGCCTGAAACCTATTCTGGAGGCTATCTGCATTTTAAAGGCCTTTTTAAATGGTCTTGTCTGAGGATTGCATTTGAAACTTGCACTAAAGGCCCACGTTGCCTTAGAAGAACCTGCGCTTATCAAAGCTCACAGGTAGTGAAATGGCCTTTATTTGGGGAAGCCTTTAGAATCCATTACAGTCATTGGAACGTAGGCTCTGGGGGGGGCTCTGGGTGGAGAAGCAGCTCCACTTTCCTGAGACCACTTGAATGTTGCCAACAAGTGAAAAGAACGGTAGAAAGAAGGGAGAGAAAGGAAGGGACACAGGTGGTCAACCTCCGGAGGTC
The DNA here is from genome assembly GCF_000001405.40 of Homo sapiens. Classification (NCBI taxonomy): domain Eukaryota; kingdom Metazoa; phylum Chordata; class Mammalia; order Primates; family Hominidae; genus Homo; species Homo sapiens. The sequence goes on from NC_000002.12 coordinate 8,308,414, forward strand.
TGTTCCTCCCTCTCGACCGAGTGATCCCAAAGGATCTCCCAGAAGCCAAAGCAAGAAGCTTTGGTGGGAAATCAGGCAGCACGGTCATGGAAAGGCGGCCTGCAGACTCAGGGTGCATCTCCTGCCGACCTCAGGGCCCTGCTGTCTGGCTCTTCTGCCTCAGGGCGACTTCTCAGTTCTCTCTCCTCCTGGGCGGGGTCTTCCCTGACCCCTCCTCTACCCCCCACATACCATGCCCTTCCCTGCCACCAGGCCTGGCTCTCCTGAATGCCTGTCTTGTCTGCATTGCTGCGTTCACCTCATTGCAAGATGATGATCTGTGTACATTCGCATCTCCCCTATTGGAATGAAGTTTCTTTGAGGCTAAAAGTTGGTGTCTGTATTTTCTGTACTTAGCACACAGTTGGCACACAACACGAGTTCAACAAAAGACTAACTGAATGAGTGAACAAATGAATGAGCAAAACTGGGAAGGTGGGGATGACCCAGGAATACATTTATCCAATAAACTCTTACTGAGGGCCAACTCTGTTGCTAGACTGAGGGGACAGTGGGACTCACAGGGTGGCGGGAAGACAGGGATGTTCTCAAGCTTTGCCTCCTCTCAAGAGGCAGGCACCCTTCTAGAACTTACTGGAGTGCATTGCAATTCTGAGTTCTGTGTCTATGTCTTTGGTCCCCCAGCTAAATGACCCAGCATGGAAACAAGGCAGCAAGTGCTGATGAGGGTCACTTCTGGTCCACCGGGTCATGCTTTGGAAGGTCCTGTCCTGTAAATGATCAGCTTCCCCTGGGAAAGAGCTGAGAAGCTGACAAGACTGGTGACCCGGGAGAAGGCAGCAGTGTTCTAAAAAGGAAAGCTGTGATCTGTGTCAGGCCAGACCCTCTAGGACAGCCAACAAGATCCGGCATGCTCAGTGTGCAGAGGGAACAGGACATTGACACAGCTGCAGAGACGGCCAGAGTGTGAAGGAAGAAGCTGCAGCAGGAACCTAGGAGGTGGGGAGGCCCGGCAGGGGACTGAAGCCCCGGCCAGGGCCAGGGCAGGATGTCTGTGCCTGATCTGCTCTGTCTTGTTCCAGCCTCCTGGGACAACTTACCACGTCTGAGGTCAGGCCTATGACAGTACAGTGGGATAGAGTCTGAAGTTAGCACATCAGAGCCCTGACAATCCTTTCTTTCACCCTAACACCCAGAACACAAGGGGTCTTGAGTATTTCACACTGTAAAGCATATGTGTCCACATATACATAGATTTTGAAACTGGACTGCTTGTGTTCAATTCTGGCTCTGTCAATTACTAGCTATGAGACCTTGGGCAGATTACTTAACCTCTCTGTATCTCAGTTTCCTCACATGAAAATGGGATAATCATAGTATCTACCTAACAGAATTGTCAGGATTACAAGAGGTAATATATGCAAGTCACTTTGAATAAGCCCTGGCACATAGTCAGTGCTATATATGTTGTTGCTATCACAATTGTTAATATTATTTATATATTAACATATAGTTATAGAAAGGGGGGCATATGCATTCTGATTTTATAGTGCTGTATATTAAATGCTGACAGGGAGAGAACAGTCACCTGGTTAACATGGCTATGTTAAAAGAGGGGGACTTTTACTCCATCTGAAACCAAGTGGCAGAGAGCGTGTGGTGGCAATGGGGTGGGGGTGGCTGGGTATGTCTGCATTCCCTGGATAGAAATTTATAGCGAAATGGGTGGCAATCATTTCTGGTTGTTAGATTACTTATCTGACACAGGGCTAACAACTAAGAGTTGCTGAGAAAGGCAGATGTAGTTTAGAGCAGAAGGGCACGGGATCCCACTCCTGAGTCCTGCAGTAAAGTGGCTGTGTGTGGCCTGGTCAAGCTGCCCACTGTGGCTGGGACTAGGGTTCCTCCTTTAAAATACAAGGGGACTTAAACTAGAAGCGGCGTGGAGAATGACTAGCACCCCAGCTCAGCACCCTGGTGGCTTCCCATAATTTACTCCTCCAACTTCTCGGCAGCTCCGAGACACAGGCAAGTGGACTGAGCAGCTTAACTTTACAGATGGCGGCAAAAGCGTGGCTCTCATGGGAGGGGGTGACCTATCCTTGAGCTCAGATCTCTTGACCTCTGGGGTCTAAAAAATTACCAAGACAAGCCTGGGGGAGTGGGCCCCAGAGAAGGAGGGTGACCCACAAGTAAACAGGAGAAGTGGGGTGTCTTTCTAACTAACCCTCTTATCAACGTTCCGAGTATTTGCCCTCAAATGGTTAACCAAAGTGACACCCAAGGCAGAAACGGGCCTGGAAAGGTCCCTGATGCACAGAGGCTGGTGTGGCGGGAGGGTGTGTGGGAGGAGGGGAGGAAGTGGCACTCTGGTGGCTTTGTGCAATTATTTTCCAAGACTAACAGGATGCTGTTTTCTTCAAACAAATCTGATGTCCTTGTGCCCTATTGCCCTTGATTTAGATCAGTTTCAAAGACAACTTCCCCCAAGGTGATCCAGGCACGTGATGCTCCTTTTAAATTGTCCTTCAGAATGCGTTTGAAGTATTGGTCCTTGCTAGTGGGTACATTTTCCTTGGCCCAGCTAACTATCAGGTCGTTTTCAAAGTAGTTTCTTTCAAAAGTAGCCCCTTTGAAGTAGTTTCTCAGTAGACATTTTGGCATCAAACTGTACAGACATTTATGTAAAACATCACATCAGCCACCAGGCTGCTTCAGAGGCCGAAAGCAGCTCAGGGTTTATCATGATCTAAGTGTCCTAGCCAGTAAGTGAGAGAGGGCTCCCAAAAAGGCAGAACAGAGACAAAGGTCGAAAAGCAAAGCCATCTCACTCCCTCGGTCACTTGCCCACTCATTTCAAAGAGGCATAAGGAGCCCCAAATCCACGCTACCTCTATTCTAGAGATGAATGAGGCACAGTTCCTGCCATCAAGAACTCTGCAGAAGGAAAGGAAAGGCTGACACCAGCCACAGTGTTGAGAGGGAAGTGCAGGACAGGTTAGGAGGCTCCGGAGGGCAGAGAGGCTATTGGCTGAGGCTAGAGGAGGCTTCTGGGATGGATCCTGGAAGGATAAATGGGGTTCCTCCATGTGCTCTATCTCTAGAATGCAGTGGCTTATCCAGAGGTGTGCTCAGTTGAAAAAAATAAAACTTGATTTTCAATGTTTGCCAATTTCCTTGTTGTAAACACTCCCACCTAAGAATAGCAAATTTTAAGTTACCAATGGAGACCAACGTGACTTCACTGAACGCAGAGTTGGGAAGAGACAGGCAGTGGCCACCGTGATATAGTATGTCACCCTACAGACAGGAGGGGCATAGAATACCTTCAGGAAAATAGATCATAGCAAAATCATTAGGAAGTGATGAATCTGAGTATTTATCACCTTTGTTTTTGCTACCGTTTTGTTGTAAATTTTTAAAATTTAATGTTTAATAATGGCTGTGTTTAATAACCAGCTTCCCAGGTTCCTCAAAGTGTAATAATCAGCTCTCACAAACTGACACAAGCCAGCTCGCACACTCCGGGCTATTTCTTCACTCACCTCTACAGCTGTGGTTTGAGCTACCATCGCATCTGCAGGAATGCGACTCTATCCTTCTGCTCGGTCTCCCTGCCTCAAAAGCAGTGGCTACTCCTCCCATTGTACCCTGCTTCCAACCCATTCTCCACAGGGTAGCTGTGGGAATCTTTCTAAAAGGCAAATGTGACCCCACCATTCCCCTGATTGAACCCTGTGATGGTTCTCTGTGTTTTTTCATTCTCCCCGTGGTGTGGACCCCTGCCCATGCCCTGAGTCCTCCCAGCCCCACCTCCTGCTCTCTACATTCACAGGACCCCAGGACTCCCCTGCCCCAGATGTCTGGAAGTCCCTTCTCTCATTCTTTATGAGAGGCAAGCTCCTGCCTGTCCTTTCAGATCTTCACTTAGATTTGACTTCCCCTGGGAGATACTGGTTGGCCCCTGAGATCAGAGGTGGTGCCTCCTCTGTGTGCTGGTGGGGTCCTGGGCTCTAGCCACAGAAGCACCTGTCAGCTACATGTTGGTGAGATGGTTTTATGGCACCTGGCTCAGCGCGGGCCCTGATGCAGACAGTCCAGGTGTGACCCCTGGCTCTGCCATTCACTGGCTTTGTGTCCTCTGAAAAGCCACGTCACACCCCTAAGCCTCTTTCTTTCCCTGTAGAATGAGGACAGCAGCAGCCTCTCCCTCCTCCCTCGGAGGGTTATTTTGAGCCTTGAATGATTTCATGTGGATTGAGTGCCTTGAACATGGGTGTATTGTCAGTGTTAAATACGAGTTAACTAATACCTGTTTTGTCTCCTGTGTTTGCCCCATGCCTGATCCCCATGCCGGTGGAGGCTGTTTCCATCTTTTGTCTGTGGTCTCCATAAATGCAGCCAGTGTTGAACACCCAGTAGAGGATCAGGCACTGCTGAAATGGAAAATTCAGAGAATGAGTGGCCCATGGAAGGCAGAAGACGTGGGCCCGCCTGCTGAGGGAGAGCAGGTGAGGAGGCCAGAAACCTATTCCTCACAGTTTTGGAGGTTGGAAGTCCAAAGTCAAAGTCCAGCAGGTTTGGTTTCTGGTGACGGCCACCCGCTGGCTATGTCTCCACATGGCCAGAAATGTGCACCTAAACTGAGAGGCAGGGAGCTCTCTGCTATCTCTTCTTGTAAAGACACAAATCCGATTAAGTCAAGGCCCCACCCTTATGACTCATTTAACCTTAATTACTTCCTTAGAGGCCCCATCTCCAAATACAGCCACACAGGCGGTTAGGGCTTTAGCATAGGAATTGCAGAGACACAGACATTCAGTCCATAGCAACCCTCCTGCCCTAGACCCCCTGGCTCTGTATACAGAGAGAACAACACTGTCCTCCCCACATTCTCTGGTGTGAAGAGGTGAAAGGGAAAATCATTTCATCAGCACTCCACCTAAGCCAGCTGCTCTAGCCACGGCTGCTAATGACCAGCTAAGCGTGTCCATTGCTTCTGGAGCCTGAGAATTTGGTTTTTTTGTTTTTTTTTTAACAGGGGACCTTATTAGCTGCTAACTGCTGAGATGAGAAATTGTGGTCAGACCATTCAGGTGCTCAGCCTTTCAGCTGAAGTCCCCTCCCAGGGGCCTGCCTCTGCCTCTGCATACTCAGAATTTTCCAGCCAGTTCAGTTTCTGTCAAGTAATTATTTACAAATTAGATTCCCAGGGAATACATGATAAGAGAATGTAAGCATGGCACCCTTAAATCACAACAAACTATTGCTCAATAAAAGACAAACCATTAATCCAATAGCCAATGCTAGAAAACTCAGGGACCTGCCACAGTACCAGCCCACAACTGAGGCATTTATCACCACTTAGTCTTCCTGAGTACAGCTGAGAATTTATACAGGGACAGTGACAGATAGAGGCTCTCTAGTCTAGGGCATCAGTACACAATACTTTTTTTCAAATCATTTTCTCAATTCAAAATACCTGAGCACTCTATAAAATATGGGAATTATTTATCTGTGGTTTCATTAAAGCTATCATAATTGCTTGTTTTAAAGCATGTACTATTGCTAGGAATAGGTTACGTATTATGACATATCCTGCAAAATATCTTCAAATAGCCAGTCCCTCTGCCTCCCTAGAACATGGCATATGTTATTCAATGTTACGGATGTTCCACTGGAAAGACTACATTTACCACCCTCTCTCTGGCTGGGTGTGGCCATCTGAGCTCTGGCAAAGGCTGTGCAAGATGAAATGTATATGTGGGGGTGAAATGGCAAGGCGGGGGCTGCCTCATGAAAGCAGAAGGGAAGGGAGTGGCACTCTTTTCCCTCTTCCTCTTTTCTGCTCTCTGAAATATGGATGTGATATCTAGAACACCCACAAATATCTTGACCATGAGATAACCTTGAGATATAAGCAAGCCATGAGCTAAGATAGTTGAAGAATAAGACAGGAGGGGCCTGAGTAGGGGTGACCATGCCACGGTCACCCAGCCATCCACAGCTTCACAGAGAGAGTGAACTAGCCTTTGTGTCATCAGAGCCTGTGTTCGTGAGGTGTTCTGTGATGTGCACCCGCACCTGATCCTCAGTGCTGCCATGCCCATGTCACGCTAGGGTCCATAGCGGGCACATTCATCTGAAACCCGGAGCTCATTCACAGACAGTGCATTTGTGATTCTTTCACTGATTCACTCACAAATTATTTGCTGAAGCTCTGTTTGCTAAGCTTCCAAAAGCCAATTCTGTCCCCTAAAGTTTCCAATCTAGTTCAGACATAAAATCAGCCATTATGTGGTTAAGAGATAAGGCAAGACGCCTCAAGCAGGACGACTCTCCTGTGCTAGAATTGTACCAGGGTCAAAATATTGGAATTGGATATGGCTAGTCTTTTTCTTTTTGAAGGTCTTCAGGATAGAAATTTGGGAGAGAGGTGGCCAACAGGGCAATGCGTGTGCGTGTGTGTGTGTGCATACCTGTGCTCTTGTGCATGTGAGGATGTTGGAAGATGGAGAAGGAAAGATAGAGAAACAGAAGAAAAGCATGGGACGCTGCAGATAAATGCAACCAAATTAACATTTCCTCCCAAAGTACCATGATTCTTAACATTTACATCTAAGCACTAACTTATCTGCACTTAAGGGTTGTGAAAACTCTAGCCTCCATAGCAAAAAATTTAGTATAATAGCTCAACTCCATATAATTTTATTATTTCCAATAAAAACAAAATGTTAAGTATATAACTAAATAGAATTGAGTTTTTATGTTTATGTAAGACTCTTCGCATCATTAGACTCACCCATCTATAAACTGCATTTTCTACCATGGCCCCAAGTATAAAAAGGATGATATGATTACCATAATCTCAAGACATCTACACAATCCTGGGAAAAACCCAAACAACTATGAATCTCCCAGTGGGGGAAAGGTCATTTTGATATTTCTCTGATGTTACTTATTACTAAACTCACAAATTTCAAATTATAGTCATATTATTTGAAATTATAAATATGATCTGCCTAGAATAAGCCCCACTAACATGTGAGCACAGCTCGGAGGTAGAATCAGCCACATCATGTACTTTACACTGAAAATTCCACTCTTTTTCAAGAGTGTGTTAATGGCCTCTGCCTGCAAGTGTGGGCCCATGTGCTTTTTTCCAAAAACCAAAATGACAATAATTAAACCAGGCAGCTGCTGCCCCTAGCAATATGACAACCTCTCCCTGCTCCCTGGAATTTGCTGGAATCACCCTACTTGAGCTCATCCCGTTCGAATTAGCTGCTCTCTCCCTGTGCCCTGGCGATCTGGGTGAGTTTCCCATCTATTAGCTGAATTATTCAGATGTTTTCCCACAATGGCCCTAGCAGTCCTCATATAACTAGTTTCTAAATCAACAGTGAATTACATTATTGACAATCTGAGCAGATTAATTAAGAAATCTGTCAGGAATGACACGATGAGAGCTGGCTCCTGTTCAAGGCGGATCCGCAGTCTTCAAGACAGAAGTACGCTTGATGTGGCTTCAGAAGTGAGGGGTGAGTAACAGCAGCAGACCCAGGCACAGGCCACACCCACTGGGCTTAGCAGGACAGCCAGCATGGGAAGGCTGGGCTGGAGGTAGTAAGTCTCACACTCACACAGCTTCACAGGGCTGCTGGCTGGCTTGCATCAACTAAAGTGTAGGGCTGAAAAAAACATTCTGTGAACCCTCAAGCACTTTTTCAATGTGAGCTATGTATTGTTATTCCCATGCACAGACCCTGGGTGACAGAAACCATCATAGCTATGTCAGAAGAGGCTACTTTGCTTTTAAGCTTTTAAATGCCTGTTTTGGGGGGCTCTCAGGCCCCCCAAAAGCCAAACATCCTAGAAAATCCATTTTGGTGCCCAGCAACAAGAAAGCAACTTCTGTTCTATATACATCTATTCCTTCATGCATTAGTCCATTTTCACACTGCTATAAAGAAATGTCTGAGAGTGGGTAATTTATAAACAAAAGAGGTTTCATTAATTCACAGTTCCACTTGGCTGGGGAGACCTCAGGAAACTTAACCATCATGGCAGAAGGGGGAGCAAGGCAAGTCTTACATGGCAGCAGGCAAGAGAGGGAGTGAGCAGGGGAAACTGCCACTTTAAAACCATCAGATCTTGTGAGAACTCCCTCACTACAAGAACAGCACAGAGGAAACTGCCCACATGATTCAATCACCTCCCACCAGGCCCCTCCCTTGACATGTGGGATTACAATTCCGGATGAGATTTGGGTGGGGACACAGAGCCAAACCATATCACTTCATAATAAAATTATAGTTGCTTTCTCCAGAGAATCTTGCAATCGAAACCCAACATAAATGCAAATAAATAAATAAGAATTAAAAATCAGAATATCACAGAGTTCTGTTTGATCTAATTGATTTAATTTGAGGATTTTTTTTTGAGACCCTACTAGATCCATCAGCAATAATTTTGCAAATTTTCAGTGGATAACACAAAAGTTGTAAATTCCGAAGTCCTAGGTTCAAGTTTGAATGAAGCCCTCAGGAACTGGGTAGTCTTGGACCTGCCACTCCCAAAGCTGAGTGTTTCCACCTGCAAAGAAAAGATCCCTGCCTCCCACGCGGCTGTGAGGATCAGGTAGAAAAATGTGTTTGAAAGAGGGATTGGCTGATGTGTTATCCAACACACAACTTAAATATCTCATTTCATTTAATATTTACAACAACCTGCAATAAATGCATTATCTCTGTTTTAAGAATAAGAACAAGGAAGGTGAGTACATTTTTCAATATCAGAGGGTTGCTAGTAGCAGAGGCTGGCCCTAAGCCCCAGGCATCAGGCTCCCATATGAGGTTAGGGGTGTCCTGGGGAACTTGGGTTGTAGCTGAGCTCCAGAGGGTGAGTCAAGGTTTTCAGGAGAGAGGGAACATGGTGAGGGCAGGAATGCTGGAAAGGAGGGTGCCCTGGGCATCCTGTAGAGGAGCCACTGTAGGACCGGGGTGCTGTGTGGGGTGCATGGTGTGTCTGAGAACCAGCAAGTGGTATAATGAAGCCAAGTGGTGCCAAAGAAGCCAGGCAGAAGGTGAAAGAGAGGCCATGACAATTATCCTAATAGCAACAACCACAGCAGCAACCTGATTGACACTAACGAGAATGAGCTGGGGGTCTGATGGCGTTCAGGGTGTTTCACACATGCTAATTAACCCAGTGCTCCTTTCACCACGTGATCAATGAAGACAGTGAGGCCGAGAGGGGTGACGTCACTGGACACTGGCTATGAAGTGGACTTTGAGGGCCTGAAGGACAAGAAGAAATGTGTGGCCCCGAACAACAAGAGACCATCATGAGAAGGGCAGATGGCCGCGTGAGCAGTGAGCTTCGCATCACTGAAGCTTTCACGCAGGAGTTAGAAGAACATTTTCCTGGAATGCTGTAAAGCAGTTCTGACATCTTATCTCTTCTACCTCCAGATTCTGTAAGGTTCAGAATTGGGATCAGTCTCCTGACCTGGTGTTCTTAAAAGTTCTCATTGTGCACACCCAGTCACCTAACAGAACCTAGGGCAAAGAAGAGTGGAGTTTACTGATACCAAAAATGGGAATAAATTAAAAGGAATATCTTCCTAGATCAGAGATGAGACTGTTCAATCCATGATGATATGCAGTTGGGACACGGTCAGGAATGAAAAGAAGCTACAGAAATGCAAGTCAGGAAGAGAGACCTTGACCAGAAGGAATGAATGCAGATAAGACTGTCTCCAAAGACTCAGAGCAGGCCAGGCACAGTAGCTCAAGCCTGTAATCCCAGCACTTTGAGAGGCTGAAGTCGGTGGATCACTTGAGCCCAGGAGTTCGAGACCAGCCTGGGCAACATGGTGAAACCCTTTCTCTACCAAAAATATAATAATTAGCCAGGCATGGCGGTGCATACCTGTAGTCCCAGCTAGTCAGGAGACTGAGGAGGGAGCATCACTTGAGCCCAAGAGGTAGAGGTTATCGTGAGCCATGATCTGCCACTGCAATCCAGCCCAGGCAACAGAGCAAGACCCTGTCTCAAAAAAAAAAAAAAAAAAAAAGACTCAGGGCTGCCTGCTGGACCTGCTTGGACCTGCAGGGTGGGTGCTGATTTAGGACAAGAATAGGATCAATTCGAGGTGCATTCTAGAAGCTACTAGTCTACAGCAGCCTCACATATCATCACTCACTGCTGTTTGCTTGGAAATCTGCAGTCTTCAGTTCCACTACTCAACTGAAGCACGCAGAGCTCTGGGGGTTCCTCTCAGGGACAGGCTTGGGGCATCAAGCATCCTTTTCAAGCATTCCCCTTCCCCCCAACCTCAGCCAGAGCACAAGTCTCTGATTAATTTATCATATTTGGTTTATCTTTGAGACTGTGTTGAATAAAAGGGTTTGGCTGCTTCTGTAGACTAAAAACGCTCTCCAAAAACATTAAAGACTGTTTTTAACCTACTCTTTAAAACACCTAATTCTATGCACTATGCTGAAATATTTTTGGGGGTGGCAATGAAGATTTTCACAAAAGAGTGTCCTGATTTTCCCGGAATTCTTAGATTCTAAAATTCTGCATTTTCTGACATTCTGATTTCCTACTGCCAATCAAAGACTGACAGTCCACACCTGCCTCTTTGCCCCAGGTTTTCTGTGGTAGAAACTTCCTTTCCTTAATGAGCTGGAAGAGTTTTTGAAAACATTAGAAAGAAGGAGACAATATTAAAATGACAAAGCCTGTGAGTAGAAAAAATTCAAGACCAGAGAATAGAAGAAAAGCTGCTTTAGTTACTGAGAAATTCTCCATGAGGTAGCCAGCCAGAGGGACATAGAGTGGTGGAGATAGCCACGTTCATCACATGAAAAGCCAAACCCCTCCATGAACCTCCCCAAGCATATACCTGTCTCCAGGCTTACGTAGTGGAGACTGAATCATTCCTTAAGTTGCTAAAATCTACCTTTAAAGGTTCCTGAAAGATGTTGCAATCATTCTGGGAAATAGATCTATGTGTCATTCAAAATGAGCTCATCAACATGATGCATAAATTGGGCACCAATACAAAGTTTAATATTTCAGAGTAAATGGTGAATCTTTAGGAATTCATCTGTTTAGAAACCAACAACTGACTAGGAGGATACATTATTTCTTTTGATGGGCTTTTCACCTATATTATCTCATCTAATCCTTCAACAATTCTCAGTGTAGCTGCTATTATCCCCATTTTATAGAAACAAGAACTAGGGCTCTGCAACGTCACATGAGCTACTTGCCCAAGCTACTGGTACTTGAGCCCAGGTCCTCTGATTAAGCATCTTGCATTCTTGCTCCTACACTGAAGGCTTTCAAACAGTGGCCCACAGAGACCCCAAACTAACAACAGCAGTAATAATAATGATCCTAACAGCCACGACAATAGTTCACACGTATTGAGTACTTAATATGGACCAGCCAGTCTGTTGAGTGTTTTAGACACCTTATCTTTTTAACTTTCTCCGGAATCCCATGAATAATTCCATCACTTGACCAAGGTCACACAGATAACATGGGGCGAAGCTGAGCTAAAACCCAGGAGGCATCAGGTTGACCCACCAGCACCTCTCCTTCCATGGGATACATCAGGGACCATTTCTGTGGGTGGGAAAATGAGAGGTGGGCACAGTGGCAGGTCTTGGGGCTCCCAATTATTCCTTAAACGGACCAGCTCTTCTTTCTGTCTTGGGATTCCATGAAGGCAGTGATAGAGCAGAGGGTCACAGTAGGGCTTCAAGGTGACATTAGCCCTACCTTCTCTGGACTTACACAATCTCCTACCCAATCACCACAAATGAACACATCCACAAATTAGAAACAAGATTCTTGCTATGCAAACACAGGTGCAAGGCAAGTCCCCAACCAAAGGACTCATCTTCACACCCAGGTACCACTTGAGATTTCATTTAATGAAAGAGTTCTGTGGCAAGCATAAATAATTTACTTAAAGTTTCCAAATGGCTGCAGTGGCAGCCAAGCAATGGTATTTCTACTGTTCCAAGAGGGGGTGATTCAGACTCTTGCTTCTCAAAGAAATAGCCCACAGACTGGCAGTGTCAACCCCATCGGCCAGTTAGTTAGAAACTCACAACCCAGTAGGTTCCACCCAAACCGATGAGTCAGAACCTGTATTTTAATAAGATCTCCATGAGTTTTGCATGGAGATGAAAATTCGCAAGATAGAGCTCTAAAAGACCACCAAGTAAGGTGATTTGAAAAATGGGACAAGATTCTAAAATTTCCAAGTGATTTCCAGCACTGACTTGGGATCTCTCTTCTCCATTATCCATTTGATGAAGGCTGTGCCTTCAGAAATCCCTCAGCATTGGTCTATTTGTCCTCATTAACATTGCATAGTTCATCACAGACTTATCCTGGTACAGCGCTTGCCCCTGGGAGTGGAGCAGAGGCCAATTATGGTAGCCTCACACAGAAGCATATGACTTTCTTTTAATCCTCGAGTGGGGAAGTGAAGTCATCTTTGGAGGTCTGAAGCTGCCAAAGATGAGAAACTTCTTTTATAATAAAACCCAGAGGGAATTACACCTTGTTTACTTTAAAAGTTTTAAACAGAACACATGTGCACTTACATTCGGAGTCCATGGAGAGGCTTAATCATATTTTACATGAAGAAAGACCTACTCACAGTACCCTGGGCAAGTTACATAGACTTTCTGAGCCTCAATTCTTTTCATCCATAAAATAGAAATAATAATAGTATCGACTTCACAGCATTGATTGAATATGTGCAAAGTGCCCAGAACACACAATAAGTATGTATATGGGGCACACGTGCGCGCGCGCGCGTGCGCGCGCGCACACACACACACACACACACAGAGAGAGAGAGAGAGAGAGAAAAGAGTTAAAAGTTAGTGTGTTATTTCTGCACAGTTAAATTCCAGAAGTAGAGCGGTTATTATTTTCTTCCTTACACTATTCTATATTTTCAAATTTTCTACAATGACTACTTGTTATTTTAATAATCAGAAAAGATAATCATTTTTAATGAGGATGATATGTCACTAGAAATGGCTAACGGAAAGCCATGACTTCTGGAAGGCTGGTGGTGGAGAAGCTGTGGAGCATAATGAGAAAAGCACAGAATTACCACATCATGACCTTGCCACTTCAGGGCCATTATATCTTGACCAAGTCGCTTTGCCTCTCCAGACCTCATTTCATCATTGGCAAAATGGAATCACAACGTCTTCTCTGTAACTCCACTGCATTTCTAAAAAGGTCAAATCTGATCATGTATATAATGTGCTTTCTGTAATATAAAAGGCCTCCCTGTTATTATTTCTGTATTATTATTATTATCATTTATGGACAGAAAACATTAACACTCAAGAAAAAATGTATTCACATTTTTTACTTTATATGAAAATGTTGACATAGATTATATCCATTCTTTTAGGAATATTACATTGGAGATGAAAATAACATGGGCCCCTCCTTGGAGATGAAAATAACACGGGCCCCTTCTAATATGGTTGAGTTTTACTGATATTCATTTATCTATTAAGACAGGTTGAACTGCTTTAAAATACAATTGATTAAACAAAAAACTTAACCAGTGATGTGGAGAGTAAGAAAACATCCTCCTCATATCATTCTTCCCAGTTTTAAGATGAAAAACTACAGACTGTTGAGTCCAGACTGGATGGGGGTTCCTTCACTAGGAATACAACATACTGTTGAGAATTATTTTCCCCTGGGCAGTTTTCCTTGGTCCTGACACTTTCTTCTTCAATCCTTGGTCCTGACACTTTCTTCTTCAATCTGTCCATCTAAAATATATTTACCCTTAGCAAGTTCAATCCTTTTCAGAAAAAACTACAAATGGTCATGTCAAATAATCACAAATTTATTTATTCTAAATATTATTACCACACAAACCTGCAATGTAAAATACTTTCTAACCTCGCACTCCACATTAAATCAAAACATATTGTGCAGACCCTTCTTAATTTATGACCAAGAAAATGCAGCTAGAAAGATGGAATCCTCTCATTTCAGATGATTCTATAAACGAAAACGAGAGGTTTGTCATTAAGTGGTATTGATGATACCCACAGTGTTCATATGTTTGTCAATTTCATTAACCTCTCAAATTAGGTATTCATAATGTGTTAATGACAGTGTAACACATCACTACATTATTCAATGTAATTTCGTGGATATTATGTATAGTTTGTAATGTTAGAATCTCTTGTCTTTACAGCTGTTAGAAAACATTATACTTTCCAAGATGATTAGGGGACATGTGAATACCAAACGGCAGAATCCACAGCTCAAACAATGGTCCCTGCTTGGCCTTGAATTCTGATCACGGTATGACTAGACAGTTTCCCCTGACAAAGGACTAAGCTCCCTTTAACGTGTTATACAAGAACTAAAGAATCACAAAGCTGACAGACAGCTTGAGAATTTGTCAATTAAATTTCTTCCCTTCAGGCTAGTGGTGATAAATTGAATTATTATCTATCAAACAGTCCCTCCCTCTCTCATTGGAATAGAGCACACTTTGCTGCCCCACTGACTATTGAGGGGATTGGCCAGTGTCTTGTTTTGGCCAAGGAAATATAAGCAAACCTGATAGGAGCAAAGGTTTTAAATGTGCTGTCATGGCTGGTTTGTCCTCTTGCACTCCTGTAATCCAGCATGAGAAGAACATGGCCCAGAGAGCCCCTTCCCCTTTAGTGTGGGCCCCAGAATAAGCCCCCTGGAGCAACCCTGAGCCTGAACAGAGCTTGGAACAAAGCCTGCCCGAGCCCAATAAGATTAGCAGAACCTCAGCCAAACCACAGACACACGGCTAGCTAAGAAACACAAATATTCATTACAAGACACTGAGAATCCAAACTTTTTTGTTACACAGCATTCTCGGGGCAATAGTAGACTCATACAATGGCAGAACTCTTTAACTGTTCTGTTAAACTGACAGCTGTTGCAATAGGATCATGGAATCTTCCGAGCTTTGATTTCAGAAGACAGCATTTTTGTCTCTTTCACTAAAATCTTGGCACTTATACAAAATGATATTGGGTATATCACTTAACTTTTTGTGTGTACTTCAGTTTTTTAATTCATCGATAAGTCAGTCACTCACATACATTTTTTAAAGTTATTGTCATGTTCGTTCATGTTTATTATGCTAACCACTACAAACAAAATAGGGAATAAAATTGACATGTGTTTTTTGTTTTGTTTTGTTTTTTAACTACAGGTACCGACATTCTATAAAATGGGTATAACTCCCGGTCTGTTAACCTCATGAGGTAAGTGGAAGAGATTATAAAAGAGAGAATGCAGTAAGATCATCTTTGTGAAAGTACTATAAGAGTTGAAAGCCATGAGCAAATTTGAGGGAATTTTATTTTGAATTTTTAGGATTTTTATTGTTTGAAATCTATCCCAAATTTTAAAAGATCCATGATCCCGCTTATGATAAGTCTGTGCCAACTCTAAAACAGCTATTCTTATCTTCAGCTGCAGGAAAATGGAAATCTTCATTTGTTTCATCAAATATTGTATGTGTTTGATATTAGCCAAGTTCTGAACCCAGCGTAAGAAAACTAGGAATCCCTTACTTCATCTCTAAGGCTATTCGAGAAAAGATGAATGAATTCTTCCCTTCCAATTTTTTCAGATTTATTTATATTTTTCGAATTTGTGTGTGAATTGATGCTAATTCCTTCACTTTGGCGATTGTTTAGTAACAAGGTTTAAAATGGATACATTTGAATGGCAGGACTTAGGTAAGTGGGTGTCAGTGAAGCGAGAGACAGCCCAAGGATCATAGACAAGTCGACTCCTAGAGCAGAAAGACACTCAAAGCATCACCCAATCAAACCCCCACCTGCATATGCGAAAGCTCAAACCCAGTGGCTGCAGGACCACACTTCGGAAGAGCAAGAATGACACTGGCAGCTCTCTACCACAGTCCCATGTCCTCACTTTAGTTAAACTTTACAGAGAGTGAAACAATCAGCTAAGAAAAAAAACCAACAGGCAAGTATCTTTCATCTGCAATGCTCAGTTCTGGGTTGGGAGATGGGTAGTAGAGATGTATATACTTACCCAGAAAGCATTTCCAGTCTCTAGGTGATCCGATCAGCTCAGCCAGGCAGCCTCCTTCAAAGTTATCACGTGCTTTTTCTCTTTGAACCATCGAACCCAGCAGTCAGTTAAGGGCCCCTGCAAGGCGCTTATCTTGTTTCTGGCTGTTGGGGTAATGATGTGTCACTGACAGCTGTTGCCCACATTTGCTCCTTCACTCTCCCTTCTATGTAAACATAAAGATGCAGTTCGCGTCTGTGGAGCACCCTCTATCCTCTCACTATCCAGTGGCTTTGTTTTCACTCTCTCCTGGCCCACCAGCTGTATGTTAAAATAAAAGTAAGCGACTTGAAACAGCCCTCTCTACTTCTTTGCATGTATTTTACTTCTGATCTTTATAACTCTTTGAGGTATCCATTATTATCCTCCTTTTACAGATGAGGAAATCAAAGCTCAGAAACCAGCTTGCCTAGGGTCCCACGGTTAATAAATATCTGAACCAAAATTCACATCCAGATCTGCCTTCAGAACATTTCCCCTTAGCCCAAAGGCACACTTCTTAACAACGGAAGGAGCTCCGCAGCCACATGGCTTTTTCTGCAGATGAATCCAGCTGGTCCTACTTCTAAAACCCACAAATATCAAATGAAGCGGGAAAATGAAAACTGGGAATTTCATTTACATTTCACTCAGCTCTATAGTGTTACCTACGCTGATAAAGCCCTTCTACATTTCCTCTGAAAAGGAAATCAAAATGTTCTTTGTAATACCTGAAACTCACCCAAGATCTTGTCATCCTGCCTCGCAGCACTTTAAAGCCCCATTCGCATTTGCTGGAAAGTATCTCTTGGTTATCACAGTTTAGAAAGAGGCATTAATCTCACTAAGCTACTGGAGGGGTGAGTTAGACAAGCAACCCAGTAAGGTTTAAAAATATATATAAAGCACAAGATGTTCTTATATCTGCCAGTGACAGCATGTTCCTTGAGACTCAGAGAAGAGGCAAGGGAGACAGCATGGGGAGACCATGGCCAAGCTCAACCTAGAAGAGAATTAGGGGTGAGCACTTAGTTAATGACTGCAAAGTGCTTTGAAAATGAAAGTGTATCTTAATCCCAACACCTGCCTGGTAAACCGTGGTTTTTCCCGTCTTGTCACCCCAGAGTAGTGGATGGAGTCAGCCAATGCTCTCCCAAAAAAGCCAACAGTGCTTGTCACCACCTTACATGGTCCTCTTGCCTCACCCAAGATGACAACATATTCAAAGTGGAGAAAGAAGTCCTTTTTTGCATCAACTTAAAAATAATAATAACAGTTCTGCTTCCACTGCTTAAGGCCACAGCAATCTTTCTCTCGTGGGGAGTGAATGATGGAGCTCAACTCTGTATCCATAGAAGAGGTTAATTTGAGCCACTTAAGGCTGCCTTTCTCATGGCTGCTCACATTTACCAGGGACTGTCTAAACACACTGTCCTGCTCTCAGAGGAGAGAGGCATTCTGTGTCATCGGGGGATGTCTAACAGACACAGCTGACCCAACTGTCCCCAGTGCAGGACTTCAGCTGCCCTCCTGACTTGGGAAGTGGCTGCGGCATTGCAGGCAATGGTGAGAACCAGGTGCCCTAGGGTCCTGGGCTTGGCGGACTTGCCTCTCAGAGTCAGGCTGTTCTTTTCACACCTTCAAGTGAAGCCAAACTCTGTTTGTCAGCTTTACAGCACTGTTGTACCCATCGAGAGAAGCCTGCTTGCTGGCAGCCCCTGCCTGGAGCTTGCCTCTTTGCCTGCTTTGCCCCCAGACCCCTCCTTTGGTGGAAGCCCTCTACTGTGGCCCAACATCCGGTCTTTCTCTTTATACTTCAAAGTCAGCTCTGGAAGCTCCATGGTGAAAAGATGGGGCTGGTGTTCCTGGGAGAAAGGGAAGAATGAAAACCTGTTTCAGCATCATGGAGTGGAAGGAATATAGGCTTCTGCATCAGGCAAACCTGCGTACAGCTTCCAACTCAAGACATTCACCATCCAGGGGACCTTAAGCCTCAGGCTCCTCACTGTTAAATGCCAAAGAGTCAAGTGAAAGAGCTTGGGCAAAGTTATGGGCATATGGAAGATAACAAATGGTAACAATTATTAACTATTTCAAGAGAAATTAAGTCAAGGAGGGTAGACTTCCACTGAGCAGCTCCAAGTGATAACTGACGTTTATCACACACTTACTGTGTGTTTGGCTATCTTCTCTCATTTACTCTTATTTCATTTACTCTGCTCAACTATCCTATGACACAAACATTGTCAATGTCTGCATTTTCCAGAAGACGACTGTAAAGCCCAGAAGGATTAAGTAGCTTCCCCAAGGTCACACAGTAAGTACTGGGATTCAAACACAGACAATCATCCAACAGAGGCCATTCTCCCGAGGACCAGGACATATCCACCCCCTCCACAGAAGCTGGTGAGGCTCAGGGTTTCCATTTGAGGATCTATCATTCCATGGCTCCCTGTTGTTGTTTTTCACCAGGGAAGTCAGAGTAGAAGAAAAGTTGACAAATGTTTATGAATGCTGGGAAAAATTAAAAAGTGCCAGAGCAAGAGCGGAGTGGAGAATTGTCTGCAGAATGAGAAAACCCAGGTGGCAGCAGCTACCTGCAGACTTGACTTAGCCCAGATTCCCCACCAAGCAGAAACTGAGGCCGACTTAGATGCTAACGTTTTATTGAAAGATCCAATCCCTGGGCAGAAACAATGAGAGGAAAGGGAAAGATTGAAAGCAAGCACAAGGTCGGTGTGTAAACACGTGGTCATTGCTTCCCAAGCCACCAAGAGATTTAAGGGTCCCTGGGCCACGTGGGGCCCCTGGAAACAGGCTGCACAGAGACCTGCCCTAGAGCCTGCCCAGGAGGCCAAGGGAGGAAGTGGTCTGCCAGCTCCCTCATCTCCCACCTTCGATTAGTCACAGTCACCCCACAGGCAGTGACACCCATACTTCCCAGGGGGTCATCTAGCCTCTCCAGGTAGCTACAGGGGACACAGATCCCCCTCTGAGGCATTTCACCCTGGCCTTGGAGGGGCAGGGGTCAGGGGCCCCCCAAGCCTAGTGCAGCCTCAGCCACCAGAGTATGAGAGTGGCCATGTGGAGTCTGTCATCACCTCCAGGGGATCGCGGATGCAGGAGGGTAGCAGCTACCTGGGTGCTTCACAAGTAAGAACCCAAGGCCCCTGGAGACAAGTGAGGCCCAGAGAACTCAAGGACCCAAGAGGGGCCTTAAAATTGTGCCTAAACAGGACCTGGAGTCCCTCTGAGAAGTCATGGGCCAGGCACAGGAAGCCTTGCCAAGCTGCAGTCCTGGGCTAACTCACAAGTCTAGGGGCTTGGAGGGGCTCCGTCCAAGAATACCAGAGCTTCCTGGGCACCCAAAGCCGTAGAGTCAGGCCAGCTAGGGCAGCACACATGGCTGTCCCCACTCTTAAGACTGATAGACCAGAGCCCAGGCCGCCCCCAGAGCCAGGCAGGAACCATTCTGACCACCGGCCTGGGGAAGGCCACTCTTCCCAAGGGCTGGTGTAAGGAAGAGGCTCCTGGACTCGGAATGAGAAGTTGCCAATTCATGACCTGCCCGGCCTCCTACTAGCTGCACACCTTTGGATGAGGCCTTGAACCTCTTCTCTGCAAAAGCAATCCTAGCCGAGCCCTGCCAGCCTCTGGAACCTCTGTCTCCTCACCTGTAAAATGGGGTAAGGGTCCAGGCTGGTCCAACTCCTGGGGCTACTGTGAGGATCACGGGGCTTTGCCGATGAAAACCCTACTGCCCTGCCCTGCCCTGCAGGCCTGTCCTGCATGCCCCTGCTCATCCACGGGGCCCATGGGCCTGAGGTCAGGGCGAGGCATGGCCACCCTAGCTCAGTGTCAGCCCAACCCTTCCTATCAGAGGGAAGCAGAAATTGCCCTGTGCAGCCTGCTTCCTGCCCCATGACAAGGGGCTTCCCCTTAAGATGATTTTGTTTGTCACAGCCCATAAGGGGAAGGGTATTCCCTGAACCAGCACAGCCCTTTGATGGGACCAGGGGGCCCCTGTCCTGGGTCCAGCACTCCTATCATGAAGAGAGGGACAGGAGAGTCGATGGGGGAGGGCACGAGCCTTCCCAGGGAGACCTGATCCCATCCACGCCTTGTACCCAAGCCCCCAGAATTCCTAGCCTAAATGTCTCCAAACCTACTTCCAGGGCCCAAGTCTGATCCCCTGGACATCCCAGAGCCTGGGGAGGCCCAAGGCCCACCCCTGTGGGTGGAGCACCCTGACAGGGAAGAGTGAAGTCCAGGGAGGGAGGAGAGGAGATGTGAGAGGGGGAAGGGAGGCCGAGGGCAGCAGGGGCTGGAAGCAGCTTCCTCCAAGGCCTTCTGCTGGCCTGAAGTCTCAAGGAGTCTGAATTCCAAATTCGAACCTAGCCATCAAGGTCAAGGTAGTAGGAGAGAAACCATTTTACTCAACAATGTATAAGCAAAATGTGTCATTTTTTAAATATGAAGATCTTTACCATGTGGGCCCCATTCGAACTCTTGCTCTGGGGACCTGCCCATGTTCAGGAGCTATGTCATTTTACTCAGCCTCCTTCCAGCAACTTCCACCCTCTGCTGCCCCAAATCTCAAAGCCTCAGGTGCAGTATTCTTCTAAAACCTGGATACTCCCTTCTGGTCCACAGGGCATCTGTTCTAAGGCATCCCCCTTGCCTTGATCATGAAGGGAACGTCCTTTGAAAAGGCTGCCGTCCAAAATATTCCCTGCTGTCCATTCATTCACTCATTCATTCCTTTATTCAACAAATGCTTGAGTATATCCTTCTGTGCCAGGCCACACTCTGGAGATAGTGCAATGAACAACACTGGCAGAAGCCCCTGCCCTCATGAGCTTCTATCCTGGTGGACAAAGACACACAGCAAGCCGGTGAGCATGTGAGATGAACAGAGCATCAGGAAGGGCCACCAGCACCCTGTGCCTGCACACCCACTGTGACTGCCCATGGCTGGGGGCCTGGCCCACTGTACTTCACATGGTGGACAATGAGGCCCTGTGAGGCTCCTTGTGGCCCCTAACTCCTAAGTGACCGGGCTGGGATTCCCACTCAGATGGTGCTGAGGTCAAAGATCTCAAAGGCTTTCCACCGCCAGGTCCCTCCTGAGTCAGGACTAGCATTAATTATAATAACAGTATCAATTAGCTCCTCTTGGCTCCAAAATATAATGGCTGCTTCCTCTGGTACAATATTAGGAGCAGGCACCAGATGAAAAAGCAAACGGATCGAACACCACCCACAGAGATAAACTGGCCTCGTGATCAATGATGGTGGATTTTTTTTTCAACACAGATAAACAGGAAAGGAGTTTTGGTTTTGAAACTCAAACGATTTCCTTGCTGTAGCCGTATCTAGGTTGGGTATCGAAGAAAACAAAAATAATTCTGGGCACAGAAGGAAGATGGAATATTTCTGCACTCAACACTGGGCCAGTTTGGCTCATTCCCAGACATAAAGAATTCTGGTGTCCATTTTTAAATAAAAATAAATAAAGCAGTTCAACCCAGATGGGGGTGCCAGCAGATGTGACAGAACCATGGAGAGTGGGTGGGTGGTGTGCAGCACTTGGCCATTGCTGACAGCAGCCCTGTTGTGAAGTACACAGCTGGGAGGACGGCACAGGTGCGCTCACATGGCCGGCATTCCCACAGGCCCGCCCACTGCCTTGATTGCGGGCCACGGCTGACGGCTGACCGCAGAAGCCTCCCAAAAGAGGAGGCAGGTGTGGGAGGGTGGCTGCTGCCAGGCCAACTCCCCTGCAAGGGTCAGTCCCTGCTCTCTCTGCAAGGTCCCCTGCCCCCAGCAGCCCTGGCTCCCCTTCAATCCAAGGCTCAGCTCCTGGACCTGAGGCCACAGGCTCTGCTTCCTGGCTGCCTCCTGCTGCCTGAAAGCCTCACAAGCAACTTAATTAGATTAAAAAATACCAAAGGCTACTTAACAATAACTGAGCGTGTATTTTCAAACAGCTAGAAGAGAGGATTTTGAATGTTCCCAACACACGGAAATGACAGATGTTTGAGGTGATGGATATGTTAATGACGCTGAATTGATCATTACCCCTTGGATCCATGTATCAAAATATCACTGTGTACCCCATAAATAGGTACAATTATTACATGTCGATTAGAAAAAAATACCAACGGCAGGACTAGGATAGGACAGGCTTCAGGGGGGATTTCAGGAAGTTCCATGTTCAAATTTTGGCTTGGGTGAGTCAACCCCTGGGCATCAAGTTACATATGGGAGCTGAGAAGAATCTCAATCGTGCATGTAAATATCTCGGCATAGCAGTAAGTAGTCGTAGTTCTTTATGATAATTTTAGCAGCGATACTGGGGAGGTTTCTGGAACAAGTTAAAGAAATTTAATAAAGGTGAAAACCTCTTTCATGATGTTAGAAGAAGTTTGTCTCGCTCCGCAGTAATCCCACCTACACACACAAGAGACCTTTTCCTGGCTTTTCATGTTCTTTATGTTTGAGGGGTATAGAATTATTTTTCCAAGCACCTTTTGTTCTGTCAAACGGATAAAGAATTGATAGATACATAGAAAGTATTGGCATTCTTGGGGTTATTTCTAATGGTAAATGTCATAATTTCATTAAACGAGACAAATATTTAAAAGACAACAAGTCGACAGTGTTGGATGCCTTTGGTGTGGTTCATTTTGCATGACAGGTGACAACCCCTTTTCTTCTTTCAAATGCAATGTTTCTAAAGCCAGATAGAGCCGGGGGCCTTTAGTGCTCCTGAAATTGTGTATGTGTACTCCTTTTTCTACAAGAGTGTCCACAGCTCTTACTGGCATCTCAAAAAGCCTCCAAGCTACCTATGGGGATCACCCTCTCTGGCACCAAAGGGGAATTAAACACCAGTTTGCTGAAGACCAACTAGACATCATCAGTTTTCCCCTTTCAGGACCCACCAGTGAGCACCAGGCATGTTCCTGTTCCCTGTTTCCAATTCTCCCTTTTGGGACCCACCAGTGAGTACCAGGTATGTTCCTGTATCCCCGTTTTCAGTTCTCCCTTCGCTTTCTCTGTCTGCCTACTTCACATACTCAGGTGCATCTTACAGGGATCCTTTTTCTGAAAATAAACACTTGGACATAGCATAGTGCAAGGAGGCAGGGGAGTGTGTTGCCAGGAAAATGGAAGCAGCACAGTGAGCCTGCGGGTCAGGGGGCAGTGGGGACAGTGGGGCAGCGTCCTCCCCACTGCCCCCACCTCCAAGCCCTGCTCACTAAGGGGCCCACCCCCAGCCACCTTGGTGCTGTAAGAGCACTTCCACTGGGGCCAGAAGAGAGGCCAGTTGCGCTTTTTATGAACTTGATCATCGAGTTATCCTGGTCATCTACTGCAGGCTGTGGGGGCCGGTCATGGGAGATTCAACAACGGGGAAGCTCTGCAGCCTCCGCTCCACCGAGCAAGGCCAGGCCCAGGATCCTTCTAGCTCTCCCAGGAGACCTTTGAGCACCTGGTTCTCAGTGGCTTGACTCAAACAAGGTGATACTTACACGGCTGAAAAAAAAAAAAAAGAGCTGCTAGTTGGGTAACTGCACTTATGCACATGCTAGAGTTTGACTTCAGTTCTGTAATGCACCTTGCTTTCTCCCCAACCATGGGGTGGCCTTGGGAGTACCCACCAAAGGACCCAGGCAGGGACCATCTCCAGGCAGTGACCAGTGCCACCACCAGCAGCCATGAGACTGTGAACATGTTTATTTGTTCATTTGTTTATCTGATTCCTTTAGAGCCAGCTACTCTGGGTTTCTGAGAAGCCTCACTCTGCCGCTGTACTACCAGCTGTGTGGCCAGACCTAAATTACAGCCTCTGCTGACCTTGGTTTCCTCATCTGTAAAAGTGAGGAGAGTTCTGCATTCCTCAGAGGTTTGTTGTGAGGATGGAATGAAATAATTAAGTAAAGCACATAACACCACACCTGGCAGGTAACAGGTATTCAATACATACTATGAGTTGGATGGCACGCTGGCCCCAGCATTGGGGTAGAGAACGTTCAGACATTGTTAGCTGCCACTTGACCAAGGTTCACAGATTCAGAATAAGTGAGTGAGTGCTGAAATAAACAAAAGGAGTGGGGTGGGTGCTAGTGGAGCCGTCACAAGCACTGTAAGCGACAGTGCAAAGCTGGCTTGCTTGTGGCAATACAGTTGTCATAAATGCCCCAGACAGCTGGGGCTCTGGCTGGGAGACACGCGGGCCGCTATGTGGCCCTGGAATCCGGGTAGCCCATAAATGATGCATCAAGTGCAGAGCTGGCCACAAACCATGGCGATGCAGGCCACGGGAACATCTGTGCAAACAGAGAGGCCTCTGAGCAAAGGCAGCCCCAGCTGTGCAGGCCTGCCTCTGCAACCCCACACTCCCCACCCCTGCACACCCTCGCCCCCACACCCCCACACACCCCACCCCACCCCTGCAGGTGACCACTCACCCTAACTGTCCAACGGTGCAACCTCGAGCAAGTCCACCCCCTGGTCCCCAGCTTTGGTTTACACAGCAAATGACATGTATTGCAACCTTTAGATATATCAAATGTTTTAAAGAAAATAGGCACAGGGGTTCCCCATGGCAGTACATGCAGTTTTCTCTACTATTAGGTGGGAGGATGGAAAGGAAAATCTTACCTCTGACTCCGAACACGGAGCCCTGTAGGAACGGCCCCCATTTAGTGACCCTAGTAAGTCCCCGGTACCCAACTCAGGCCTGGCACACAGGGCCCCAGGCAAGGCTCTGGAGCAAGTGTTCTCACAGAGCCAGTGACCGTGGAGCCTGTGACCGTGCAGAGGGAGACAAACACCGGTGGGAGAAGTTGGGAATCGCCCTGTCCCACATTCTCGTTCCCTGGGAACCTTCCATCTTCTTGTCTCCACCCAATCTGTCTGGATGGAACTCTAATTTTTTCAGCAATTTTCATCTCAGAAGTGAGCAGGGAAGGACTCCAGTATATGTGAGAGAGAAGGATCCTGAAAACAAGTCAATATCCTGGCCATGGACACCCAGTGAATGTTTAACCATGCAGGACAGCTGAACTGGTACTTGGTGACCCAGCAGGCGATCGGGATCTGCTGGTGATCTTGGTCCTCTGGGTGATCCGTGGTCCTCTGGGTGCTCTGATCTGCCAGGGGATCCTCCAGGGCACTTTAGGGCTATAATCATGAGCTTCAGAGGTACACAGTAGAATGGAATCTTGCTCCACCACTGCAGCAGCCACCCGACCCTACCCAAGCCCTTTCACCCCTGGAGCCTGGGTCTGTTCGTTTGTAAAATGGGGGAGTCTGATCTCTATCTCACAGGGTTGCAACGAGCATTAAATGAATTACTGTTAGTGAAGTGCTCATCAACGATAGACTGGATAAACAAAATGTGGTACATCTATACCATGGAATACTATGCAGCCATAAAAAGGAATGAGAAAGAAAAGGGACATGGATGGAGCTGGAAGCCATTATCCTCAGCAAACTAACACAGGAACAGAAAACCAAACACCGCATGTTCTCACTTATAAGTGGAAGTTGAACAATGAGATCACATGGACACAGGGAGGGGAACAACACACCCTGGGGCCTGTCAGCGGGTTGGGTGCGGGGAGGGAGAGCATTAGGAAAAATAGCTAAGGCATGCTGAGCTTAATACCTAGGTGATGGGTTGACAGGTGCAGCAAACCACCATGGCACACATTTTCCTATGTAACAAACCTGCACATCCTGCACATGTGTCCCAGAACTTAAAATTAAAATCTAAATGTATTTTTTAAAAAAGTATCTTAGCAGGACTGCCACAGCAGAGGGCTCTGTGGTTTGCTATCTTTTCAATACTAGTTTTAAATTAAAATAAAATTAAATGTTTCTAAGACCATAAGTGCAAACTGCAGAGACCCTTATTGCAACTATTAGTACTATCATTATTATTTTCATGGGGAAAGGAGAGGGAGGGGTAAATTATAATAATATAAATGATATGTTTATCAGACAAGACTCCTACCTGAGAAAGGATATTAAGAAAAGTAAAAACTAGCCCAAAGAACATATCTGTCTCTGCGCTCATTTCTTTTATACAACGACTTCAGAGAAAATGTTTTCATTCATCAAATGGTCAAACAAATGTTAAAGCCCTGAAAATTATTTGGAAAATCCAGTGTAAACTAACACAAGATGGGATTTCCCATGGGTTAATCCAATGGGAAGTTTCACTTGGTCCTGAATTTCCTCACAAAATTATTTAAAACGCTCTTTTGTTCCTATTCTCCTTCGCTACCAATTTAAAGGAAAGAAAAGTGGGTCATGCATTCAACAGAGGAATGAACCAGGCCGCAAAACAAGCCGAGGGTGAAAAGGGAAGTTTTCTGACAGCGTATGTGGCCTCCAACACTCAGTGGTGAGAAGTGCAGAAAACTCAGTCTAAGGGGCAATTATATTTTAGAGTCAAGAATGGGAACACTGTTTCAAAGAGGAGCAGAATTTAGAAAAGCAGTTAACTGCCTAAGACTGCTGAACCCAAACTCTGTCCAGAGCCCTGACCACAAGCAGAGCTGCCGGCAGACGAGCTTGAGGCAGTATCTGCCGGGAGTGTGGTCAGCGGTCAGAGTCCAGGGCTGCACGCTCACGGCTCTGCACACGGGGCTGCTAACCCTAAGGCCACGGCCAGGAAGGAACCCCAGGGACACTTGACCTGCCCACGATGAGAAAAGCAGAAACAGCAGCTGCTGTCCTGCATGTCACCAGCATCACCACCTCAACTGCTGTGCAGAAACACCTGCCCAGAAACACCAAGAGCTTGTCCACCAGCGCTGTGCATAGCAAGCTGTCCTGTAGAGTGGGCCAGCAACCATTCTCCTAACACACAGAGCGCAACGTACACATCCAGCCATCCAGATCAACTTGTAGTCAGTTTCTCAAAGGCAGGAACAATGGGTTATCCCTTGCTCTATCTTATCCCTCCCAAAACATAGTCAAATAATTTGCATAAAGTAGACGCTCAGTTAGAGTTGATGAAATAACTTAATAAATGATGAGAGGAAAGAATCCTCATTCCACAGATCCAGTTCAGCTTAAACCTGATCCAATAGATGAGCAGTTCTCAAACTTTTTGGTCTCAGGATTCCTTTGCACTCCTAACAATTGAGAATTCCAAAGAGTTTTTGTTTATGAGGGTTATCAATATTTATTGCGTAAATAATTAAAACAGCCCACACATTAAGTCACTAGGAATTGAGAGCAAAATGTTCAATGTTCAACCAAGCTTCCCGTAGGTAAAATGTGTGCAGAATGAAGCTGTATGGCAGTCACCAGGAGGTGCAGAGGAAACCTGGAATGAGCCGTGGAGTACAGACCAGCCACAGGCGCCAGGTGAAGGGTCTAGACGCATGCCTGCAAACAAATCAGTACCCTGTCAAAACTAATTGTGATCACTTCTGAGAGCTGAGCAGTTCCAGCATAGGGAGTGGCACTGTGCTCGGCATTTTTACATACGTCACCTTGAATGATTCTCCTAACACTGCAAGGATCCATACTACCTCCGTTTATCAGAAGCTGTAAAGAAGAGTCGATGAGATTCACTTAGCTAACATCAAACAGCTCCTAGAGGCTGGAGAGGGATTCCAGTGGGGCCATTCATATTTCCAAAATCCTTGCTGTCTCCACGGATCAAGCTGTTTTCCTAAAATCGATCATTTCTTTATTTCGGGTCCCCAGATCCCTGCCACCGTTGTTCAGAAATGAACAATATGAGAATGTTCGCAGCAGGCTACTCTTATAAATTCTTTGTTGGTTTGTCTTCTTGAAAAAAAATTTGATTAAGGGTGAACAGAGAGTGGTCGCTCAATGTTTTGAATCAGAAATTACATTTTTAAGATTTCAGAAGTGGTAGAGCTAATTCCTATTCATGTATATTCTTGGACACGGCTGACCTTCCCAGGGGCTGGAATTGTTACTCATTCACGTGTCCCCAGGGTCTGGTATGGTCCTGGCTCACAGAGATGTTCAATATACATTTGTTGAATTGCTTATTAAGTATATGTATTATATGTATATACATATATAGATAAATAGATTCTCTTTGATTAAAATTTATTTTTTCAAATTATATTAGAATAACACTAAAGGAAATCTATAGTAATTGCTGTTAATCTGGTAAGGCCAATGGAAAAATTATAGAGCCATAATGAAATTTTCTTTCTCCTTTAGACATTTTATTTGCATTGATTATTATTAACAGGTACCACATATTGAGCCCTTTTTTAACATGTCAGTCCCATTTTAACTTATTTATGATGACATGTACTACTTGCTTACTGGTTTAGACCTTTCTTATAAATTAGTAAAAAAGCATAATTTAAGGATATATGTGGATGAGTAATTTAGACAGAGGATGAAAAAGGGCAATCATTATCCTAGAATATAGAAAATTAAAATTTCACCAAAATTGCTAAGACACGTTTTTCCGTAGAATGTTCCTCCAGAACTCCAGCAAGCTTCCACAGAAGCATGAGGTTCATCAACACATTGGGTACCAGATGCTGCCGATCAGAAAGCTGGATTGAGTAGAGGTGATGGGGTGAGGCTAGAGTGACTCTTTCATAAAAGAGAGGGGGACAGGGCAAAATAGAGCAATCTTGTCAACTTATAAATAAGTCCTTTATTCACAACCATGAGCTAATGTGAACCAACATTAACCATGAGCAATTTAAAAAAAAAAAACAAAACAGAAAATTAGGACTCCCAAATAACCATTTAACAAGCATTTTTTGAGCACTTTCAAACCTAGAAATAAAATAAATTGGGCCTTTAGAAAAAGAAGGAGCAGAAAGAGACAAGTCAACCAAGCAGTTCCTATCGCCACTCAAGCCTGGCGTTGCTCTGAGCTGTGCATTTCAATGTCATCCTTTTTGCTTGTTCTTTCTCTGATTCAGAGATTAGCCCAGCATATTATATGTATGTTTCCCACTTCCTGACCACACACTTTTATCTAAATTTCTTCAAGGTCTCACAATGAGACACCAGCAGCTTCTTTAAGAACTGATGTCTTTTTCTTAGCCAGCTCTTGTGTAATCATTTCTTGTACAATTTCGAGATGGCATAAGTGCCTTTGTTCATTCAACAAATGTTTATCGAGCTTTTTTGTAGGTACCTAGGACCCAGATTTGAGCAGGTGGAAAAGGGCCTTGCCTGCATGGGACTTGCATTCTAGTTTTAAGGGGCAGAAAATAACAGAGGTAATGAGTTAGACTGGAATTATACTACATAGTACAGCCTAGAACCAGAATGGGGAGAAGGTAACAGGCTGTGTGACAAGTTTTGGAAGAATATTCAGGAGGAATTGAAAATACAAGAATGCTTTGGGACAGGAATAAGCTAGGCACGTGGAAAAACAAAACAAAACTATAAGTCTAAAATGTCTGAAATACCATAACAAAAACATCCAAAATGAGATGAAGGAGAAAAAACAGGTAGAGGCCAGATCCTATAGAGATTTCTAGGTCATAGTGAGGATATTGAAATTGACGCTAAGGGCAATGGAAGTTCATGGAAATATTTCAAGCAAAGTAGTCAGAAAGTGTGATTTATCTTTCAGAAAGTTTTGACTAATACTTTTAAATACACCACTCCAAATTCTAGCCCCAAGTTCTTCTTTAATGGCATGAATGCCACACAGATTACTTGGAGATAGAGCAGAGGCTATTAGGACATTTATTAGAAATTCCATTTTTAATAGATTTCTGATTCTAGCAAAAAAAAAATAGCTCTAGGCTAATACTTGGCTTGGCATATATTAAAAATCTGTTTGGAAGCAAACTGTTTTTAAAGTACCTTGGTTTTAATTAGTTTAGCATTTTAATTCTAAGAAAGGATGAGAAACCTTAATAAGAAGCATTTTCCATTTGGGTGTTTAAAACTGCACCATAATGTTACATTAAAATCATTTCTGGTGTGTTAATTAATAATTATGTTAGGAATATTGCAAATGTGAAAGGCCACTGTGACTCACCGAGCTTCATCTGAGCTCATTCCATTTTAAAATTCTATTAATCGTTGTTACAAATGACAGGATCATTTAATTTCTTAAATGAGACATTTTTATTACACATCGGGCCTTTCATCCAAGTGAATTTTATTGGCTGTGACAGGTCCTGAAACTCATTTTTATTTTTCAAAATGCATTTTGTCAAATATTTTGCCTCTAATGAATGAATGTTTAGACTCCAAATAAATCCGGCTATGCTTCCCCAGTTCTCTTCCCAAGGATCGGAAGAGCACTCACTGTATACAGAGCTCAACGGGGTAAGAACAGAACAGGCAGGTGTCAGTCAAGTCCAGGGTACATCCATGAGCTTTGCAATCACAACCAAAGCAACCACGTGGAAATGCACTTTTGTGCACATAAATGGCCTTTTACCATTTTTAATTTGCAGCCTATAAACAGCAGTATGATGGACAAGATAAAATCATTCAAAATGTTAAAAAGATAAATAATTTAATATTTATAGCAAGTTAGGATACATTGAAAGGCTTGGGTTGGGTTTACAGAAAATTGATGTCCTCTAAGAGGTGACTGCCCCATCTAATCCTTCCTTTCCACAGTCATCGACATTGGTTTAAAAATATTAAAACATTTAAAACATTGTTCCTGAAGAGACTCCTTGGTCAAAGGCTGGAAAAGTTGTATTCACTTTTATGCTAAACCCACTCAATAATTTGGCATTTTCAACATTGCAAGGGAGCCAGAAGTCTGTGGGGTTCAAGTAGTTTGCTCAACTCCTAAATTTTATTATCACTAGTATTCTAATGATACTATCTATTAGTATCCACCTCTTCCAATTTCATATCTCTTCTACTAGCTAAAAAGTAATAGGAATAGGTGCCCCTTTGGTGGAAAAAAATGTTTTGTTATTGGGTGCTTTGTTTTTTATTCCTTTTTTTTTACCTCTTTTTAAAAGTAAAGATCCTTTTTAAAGGTACAAATCCTTGCTGTGACCTGTGTGGTCATTTTGATAACCATGAAACAAGTGGGGAAAACTGAGGCTCCAAGAGATTAAGGTACTCACCTCAGGCAATGCAGGATTCACATGCAGATCTATCTGGAACTTTCCATGGGTGCCATGCTGCCTGCTGTGTTAAGGTTATTGTGACTTGAGGCAAATGGTGGCCTGGAGTCACTAAGCACTCAAGACCACATATGAAGGCACAGAAAGCAACAGCACTTAGTTTCTAGGTCCCAAACAGTGAGTAAATCTCAGGAGAACTTCAGTGGGGGTGGCAAATTAAAGAAAGCCACACATTCTTTGACACTTGTCTCACGGAGAGATGAGTTCTATTTTCCCTCCCCTTGGATCTGGACTGACCAGGGGCTGCTTTGACACATAGAGGATAGTGAAAGTGACTCGAGGCTATGGCTGTCAGAGAAAATACAGAACACCCAGCCCCATTTGAATTTCAGATAAATTACAATTTCTGCATGAGTATGTTCCATGTAATATTTGAGACACTCTTATACTAATAATTAGTGTTATTCATCTGGAATTCAAACTGAACTGGGCATTCTCTCATATTTCCTAAAGCTGGCAACCCTACTCTAGGCCAGTTCCAAGACTTGCCTTTAGGAGAACTGGAAGCTTTCACCTTGGCCCCTTGGAGTCCTCAGCTCTCATGTAAGGAGTCTCTATTGCCCTGATGGAGAGACTGTGTGAAGAAGACTTGAGGGGACAGGGAGGTAGGGAGGGTCCCATTGAGCCCAACCCTGCAGCCCACCCTGCCAAGGCTTTAAGTATGGGAATGAAGCTGTCTGGGATGGTCAGACCAGCCCCCAGTGAACTCCACTGTGCAGTCCTGGTCCACACCAAGTGAAACAGAAGGCTCATCAGGCCCTTCCTGAAACCCTTATCCACAACATCATAAAGCATGATAAAATGGTTATTGGTCAGGCGCAGTGGCTCAGGCCTAATTCCAGCTCTTTGGGAGGCCGAAACAGTGGATCATGAGGTCAAGAAATCGAAACCATCCTAGCAAACATAGTGAAACCCTGTCTCTACTAAAAATACAAAATGTAGCCAGGCGTGGTGGGGTGCACCTGTAGTCCCAGCTACTTGGGAGGCTGAGGCAGGAGAATGGTTTGAACCCAGGAGGGGGAGGTTTGTTGAGCTGAGATCACGCTACTGCACTCCAGCCTGGCAACAGAGCAAGACTCCATCTCAAAAAATTAAAGAATGGTTATTGTATTTAGTCACTACATTGTGGTGATATGGTTTGGGTGTGTCCCCACCCAAATCTCATCTTGAATTGCAGTTCCCATAATCCCTATGTGTCGTGGGAAGAACCCATGGGAGTTAATTGAATCATGGGGGCAGGATTTTCCCATGCTATTCTTGTGATAGTGAATAAGTCTCTGAGATCTGATGGTTTTATAAAGGGCAGTTCCCTGCACATGCTCTCTCTTGCCTGCTGCCATGTAAGATCTGCCTTTGCTCCTTCACCTTCTGCCACGATTATGAGGCCTCCCCAGCCATGTGGAACTATGAGCCCATTAAACCTCTTTCCGTTACAAATTACCCAGTCTAGAGTATGTCTTCATAGCAGAATGAGAACAGACTAATACATGCAGGGTAGTTTACTATGCAGCAATAGATCACTGGAACAGAACTGAAAAAAGAGGAGGAGGAAAAGTGAAATCAAAGCTAAGGCCCACAACCATTGGAGGGTAACAAAAATCACAAAATGGCCTTGAGACATTGGAAAACAGACAACTGTTTATTCCACATCAATTTTTAAATTAAAGTGTTGAATTTATTATAACCTTTACTTTGGCTTTTTGAGTGAAAGTTGATAATTCACAAATACAGTTTTAAAAATATGCCCCGAAACTTAAGAATAATTCTAAGGAATATTTCTCAATCTTCACCTCGATAGGTCTTTCCTTTTACTGCATGGTACTTTTTAAAGAATAATTTAGAATAGCTTGTTTATGAGATATCAGCAGCTGTTGATTCATTTGCTAATTAATGATTCAGGCAAAATCAGTGTATAATATCCAGTGATAACCAGTTTATAATTATGAGTTCCTTCCTTGTCATAAACCTTATAAATTACAGACAATTTCAGAATTTTTACTCATCATTAGCTGCCGAATAGACTCTTTGAACGATTCCATTCATTATCTCATGAATTACATGCAAGCAAGAGGCCCAAGCTTTTTCTTTGTCTTTCCTTCTTTATTATCTCCCAGGACCAGTCAAGGACCAATACCTGTGGATCCTGCCTCCTAAATTGCTTTCAAGGCCATGCCCTTCTCTTTACCCCCTCATGGTTTAGGACAGTGATGACGATATTTTAACCAGTCATCTTGCCACCATCATTGTCCCTGGGCCAGCTGAATGGTATCACCTTCAGATCCCGGGAACCTCTTTGAATTTGTTACCTTACCTGGCAAAAGGGACTTCACAGCTGTGATTAAATAAAGGCTGCTGAGGTAGGGGGATTTTTCTGAATAATCTGGGTGTGCCTCATGTAATCACAGATTCATATAAGAGGGAGGCAGTCGGTTACAGTCAGAGGGAGTGAGGATGACGGGACAACAGAATGAGAGGCTGGAGTGCTGTCCTCTGAAGACCGAGGAAGGGACCATGAGCCAAGGAACACAGGAGGCCTCGAGGAAACAGAAAAATCGAGGAGACAGACTCTCTCCTGAAGCCTCTAAGAGAAACACAGCTCTGCCAACACTTCGATTTCTACTTCTGACCTCCAGACAGTCACAGAAGAAATATGTGCTGTTTTAAGCCACCAAACTGGTGGTAATTTATTACAGCAGCAATGGGAAACTAATCCACTCCCTGATTAGTTCTTCACACCAGCAGGTCTCTTTAAGACATACATATGTTCATATCATCCCCGGCATAAAACTTTTTATAAAGACTTCCAATTTATATTGGAATAAAGTCAAAATTCCTTAATGTGGCCTGCAGGAGCTGTTCCAGCCTAACCTTTGTCCTCATTTGTTTTCATTCACCCGCTTGCTTGCTAAACTCTAAGCAAAGTGGCCTTCCTTTTGTTCATCAAACAGTCCAAGTTCTTCCTGCCTCAAGACCTGGGACAGAGATCAGAACCTGTCACAAACCTCATCTGTTTTCTTCCTAGTGCCATAGAGAGGTTACACTTCGAGTCTCCCTTGAAGTTAACTAGGACCATGTGACTCTTTGGTCCATAGACCAAATAGAAGACTGATCTCTACCCCTGCTGACCCAGGCCCCTGCAATTCACCCTGCCGCCCTCTGCTTCCCTCTGACAGCTGAATGCACAGGACATGGGGTTTGGAGGTTGGTAGAGTCCAATTACCATGTGGCTGAACGAATTTCACTTTGGCAGTGATGTGAACAGTGGTGGACTGGGATAGAAAGACTGGAGGTAGAGGGACCAGTTAGGAAACCACTGGTAAAAAGAATAACAATAATAAATGTATATTGTTATATTGTTAACATTTATTATATCATAAGTATAATATATACCAAGCACTGCACTAAGAACAGAATTCCATTAAAACTCATTTACTCTTCATAACAACCATAGGGGCAAGACGATATAATTACGCCTGTTTTACAGATATGAAAACTGAAACAGAGAAGTTAAGTAACTTCCCAAGATCATACAGCCAGTGAGCAATGGAATGACAATTTGAACCAGGCAGTCTGATGCCAAGTCCAATGCTTTTAACTACTACTTTATACTGGGGTTGCTGTTACTTTCAAGGACAGTGGCAGCAGAGAAAGAGAAATCCCAATGTAAGGAAAAAGTTGTCAGACATGACACAAAGTGTTTAACCACAGTGAAAACAGAGGAGCTGTGTTATTCTGGCTCTTTCCAGTGTTTAACCTAGCCTCATACAAAATCCCCTGGATACTAGATTCCCTTTTTTAATAGAAACCAAGCCTTGGAATCAAGTAACATTCCCACCATTAAGGTGTCCTCAAACCTGTGCCTGGTTACTTCTGCCCTTTCACTCCACATCTCTCACAACCTCTAGACAAGGAGAGGCCAAGAGAACATTGCAGGGAACTAAACAGAGATCATAACCAAGGGCAAAAACGAGGACGGTTCTTCTTGGGAAGTTGGAGTGAGTATTTGGGATTACTACAGACAATTGTAATTCTCCTGGGTGCCTGTCACCTTTGCCTTTCCAGTCCTAATCTCGGTAGTAGGTATTTATAAACAGTACCTGTATTAGTTCATTTTCATACTGCTATAAAGAACTGCCTGAGACTGGGTAATTTATAAAGGAAACAGGTTTAATTGACTCAATGTTCTGCATGGCTGGGGAGGCCTCAGGAAAATTACAGTCACGGCGGAAAGGAAAGCAAGGCACCTTCACAAGGCAGCAGGAAGGAGAAGTGCCTGATGAAGCAGGGAACGGCCCCTTATAAAACCATCAGATCTCGTGAGAACTCACTATCACGAGAACAGCATGGGAGAAATTGCACCCCCATGATTCAATTACCTCCACCTGGTCTCTCCCTTGACACTTGGGGATTATGGGCATTAAAATTCAAGATGAGATCTGGGTGGGGACACAAAGCCTAACCATATCAGTGCCCAATCGAGCTGCTCCTGATTAGGGAGTGACATTAATAGAACGCCCCTCCATAGTCCTGGATTCATAAAGAGTTCTCTGCAGTTAGGTCCCCTATTGATTTGATCACATGACTTTTTTTTTTTTTATTTCTTCAAATAACAAGTCTAGTCCTGCATGCGGGCCTGCTTCAATTAGACGCCAGCACTACGATAATTGTAATTTTTTCCTTTGGTATGCATGAGTGTTCCTGTGGGAACATAATTTAGCTGGACATATTAAATCATGTCATCGGCAGTCACAAGCCAAATGAATTATTGATCAATGGCTGTGAAATCAAAGTGCATCTGCAGAATTACATTTGGAAGCAGGGATTCATTTACAGTAAACTTGACTCTGGAAGTGCTCCATCTGACTGAGTGCAGGGTGGAGTGATCTCTCCATGGCTTTACTTCTTATCCTCTAAGTATCTGTATTGTGTCTTTGAAAGGGCCTTGCTGAATCTAAAGTAAATACAAATGCTGCCGTGATTATCATTTGAGGTGATTGTCTTCTATTTAAGAGTAGAAATAGAAAATTGGAGTTTCCAGCCTGTATGTTACCTCCTACCCAAAATGACACCACTGCTACCAATATTCCTCAGCAGCCATTGAGTGACACTGTGGCAGGCACTGCCCTCCACTCACAGGGCTCCTTCACTGGCCTTCCTTGCTGGGATTGTTCTTCCCTCACACAGCCACATGGCTAGTTCCCTTGCCCCTTATGTGTCATGCTGTTTAATCGTCTCCACCCTGTTAGGCCAGCACAATTATTATCCCCACTGGACAAACAAGGAAACAGACAGGGTTAAAGAACTCTCCCAGAACTGCACAGCTAGCAAGCAAGACAGGTAAGATTCAAACCCAGGCAGCGTAAGTCCACATCAGATGTGCAGCGCCTCTGCCCATGGGAGACAGGAAAGAAGAACGTGGGTAGCAGGTGTCTGGGGAGCCTGCCTGGCTAGTATCGAAACAGGCCATGGAATGTAGGGTGGGGGGTGATTTCACCTTCATACCCCTCCTCCCCATTTCCCACAGGCACTTTTCAAATTTTCACACAGGTCACAGGGGTCTTCTGAAAATACAGATTCTGACTCCCTCGGAGCAGGGTAGGCCAGAGGCTTTGCATTGCCAACAAACTCAGGTAGTGCTAATGCCGCTGGCCCGTGGCCAGGTCTGGAAGGCTGGGTCAGGGGGAGGAAGGCTGAGTGAGGAGGCTAGTACATCTGTCAGGGTCCTGGCAGACCAAGATGGCGCATCCAAGGGCTATGGAAGAGCTTATTGAAGAGACTGTTTCCAGAGGGGCGAACAGGTTAAGGGAACCAACAGGGTGACTTAAAGACCCAGAAACTAGCAGCAGGAAGCTGCTACCTGGGTCTGAAGGGTGATGAGGAGATGGGTCTGGCCCTGGGAGAGGGGCCATCAGGGGAATCATCTCCAAGGGAATCATCTGGTGCCTGTGCCTCGGCTAAAGAGGTGCCCTCCCAGTGGCTGGTTTGTGTGGTCTCCTGCATATGGTGTTCAGCTACACCTTGGCCTCCTAAGCAAGGAAAGCCATGCCTCCTCTGGGCACCCTGTAACCACAGTCTCAAGGATCCCATGCCTCCAGTAACCTCCATCCTCTCCCACATGGAGCCACAAGAACCTGAGACCTCTTCTACACCTTCTAATGGACTCAGAAACCTGGAATGGGGTGAGGGTGACCTGCATCTTTCTCCCAGGCATATAATACTGTGGTCTCAGCTTGCCTCCTGCCTTCAGAAATCTCTGGACCCAAAATAGACAACAGCCTCTATGGCCGAGCACATCCTCCAACTGCAGGGAACCTGTGTGAAGCTCTCCTAAAGACTCCCCCAGATTCCACTTTGACAGCAGCACCAAGACGGGCCCCGGGACTTCTGGAGCTCAGCAAGTGTCCAGAGGGAGAAAGCTGCCAGGCTCCTCATGCTGCAGACACTTCCATGGGCCCTAATAATTCCCCTGGAGACCTGCCCTTGACTTCAAGGAAAGACACCACCTCTACTGTGGGACTCCCCCACCGCCAGACTCCATGTACCCAAGAACGCCAGCCACCCGACTTCCTGGGGATGGCAGTGGCAGGATGGTGGCTGCTGTTTATAGGGCCTATGGAAGGTGTCCAATATTAATTTCTAACACTCTCTTTAGAATATGAGAACACTTAACACATTTTGTTTTCAATTATGGGTCTTAGTTGCACGAGAAAAGCTTCATGCATCATCTTACTACAAATGAAACCAGAACATACCCGTAGATGGACTTGTTAACAATGCTGGTAAAAGTGTGGTTAGGAGAGGTTGCTGCACCTTCTCAGAGAAACGAGCTTTGGCTTTGGGTTTTATTGCAACTCTCACCTTTACTGCAACTGTAACTGAGTCTCGTTACAAATCCTGCACATTTACTCTTCCCAAGGGCCTTGTGTGTGACGGATACTCAAATATTTTTTGATGTTTGTAAAGCAACCCCATGTTCTTTGACACATGGATTTTAAGCATGTGATTAGAGGTCATAGCTGCAAAACCAGCTGGCGCCAGAGGTCCTTCCTCCTCCATCTGAAGCAGCAATTCCTCAGAGAGTCCATGGAGTTTGGGAGAAATGGACAAGAAAGAGTTGAAGGAAAGGGGATCCCCACAACGTCAGCTACACCAGCCAAATAAACAGAGGCCATGGGAGGGGTGACAGATGTTGCTGTCAAAACACATCATCATGAGCATTGTGACACTAAGCTGACAGTGTGTCTAGTAATAAGATTGACATATGAGGTTCAAGTCATACAATCTGGGAGGTTTAGTTGTAAAATGATCAAAATACATGCAATTTCTGCCAGGACCTCATCTCACCATATATTGTTGGAAGGCATCTGATTCCAACTATCCTGGCCACTCCTAATGGGTTTTTCTTCAAGCAAATTTTATGGCCTTCAGGCTCCAAGAAGCATGATATCCACTTTGTAAGTCCTTCCTAATTGGCTATCCACATTCCTACGCACTGCACCCTATCTCCCAGGGGCATGTGGTGGCTGTGGAAGGCCTGCTTTTTCATGATATCTGTTCAGCTGAGCATTCTCTTTGAGGACTAGGATCCAATTTCAGTCTGGACTGTTCATGGCATTATAACAACCATAATACCTAACAATCATGATGTGCTTACTGCATGCCACGCTCTGTTTTAAGAACATTACATGTGTTACTTCACTTAACCCTCCAACAATCATATGACGCGTGCAGATTAGGAAATTGAGGCACGAAGCTGGATAGACTACAGTGACCAGTGACAGGGTGAATCATTGAGACAGTGAAAAAAACAGAGATGAGGACTCGGTGCACCTGCTTTCTACTCCAAATTTCTATGGGTGATCTGTTATGTTTTCCCTCTCTGCTGACTAGTAGATGATAAATAACTCTGTATTTGCAAGAAGAATCTCTCAGGTGTCCATGCACAGTTCGCTTTCACTCTGTGAGTCTAACTGCAAGACTTCTTTAGGGAACATCACCCAACAGCATAGACCTCATAGTGATGCAAAACAAATAAGTCACATTTGTGATAACCAAAAATTGCTTTGTGTAGTAAAGCGTGACTTTAATAAGCTTTAAATGGTACAATTGCATAATTTACAATGGATATACTCTAATAGCACCATTTCTATAGCTCACACCCTGGCAAAAATTTTAAAGCCTAATTTCCATTGGAAAAATAACTTTCTCTTTTGCAAGTGGTCTCTAAATGAGAAAAGGCATTTGTATCAATTACTCGACACAGGAGACACAGTGTTGATCTACAAAATGAATTTTAGAAGGGAAAGGGATGGGAAGAGAGAGAGAAAATAATTTTAAGTAAATTGCATGCTGGACCTGCCAAAAGAGTATCTGGGTCCCAGCAAGAAGAGAACCTAGTTACTCCAAGGCATCTCACACCTCACGCTCTCTTTCCACTGCCTCTTGTTCAACTTCACCTAACACCTAGTCCCACTGTACTCATGTACATTATTTACCTATTGAGGCAAAGCCTACAATAGTGGAAATGGACACAGAAGTGTTGCTTAGGAAAAGGAACGTCATTTGAACAGCTGAAGACTGCATGTTATTTATCAGGATATTCAACCAAGCCAAAGGAAAAAGCAGCCACCGTGCACAGGGAGTTACAGCCCTGCTTGGCCCAGCTGTGACACAAATGGAGTGACAAAGTGAGCTGGGAGAAGAGAGCAAAAACATCCTCCCAGGTTCTCCTGGACAGAAAGCGGGACCTCTCCATCCCCTCTACAAGCAGAATTCGTGTGCTTTTCAAGCTCATTTCAAAACAATGGAATCCTTGAAATCAAATCCCAAACAGCCTGGAAAAAGAAGATACTGACAGTTATGAAAACCAGAAATGGTTATTTCTAGGTAGGTTCTGATTTTTTTAGTTACTTGTTTTCATCTGTTCTGCACTATACCATGCATATTACACATCTTACTGGAAAAAAATGCATTGATTCTGAGGCCACACATCAATAAATCAATTCCTGCTAGACAAGACATAGACAAATGAGTGTTGCAGAATGGGAGGAGCAGATACCAAAAAGGGCTCGTGACCTAGCCCCACTCCCTCTTCCACAAATTCTGTTACTTTCACCCTCTCACGAAAGCCCTTTGGGCCTTGTTTTCATATTTCAAAACAGCATTATTATTTTATCTGTCTGTGTCAGGCCTGATTTTTCTGCCTGAAATTGTACCAACTGAGTTCATGGTGCAAAAGGATTCTGCATTTTGTAAACCTGTCTTTAAAAGCCTCCCTTGCAGACAAGGTACCTGTCAGAGCCTCCTGTGGTTAGCTGGGGCCTTTTGATTGTTTGAGCAAACAGAATGGGTAGAAATGGGCCAGGCGCAGTGGCTCACACCTGCAATCCCAGCACTCTGGGAGGTCGAGGCGGGTGGATCACCTGAGGTCAGGCATTTAAGACCAGCCTGACCAACGTGGTGAAACCCTGTCTCTACTAAATATACAAAAATTAGCCAGGTGTGGTGGCACATGCTTGTAATCCCAGTTACTTAGGAGGCTGAAGAAGGAGAATGAATCACTTGAACCTGGGAGGCAGAGGTTGCAGTGAGCCAAGATTGTGCCATTGCACTCCAGCCTGGGAGTGAGACTCCATCTAAAAAAAAAATGGGTAGAAATGCATTCTGCATGTGAGAAAGACATGAATTTTTAGGGGCCAGAGGATGGATTGAATTATGGCCCCACCCCCATAAATCTTTGCCGTTCGTGGAAATGGGGGCTGAAGGACTCTGTTTGTTTGGGCTGCTGAAACAGAATCCCAGAGACTGAGCAATTAATGAAAAACAGAAATGCATTCCTTACTTCTGGGGCCTGGGAAGTCGAAGATCAAGGTGCCAGCATATGGTAAGGGCCTTCTTCCTGTGTCCTCACATGGCAGAAGGCAGAGGGTGAGAGAAAACAAACTCCCCGCATCAAGCCCCCTTGTAAAGGGACCTGATCCCACCATCTACAAGAGAGCAACCTCATGGCCTAGTCACCTCTCAAAGGTCCCACCTCCTAATACCATCACATTAGCAGCACCTGAATTTTGGAGGAGGCACACTCAAACCATAACAAGGATCAACACAGTGAAGACACCAGAGATGAAGATGGGATAGGGGAGAAAGCACCAAAAGAAAGTGGAGCTCACAGACTGAAGCCAGCACTTACGAAGAAGTCTGAGTTTTGAGGCAACCCAGGGAAAAGCGGAGTAGATGATTATCCACAGTGGGAATAAGGAAGAGGTGGTGAAAATGGACACTAGGCTAGAAATGCCTTCCTGCCATCAACAGCCTAAATTGGGGCTGGAACACGACCTCAAAGTCCTGCTGTTCACAGACAAACCCTCCCAGGCAGTAATAGCCCATTGGCAAAGCATCTTCCTTTCCCTATCAGAAAGCAGCCCCCACAGGGAATGGGGATAGGGGAAATGATGGGAGAGCCAGAAGTCTTCATCACACCCTAAAATGCCAGGGCACGAAACCTTTCACCAAATTCTCAAAAAGATCCGTCATTCTATACTACTCAGCCATAATATGGAACAAAATAATGGCCTTGGCAGCAACTTGGATGGAGCTGGAAGCCATTATTCTAAGTGAAGCAACTCAGGAATGG
The DNA here is from genome assembly GCF_000001405.40 of Homo sapiens. Taxonomy (NCBI): domain Eukaryota; kingdom Metazoa; phylum Chordata; class Mammalia; order Primates; family Hominidae; genus Homo; species Homo sapiens. Next base: position 8,350,339 of record NC_000002.12, read on the forward strand.
AAAACCAAATATCGTATGTTCTCACTTATAAGTGGGAGCTAAGCTATGAGGATGCAAAGGCATAAGAATGATATAATGGATTTTGGGGACTCAGGGGAAGGGTGGGAGAGGGATGAGGGATAAAAAACTACTTATCGGGTATAGTGTACACTGCTCAGAAATTACCACTATAAAACTTATCCCTGTAACCAAAAACCACCTGAACCCAAAAAACTACTGAATTTTAAAAAATAATAACTACATGTGAAAAAAAAATCTATCCTAATAATTCTCAAATAAGATTCCCTGCACCCAGCATATCATTGATTCTCACAGAATTCCCCTAACCAGCTGGATTCATCCAAATATATCGATGGTTATGCAAACACCTACCTAGCAACAGTCCTGGGTTGAATTGTCCGGAGCCTAGAAGGAGATGGAATCTCCAAGATTCATACCTGAGAATGGACACCATTCCTGGACAGGCTGGGGAAGGCCTAAGCTGTAAGGAGTTGCATAAGCATGGGTAGGCACAGTGGTGATGTGGTCAGGAACTCATTGTAGGGACAGAGAGACAGTCCAGTCTGCTGGTCACAGCACATGGTAGATGGTCAGTGAGGGCACCATCTCTATGTGTGACAGACCCCAGGAAGGGAGCTCTGCAGAGCATCTGTCAGCAGGTTGCAGGATTTCTGTGACCACACCTGGAGTGGGAGGCACACATCAACACCAGGGAAGATCAACAGAGGAGATGGTGCTGGGAGACCTGGGATGCTGGTAGATTACAAAGGCAAGGACTTAAGGACAGAAATCGGCAATAAAAAAAAAAAAATCAAGGACTAGGATTGGGACTTAGCAACAAGGCAGAATTCCAGAAAGGCAAACTGAGCAGCCCTACTGTAAACTCAGCTCCAGAACGTGGAGACCCAGAAAACCTAGCTCATGGGCCTCTGCCCACAGTCAGGCAGGCCCTGGGGACAGGGAACAGACAGTTGGGCCAGCAGGAAGAAAAAGGTGGTTCCTGGTTCTGAGAAGTAAGAGATTTCAGGGTCTTGGAAATAAGCCCAGGCCTGAGAGACAAAACCAACAGCTTTAGGTTATTTTTTTATATATACTAAAATAACAGTAATGTTGTTTAGAAAATAATCAGATAATAAACAAAAACACAAAAAAGAAAGCTAACCCATATTGATTCTCCTAAGTGATATCCATCATTAACACCCTGATATATAAACTTTCAGATTTTTCCTATATACACACACACACACACACACACACACACACACACACATATACACACATATACATTTGTGGGTTTTACATATATCAATATGCAAATTTTATCCAAAAAATGTATTTATATGAACTGGCTGTTTCATGACCAGCTTTTTAAACTTAGCAATATATAATGCATATTTTCCCATTTCCATAAATATAGATCAATATTCATTATTTTGCATAACTGATATAGTATTTATTTTATACATGTAGCATAATGTGCTTTACAAATCCCCCAATGCTAAACATTTCTTTCCACCTTTTTGAATTCATAAATGGTGCTGCAGGAAACACCCTGTATGTTATTTTCTCAGTCTAAGTTTGCGAAAGTGAAATCATCAGATCTAAGCCCATTTTTAGTTGTTACGTATTGCCAAACTGACTCCATGTAGCAGCTTGCACGCTCATGAATATTTATGTGAGAGGTCCAGGATCCTGTCACCACCATCTTTAATACCTCAAGGGCATTTATCACTTGGAATGTCACTTGTTTAGGTCATTCAGAAGGGGTCTCAAGTCACTCGTAGCTCCCTTCCCCCCCAGGTAAGATCTCAATATGACACTTGCAACTCACCAGAGCACAGACCCCAAGAACCGTGTAAATCATACCTTCTTGGGAAAATGTATGTGTCTTTATTCATTTTTACTTCCATATTAAAATCTTTTCTTGGAAATTTTTAGTATTCTATTTGAATATGGCTTCTGTTTCTCACAATTCAGATCAATGGGCCACCAAACAAATCTAATAACATAACAAAAAATTGTCTTACAAGAAACATTTAATATCACCCTCATTATTTGATTCCATTTATGCAGTATTAATAGTCCTAGCCTTGTGCAAGCAGAGGCACTGAGTCATGGTATGAGAAGCCACGTGCTACACTGCATTTGGACTGGAGCTGCTGTGCACGTTGCATGTGGACTGAGCCGTCCAACACATAAGCGCAATTATGGGGGAGGGTGCACATAGCTTCTTCTTACAGCAATACCTAACTGGAATTTTAGAGAAGAGAAGATACTTGGGGGAGAAAGACAGACTACAGTCTATTTAGACTTTCAAAAAAGATATTTCACAAAGTCTCAGAGACTGTGTGTTAGTAATAGAAATGTTTTTGTCGCAAATGTGACATTGGGTAAGAACTGGGAAAGACAGGCATAGACGAATACAGACTGAACGAGGAAACACAACAGGAAGTCCTTGAGATCTCTTAGTCCATGGAGGGCTCTGGTCTGCAGGAAGCTTTCCCAAAGCTGAAGAGAAGAGAAAGGGGAGGGGAGAGGAGGGGAGGGGAGGGAAAAAAGGAAAGAAAAAGGGTAAAAGGAAAGGAAAGAGGAAAGGGAAGGGAGGGAAGAGGAAGGGAGGGAAGAGGAGGGAAGAGGAGGGAAGAGGGAAGGGGAGAGGAGGGGAGGGAAGAGGAGAGGAGGGGAGGGAAGGGGAGAGGAGGGGAGGGAAGGGGAGAGGAGGGGAGGGAAGGGGACAGGAAGGGAGGGAAGGGGAGAGGAGGGGAGGGAAGGGGAGAGGAGGGAAGGAAAAAAGAAAGAAAAAAGGAAAGAAAGGAGGGAGCAAGCAAGATGCATCTAAGATAATACATTCAGGAGAAATAATCTAAGCCAGGATTTCATAGGGGCCAGCGACATAATAATAGATAGATATTCTGGGGAAAGACAGTTCTTTGGATCAATAATTGAAAGAAACACCTCATTTTCAATATCTCCCTCTCTTTCTAGAATATTCCCAATGCACATTATCATTTTTAAAGCCTATAAGAAGTCCTTTGATTAGGAAAATCATCTTTAATTGTGTTTATCCCACAATTATTTAAAAACCCATTTATAAATGAGTACCTAGTATGGTCTTACAGAATACCAATGTTTCATGAACCATAAGTTAATCTGAATTGCACATATGCAACCATGGCTGCCAGAATTCTTGTTTATAACCAGTGGTATGATAGTAAACTGGCTCACCATTAAAAAAGAAAGAAAAAAAAAAAAACAACCTGATTTGAAGTGTTTGCCATTTCCCATGGTGTAAATACTCCTACTGTGGCTGATTTGAAGGAGGGCTGTTTAACAACCAAGGAAGGTTTTAAGGAATGGTGTAGACTATTTCTCAAAAGCCCAGAGTGCTCTGCTGTCCTGTACAGCAAGCCAAACTATTAAACAAAACCATAAATGTAAGCAAAAAGCATTTCTCAGCCTTTACAGAGTTGATGATCCATAGTTCGTATGAAAAAAGATGAGATTAAATCTCTGTGAAATGGTAAATGGATTAATTTCCCCATGATATACCTCATTCTTTTCTGGTGAATATGTCTACATAAAGAGATTAGAGAACTAGAAGAAAGGCAACAAAAATAATAAAGATTACAGGAGCTTCTGTGTGAAAGTAGAGTCTGGAACAGTGAAAACTGAGACTGAACTGATTGAGGCCTGCAAAGACACTAAATGGTACATGAAAAGGGAGAACATTTTTTAAAATACCATTTGTTGATCAATTCTGTGGGTTCAGTGGTGATTATACAAACAGAGCCTTCAGGGAAGGCATCTTCTGGCTGTGGGATGTTTTTAGGCATAAGTAGGAGTTTTTCAGATACACAGAGGAGAGGAGAGCATTTGAGGCACAGAGAACCCACAAATACCCCAAAAGTCTGAAAGAATCTGGTACTCATTTATTTCAAAATAAATTTAAAAATACACCCCCACATTAAATTAATGATATAACATATTGAACTGATAGCCTTGAGTCAGCCACCTTGGGCTGAGCAAAAACCAAAGTTGTGCCACCAAACCCCTCTGACGGTAGAGACCACGAAAGGTGGTCATCACATAGAGACGCTATAGTTCTGCCCCAAATTTAAATCACCCTCACTGTCCAGCCCTGAGGAGGGAACACAGCATCTCTGGGCAGGGAAGATCTGTTCATTGCCCAGCCCTCCTCGTCCTTCACCATCAGTGTCAGGTAGGCTGATGATGAGCAGATGGAAGCCAAACTTCCCATTGACACGGTGTGCATTTGAAAGCAAGCATGCCTTGGCTGTTCCCCAAAAGACCTACTGGGAAGGACTGTTTTTGTCATGCTGTTGTCATGTTGTCAAATTGCTAGGCCTGAGAAACTTCTACTCTTCATAACGAGGACTTTAAAAATCAACTTTCCTGATACTGGATATGCTTTCTTTCAGCCCTTACTTGCCAGTTTCAAACTCTGGAGTCCTGAACTCAGAGAAACAGAACTGCTAAAAACACATGACATGGCCCTCTCAGTCAGTTCCAGGCTGCTATGACAAAATACCTTGGACTAGGTAATTTAGAAGTCATAGACATTTATTGCTGACAGTTCTGGAGGCTGGGAAGTCCAAGATCAAGGTGACGACAGGTGTGGTCCTGGTGAGGGCTGCTCTCTGCCTCACTGAGGCACCTCTTGCTACGTCCTCACATGGGCAGAAGGGCAGGAGGGCAAGAAGGGACATGTCTCTAAGGACATTAACCCTTCAGGAGGGTGGAGCCCTCCTATTCAATCACTGCCCCAAAGGTCCCACCTCTTAATACCATTGCATTGGAGATTATGTTTCAACATGAATTTTAAAGGGACATAAACACTCAAACCATAGTAATATTTTTCCCTAACGCATGATGTAATTTGGGAGCAATCAAACAGTGTAGCATTCCTATGGAAGGTACAAAAAGAAATCTGGACTTCCCCTACTTTTAATCAGGAATGGGAGGTCTAAGTTATCAGGAGCTGCCCAATGAGATTGACACAGTTTCACGGGTCACATGGCACTCAGCTGCACGGAGCCTCCAGGGACCCAGACACTAAGTACACAAGATGTTCATGCACCACAATTAGGATTAAATGAGCATATGGCAGAAGAAATCTGCTTGCAGGAGAAAAAAATGAAAACTAATATTGCAGGGAAAATGGCACAAATTAGGCAGAGAGTCATTCGTGGGTCTGTGAACAGAAGAGTACCAACCTGCGGAACCACTGCTAGGGAGCAGGGCATGGTGGGAAAGTTCCTGGAATAAGGCTGCATGCAGAAGTGCAGATCACGCTTGGTTCCTGCCTGCAAATTAAAAATCCAGCTGTCCTGCTCCCTGGTGATGTGTGTGTCTCTGGCAATGATTTAGCAAGCAACGTGGCTTGCTTTGAAGAAGCCATCCTTTAACTATGATTGAAAGATAACTTCCTAGAGAAGGAATGAGCAGCCAGTTTAATTTCTTACCTTAACTTATATTCAGTTGCTCTGGCTTCAGAGAGGACTTCCCTGAATACTCCTCACAAGTTGACACATGAGTCAAGGAGCCAGACAGGACATGGGTACTCCCTAATCAGGAGGCGGAATAGTTGTGCAAATAAGCCCTCACGTCTTAAAGTCAGGCTTAAAGGCTTTATAAAAGGCATCCTTTCTTAAATCATTTTGCAGCAATCAAATTGGTCAGAAATGTGTTCCTAGCCCCCATTACTGGGAAACTTTGGCCCCTGGTTGGGCTGTCAGGGGAGATCTAGGCTTGGACATTTGTACATAGTCATCCCGGCTCTTGTTAAGGGGACCTAGGTATTAAATCTGACACTCCTCTGGTCCAGTTTTCTTACACAAAGAAAATAAATTTTGTGGTGCCATTGCCAGTTCAAGTTCTTTACAATCATCAAGTTCTTGACAAAGTCATATCATTAACCATGAGGAAGGTGGAACTCAGTGCAAACTCGATATTATTGCCTGAAACACACTTCTAGAAACTACTTTCCAAAGGTGTCCCCCCGCCAGTTAACCACACCTCCCAATACTTATGTCCTTCTGTAGCCCTTCCCACATTCTGGCTGGCTGGTATAGCCAATAAAATATGATGGAAGCAATGCTGCTTGACTTCTGAGGCAGGGTGCAAGTTTCTGCATTTGTCTCCTGAAAGACTTATTTAGGAGAAAGCCAGCCACTATGCAAGAAGCCTAAATATCCTGATCCTGCCATGCTATGAGGAAGCCCAAGGTACCATGTGGAGGAGCAGTATGGAGAGAGGCCCAGGCAACCGCAGTTGTTCCAGCCATCTTAGTTGGGTGCCAATCATATGAGAGAAAAAGTCATCTGGGACCCCAGTCCAGACAAACTTTCAGATGAATTCTAATTATAGTCACCATCTGACTGTAAGGACATGAGACTCCATGTCAGAACTGCCCAGCTGAGCTCAGCTGAGCCACAGAGCTGTAAGACGCACAATACATTGTTGTTTTATATGACTAAGTCGTATAGCATACAGCAATAGATAGAAGGACCAATGTTCCCCTCATATTTCACATCCAAGGTTTGAACACTGTCTTGGAGTCAAGAGGCAAAGGCATTTGCTCACTGAACAGAGACTGTTCATTCAGAATGAAGCAGAGTATAGCAGGAGGTAGCAGTGTCATACCATGAAGGGTAGCGGATTGCAGGAACTGGTACCATCTGGGCCGCCATCATTGCCTGAGGGACTAGACAAAACTCTTCCACAACTGCAGCTCTCCCACACCCTCCTAAGTTTGCACAAGGGTTCACTATTGCCCAGGGAGCTTTCCTCTGAATGTCTGCCTGAAAACTTCGTATTCACCATGTAAGTTGTGACCTCAATGCTTATTCCTCCAAGAAGCCTTCCTGCCCTTTTCAGGTGGCCTTTCCCCTGACTCACATCTGACTTTCTACCAAGCATCTTATAGCCCGATCGGTTGCCTGCCACCATCGTAAGGGTGCCTGGCTGCATCTTTAGCTCCTGTGCAGCAGGGCCCCTGAGGGCAGGGACAGTACCTGTATTAGCCTCCTAGACTGCAGTCAGAGAGAATCACAGACAGGAGCTTCAACCCCAGAAATTTATTTTTTCACAATTCTGGAGCCCAGAAGTGGAAATCAAGGTATGAGTAGGGCTGGATCCTTGTGAGGCTGTGAGGGAAGAGCCCTTCCAGGCTCTCTCCTGGCCACGGAGATGGCTTTCTCCCTGTCTCTTCATACCATCATCTCCCGCTATGTGTGTCTCTGTCCAAATTGTCTTTTCTTAAAAGGACATTGGGCATATTGAATTAGGGCCCATCTTGGACCTCAATTTTAACTGAATTGCCTCTGTAAAGACCTTCTTTTAAAACACAGTCAAATTCTGAGATATTGGGCCTTGGGATTCAAACATATGGATTTACTTGGGGTGGAGAGCAGTTCAGACCACAGCAGAGACTTGTTCTTCCCTGTGATCCCACCTCTTAGCCCTCAGCAGGAACCAACCCTGCTCACACCTCAATTTCTACCCTGGTCTCTAGAACTGTGAGAAAATCAATGTCTGCGGTTGAATCTGTCAGGCTGTGGTTCTGACAGCAGCCTGGGAGACTAATACTGGTACCATCCCTGCCCTCAAGGCCCCCACTGTACAGGAACTAAGGATGCAGGCAGGACCCATAAGACAGCGGCGGGCACTCTTTAACTACAAGAAGCTCAGTAGAAAGTCAGAAGGAGGTCTTGGCAAATAGATGCTCTAGGAGGGAAGAGGAGTAGGGAGGGAAGGCCACAAGGGAGAGACAGGAGATGGAGGGTGGGAGAGAGAAAAAAGGGAAGAGGGGTGCCGACTCAGTGTGGCTCAGCAGGAACGAAACCACCCAGTCAGAGTTTGCTGCAACTTTGAAAAGGCGGCTCCTAGAGTTCTCCATATGTAATCTGAAAGAATAAGAAACAAACAAGATAATAACAGTATAGAGAAAGGAAAGTTGGCAAGACATGAAAAGTGGTTTGGAGAGGAGCGTGAGTAGAAGAGCAGAGAGGAGGCAGGGAAGAGATGCTAAGAATGGGAACTGAAAGCTGCTGTCCCCAGCACACTGAGTGCAGGAATCACATAAAATGCCACGAGGGAAAGAGATGAAATCTAATCCTCCCACCTTGACTACCAGACTAGAAAGCATTAGGATAATAAATGCACAAGAGAAAATAGAAAGAAAATAAGTGGACGGGGCTCTGACTCAAAATAACAGAATTTCCTGTGAGCACCAAAATGGAAACATATCTATACAAACCTTCACAATTATATACACAGGAATATATGTAATCAGAGCACAAACACATCGTGATATTCATAGCTTTGCCGCATTTAATTTAAAATATCAAGGCCAGGCATGGTGATTCACACCTGTAATCCCAGCACTTTGGGAGGCCAAGGGGGGAGGATCACTTGAGCTTAGGAGTTTGAGACCAGCCTGGACTATATCGTAAGACCCCAGTCTCTACAAAACATACAAAAATTAGCCAGATGTGGTGTTGCACACCTGTAGTCCCACTACTCAGGAGGCTGAAGTGGGAGGATCACTTGAGCCCGGGAGGTTGAGGCTGCAGGGAGCTGTGATCAGGCCAGTGCATTCCAGCATGGGCAACAGAGTGAGACCCTGGCTCAAATAACAAGAATAATAATAATATCAAGAAATATTCTTAAATCACTTTGCCTAATTATTAGTAAAGAATGTAAATATTTAGACATGTGATGAACAAGATGGGGAAAACCCAGCTTCACCTCTGACTTTAATTCTATGAGAGAAAAACATTTATTTTACATCTAACAATCATGACCTAAATAGATGTTTTATAAACATAGCACCAAGTAAATATCTTGATCCCTACACCACCTTCTTCCTGAAATTATTTAGGTTGTTAAAAAAAAATGGTTAGGAAAGGCCGGGCGCGGTGGCACACGCCTGTAATCCCAGCACTTTGGGAGGCCGAGGCGGGCGGATCACGAGGTCAGGAGATCGAGACCATCCTGGCTATCACGGTGAAACCCCGTCTCTACTAAAAATACAAAAAATGAGCCGGGAGTGCTGGCGGGCGCCTGTAGTCCCAGCTACTCGGGAGGCTGAGGCAGGAGAATGGCGTGAACCGGGGAGGTGGAGCTTGCAGTGAGCCGAGTTTGCGCCACTGCACTCCAGCCTGGGGGACAGAGCGAGACTCCGTCTCAAAAAAAAAAAAAAAAAAAAAAAAAAAAAAAAGGTTAGGAAAATATTCTACATGAGACATACAATCTCCTACCACTTTGCAAAGGGCATGAGCACACCCACCGACATGCAACATGCACGCAGCTGTTTGCAAGTTGGTCTGCAACAGGAGCCATGGCTTCTTTATAAACAATACATTGTTTAACGAAACCCCCTAGTCCACTTAGAAAAGATCGTTTTAAACCCAGCAGTAGCCAATATAGAGAGCGTTTGGAAGTTTTCAACACTAACTTGCAAATAGACTCACTATTTTCTGAAAACAACACTCCTCCGGTTATCCCGGCGCTGGAGAATCAGGCACAGGATGGGACAGAGCACGTGGATAAAATGTTCTCCCGATTAAATGTAGGCCAGAAGTCAGGGGAGGTGGGGAGTGGGGAGGAGATAGCGATGTGCTTAGAAATTCCCGGCTTCTCATTATTAAAGTGCTCTCGGCTCACCTGCTACGTCCAAATCAAACTGGCGGGATTGGCGTCAGCACCTGCAAATCGGTATTGTCTGAGCGGTGGGCAGCTGGAACCCCCTGAGAGTCTTCTCTTGTCAGGGATGAATCAATCATCTCGAAAGATGTCAGCATCTGCCCAAACCATTTTATATTAGAATAAATGGCAGATGGTGGTGTTTTTATATTTAATCAGTTCCACCAAATGCAGTTTCATCTCTTATAAAACGAAACCATCTGCAGCATGTAGGTGCACAGATCTTGCTACATGCCCACCATTGAGCCCTTTCCCTGAAAGGTAGAGCTAGACATGCGAACATTGGCTGACATTAGGCACAATAAGCCCAGAAATCCTTTAAAATAAAGCCCCATGTTTTTAATAAATACTTGCACGTAATCATACTAAATATTTCTGATTGATGTGCCTTCCATATGCAGTTTGAAACAGAGGTTTTCCTTTCATGCCCAGCATAGGTTTCAAACATTTCTGGAAGTCTCTCATTCTAAAATGCCTGAAAATATTCTCATAACAAAAAGGGTCATTTTTTTTGCCTGTGAATCTTCTTTATAAGCATTTTATCTTTACTTTGACATGAATTCTTTCAGAGCAGGTTGGCTATGGCTGCCACAGTAGTCAACTTCACACACACACACACACACACACACGCCCCCAACAACAATATAAAATATCATTAACACTTACATTTGTGTATCACCATTTGGGTGGGTTCTGACCAGATGTAAAAAAAAAAAAAAAAAAAAAAAAAAAAAAAAAAAAAAGACCTACTTATTTCAAAATGCTGGCAGATGGAACCCCTACGTTTTGGCCACAGAAAGCAGCAAGCAATCTTACCACCAACAGGACTTTCTATGCTTTATTTCTCCTAGAAGTGGAAGCCAGGGTCAGCATAACGGGGTCCCGAGAGGGAGCTCTGTTCTCACCACGAGTGCTGGCTGGGACCCCTCTCCCCAGGATGCGGAAGGCTACAAGGCTGGGTGATGCGCTCAGTGTATTTGATCCCGCTGGGAATGGAGGAAGCAGCGTGCTTTTCCCATCAGACTCGTATAGTCAGCAGGTGAGACGCCATTCAACCTGACGACGTCCTTTTATTATTGTTTTGAATTTTGACCAGCTCCAGCCTCTCAGAGCCCAAATTCCTGAGCTTGGCCTCCAGAGCTCTTTCGACCTGGCCCCAGCCTGCTTCACTCTCCAGCTCTGCTTCCTGAACTGCCCATCACAGACATGTTCAATACATCTTATTTTATAAAATAGATGTCCCCCAAATCCCCCCAAATGAATCCTCATCGATCTGAGACTCAACATCTGTTTCCTATAAATAGGTGTCCCGGAACCTGCCACGTGCAGTCTACTTGTTGAAGAAACAGTCTCTTACCCATTCACAGATGTTCATACAGAAATTAGGACATAAACTCTCTTAGAATATAATGCTAGAAAAGATAGGTATAACAGTGCCTACCCGAGCAGAGAAATCTTTATTGCCCCTGAAAAACTGATTTGCTTTCAAATGTCAGATGGTTTCTCTCTTTGCCCTGGCTGCCAGGAACCTCAGAGTTGAATGTGATGTCAAATCCTACTTACTATTACCACCCTCATGTTTCACCCTCTGCTTCCTGCTTTATTCCCCAAAATTTCTATTTTATCTTTGTTAAACGTAGCGAGTTCTCATTATTGCTACCCTTTGGGTTGGTTGATGTTCCATTTGTAGGTATATTATAAGGGCATGTGTGACTGAGTATTTCAAGATATAAAAAAGCCTCAGATGCTTTTGAAAATAGAATCATATAATAAAATTCAAAGTTTTAGATCTGATTTCTTTTAACCTGGGTATGTGTTTTATGAGAGTGGGGATGGGAGAAATTAAATTCATTTTCTTTTGATAGTGGCAGTGAGAGGGCCCTGATATGATTTGCGTGTTTGTCCCCTCTAAATCTCATGTTGAAATGTGACCCCCAGTGTTGCAGGTGGGGCCTGGTGGGAAGTGATTGGATCATGGGGTGGATCCCTTATGAATGGCTTCGCACCATCCCCTTGGTGATGAGTGAGTTCTCGCTTAGTTCACGCGAGATCTGGTTGTTTAAAAGAGTGTGTCACTTCCTCCCCCGCCCTCGCCTCTTGCTCCCATTCTTACCATGTGATGTGTCTGCTCCCACTTCACGTTTTGCCATGATTGGAAGCTTCCTGAGGCCTCATCAGAAGCAGATGCTGGCACCATGCTCCCTGTACACCCTGTAGAACCATGAGTCAATTAAACCTTTTTTCTTTGTAAGTTACCTAAATGCCTCCAGTATTTCTTTAAAGCGATGCAAGAGCAGCCTCACACAGGCCGTCTTTAGGCATCGGGAGTCTGTCCTGATTCCTGGGCATGAGCCGTGCAGCTCAGCAGGTGATCTTCTGCACACATTGAAGGGACGAGAAGGCAGCCAGGGATCAAACAAGCTGTGAGGGAAGAAATGTGGAACAGGGAGATAAAACTCCTTTCTACTGGGAAAACAGTTTTGTTCAAACTAAATAGGGAAGAAAAGAAGGAAAGGAGAACGTTTGGGTTGGGAGGAACTGGTAAGTGTTTAACCGATTGGATGGCAAACAGGTCTTTGAATTCATAGTGACTGCGCTTTCTCCCTGGAGGACTCCATTGTGACTTCTGCCCAGCATCCCTGCTTTCCAGCTTCATCCAGTGAAAATCAGCCAGAGAATCTCATCGCCTTGGCCACAGTCAAATGAGTACACCTGTGCCCAGGACAGACCATCGGAATCCTTCCTTGGAATCTGATGTAAGGATACTTGGAGGAAAGAGCTAATTTTTCTCTAAGTGGCCTCCCCTGGGGTGGGAGGCTGCTGCCATGTCTCTTTGCCTAAAGGAAGCAGATTTGTAGGCCAACATAAAGAAGCTCAAGCTCACAGAACCTGAGTTTCTGTCACTTGCATCTGAACGAATTCTGACTCACATAGTCTCATTTTACAAGTCAGGGGAGAGAAGCCCAGACAGGCAAAGGAACTTCTTGTGGCCACCTAGCAAGGGGTCTGGGGCTCCCAAACTTGCTCAGGGCCATCCTAGCTACACCCTGCCACTCATTTCCCCTGTGTGGGCTCGAGGTAACCAATGCCCTATGTTCAGAGTTCACTCCCAGGAAGAGGAAAGACCGCAATCTTCAATGAGTTCCCTCTCAGTCCCCTTCATCCTTGTTCTTTCCCCTCCTTTATCCTAAATTCACAGGGAAGAAAAAAAAACTACATGACTATGCATTCTCTCTGAAAATCTACCAAAATTGGGAACTCAGCCATTCCCCTGAGCCCTGCTCCCGGCTGGTACCCGTTAAGACGTTTCCATTTTTTTCGATAAGAACTTGCGTGGTGAGATTCCACATGTGTTTGAACAACAATTCATGTTTGTCTCAGCCTCCCTCTTGCTGAAAACCCCCAACTGCTTTGTGAAAATGATACTTGCCATTCTCTCCATGGAGAAGAGGAAAACAGAAGGAAGCAGAGGTGTTTCTCCCAGGTCCTCTATCACAGCTACACAGAGAAGCGACGTCTTGATTCACACCATGTTGGAGGCAGCCTTGGGATCAACCCCTGACCTAAGCCCCATTTAGTGACCGTGCCAGGGGGGTGAGTTACTTCCTGTCCTGAGCCTCCTTTTTTTTTCACCCATAAAATGGAGAGAATAGGAATGTGATTCAGTGAAATCCTGTATTCAGAGCACCTGACACAGGTCTTGGAACATGGCAGGTCCTGCGTTAATGTTAATTTCCTCCTCCTTCCTGTCTCTGCTGATGAGGAAAAGAGTGTTTCCTGTGATACACCACTCTACCTGCTCCCAAGTAAGCCACACAGAATTATCATATCTTCTCATACATAAATATACATCAGATGAATGGTGTAACATTATTAGCATAATGAATATTCTAATTATGTCTCTAACATTAAAGCTGGCACCAAACATTAATCTCTAGGGAATACCAATTGCCAAGGTTGTAATTACCAACCTGTGATGGGGGGGGAGGTTACAGAAGGGATTGAACTTGTGAAATCAATGAGCCATTACATTTTTCAAAACACAGGAGGAAATCTATTACAATAGAGCATTCACACACACACACACACAACACACACACACACAACACACACACACCACCATCCCGCCACTCTCATATCATTTCTTTTTATATCACGTTACTGAAATGACAGAACAGGTGAGTACCACAAATTTAACTGGTACCTCTGACAGAAGATTTACAAAGGCTAGGAGCTGGCTAGGAAACTTCCCCATATTTCTCTAACAACAGCCCTAGGCAGGTTTTTAGCAGAATAGTCCCATTTCTCACTTGGGAATCTGAGGTATAGAGAGGTTAAGTAATAATAATTGTAACCAAAACAAAAAGTAACACTTTTAAGTGTTTTTTATCAGCAACATTTCCAGAGTGATTTACACAAATTATAGTTATTATCACCCCTGTTGTATTCCATGATACAAACACTTAGCAAAAGTCATTTGGCTAAACTTTGGTGGTGCCAGCGTGAAACCAAGGTTGTCTGGAAATGCTGAGAAACCCTTCCCAATGTCCAAGCTCACACAGGTCCATAGTCAGGAAGCTGTGATTCAAACCCAACTCTGGAATATGGCAAAGTCTACACTCTACACAATCATTTCTGGCATTCAGCAATTAATGTGACACGATTTCTTATGGGTTTCTGGAAAATAAAAGAAAATATAGGTTCAACTGGTTGCCTAACTGAACTGGAGTGCTGATCACAGAATTTCTGGTAAGCCAGGGCAAAGTCCATCCTAGGCATTGTCAGGAACCAGACTTGAGTCAACAACTCAGATGGGAACAAATGAGGTCACAGCTTATAGTTTTAGAAGACAAGAATATAGGCAGAAGAATGTGCAGATGAGGCTAGGGTGCTAACACTGGGGAATGCATACACATCTCAGCCATCTCATCAGGAACATAGGCCTGGCTTTGTCTGGAGTTCAGGGTTTAAAGCCCAGCTTGTCCACATCCTTATTTGTTTTCTGTAACGCACCTGAGCCCGCTCTTGGCCTCAGGCATCCAGGGGCAACTGAGGTCCAGAAGCCTAAGCCTTGAGTGGATATTGTACCTGCTCAGTTAAAGAAAGTGTGTGGGCCTCCATCCACAGGCACCACAGGCGCCAAGTGCTGGGCCAAGTCCGTGTCCCTCTGTGTGTTCAGCGCTGGAGACCACGTGGGGCAGAGCATCCAAGAGCCGGTGCTTGGACCTCCTCTGGGGTTTCAAGTGAGAGCCTTCACAGCCACAGAAGCCACGATCGTTTTTCTCTCTACACACTATGCCTTTGCTTTCCCCAAATCCCAATCAATCCTTCCATCAATGTGCCCATTCACTCAGGCACTCATGTGTTCATTATTCAGTGCGCATCCTTGATAGGTGGAGACGCTGACCCCGCCCCAGCTCTGGGAGTGAGCATGCTAGCCCGGCGTCCTCTGGGGTTTCATGAGGGCCAGGCATGATTAAAGTCCACTGGAATTAAACCTGGATATTTGCTGCTGGGGGTTACATGGGGGCAGCCTGAAAACAAAGTCTCAGAGGAAGCCGAAGCCATGCGATGCAGAGAACAAATGGGTCCGATGACGCCAGCCAACCCAGCTCTCCGCTCCCGACTCCCTGGCACATTTCAGTAGGCAAAGCCAATAAAGCCCTTTCTCCATCCTTTTTTTTTTTTTTTACTTTAAATCTGCTTGAATTAGGTTTCTTGTCATTGCTTCTGGAAGAATCCTGACTTATAAATTAGCCTTCAAGGGCCAGCTCATGGCCCGCTTCCTCCGCAGAACTCTTCACTCGGTGAAAGGAGAAAGCAGCCCCTGCCTGGCTCTATTGTGGATTGAGAGTCATGCTACTGTGTGCTTTCTCCTAATGCCTTCTCAATCAAATGCTGAGCTCCTGAACCAGGCAAGCCTCTCATTTTAGATTCTGGGATGCCACAGGACCTGAGAGTGCTGAGTAATAAATGCTCGGTAAACAGGACTTCCTGCTTGTTTACTGTCTAGCACACGTTTACCCGCTCTGCTTTCATTCAACAGAATTTTTCCCAAAGAAGAAAATCCCTATCTGTCCCCTCACCATCTTTCAAAGGGAATATTCCACAAACTAGCCCTATTCATGCGTTCAATCAGTGGATATTTCCTTTAGCGCTTAGTATGTGCCGGACCTTGGTGCTGGGTACAGGTGGTGCAGGTGTCAGTATGTCCTCGTGGCCTAGTTGGCCAACAAGTGGCCCTCAGTGTGAGAAAGGTCATGGCAAAGGATGAAGATGCTATAAGAACCCTCAGGAGGAAGCACCACCTCTAACTTTGATATGATCTGCCATGTGGCTGCTGATGCAGAACTGGAGACGGGATCTGGATGTACAGACAGGTGGGGATGATAGGAGGCAGAAAGAACTGATAACTTCAGGAAAAATTAGCATGCTGTTTGTATAAGGGAACATATATTGAAATCCATCTGTCATGGTCTCCAAGAAGATTCTGCAATATAAAATCAGTATAAAAATACAAGAAAAAATAAGCACTCACATGACATCATAAATAAATAGGTTTGGCAAATACTCACTGAATTGGCAATTTGTTACCAGAGGCCACAAACTCATGGCTCCCTTCAAATTTTAATTTAAAAACTTACAAATGCAGAGGAAAACATCTGCATTGTATTTCCAGAGGAATACAGCCCTGTGACCCCAGAACCTTATATTCTCAGTTTCCCAGGGAACCAAATCAAAGGAATCCATCTTGATATGCCTCCTCTCTCTGAAATCTTACAGCAAATTCATTCATTGAATGCTTCTAAAACCCTGTATATGTTAAGCAATATGTTAGATGACCACAATACAATGGCATATGTTCCCAGAACTTCTAGTCTGATGGCAGATCGAATCAGGAAACATTGATCACTTGCGACGCACTGTGAACCGATGATCATTTCTATGGAATGCCACAGTCAGTGATGACAGCCTGATAATATTCTGACTGTGCATTGCTTTGCTGTGTATATTGCAATATTTGCCTATCTAACACCTGTGGGGGAAAGGACCATGCTGACCTTTTAGGGTCCTCTCACCACTCTCAGTCCAGATAGTGTGGGTGGGGCTGGCAAGCAGTCCTGACCCCTAGAAAGGATAGGATGCCCAGGCCTAGGCAATGAGAACATTCCATCACTCTGTCCGCAGCCACTGGGTCAAGGGAGAATGTGACCCAATATGGGCCGATTAGAGCCAGAGCATCAACCTTGAGAACGCTAGAGACAAACAGGAAACTGAAGATTGCTTTCCATTGGCTTACTGACCTGAGAGGACAGAAGCCTGAAGTCTCCTGGATCCACTATGTGGGGAGCATGCCCCTGAGTATGAAGCCACGGGAAGGGGACAGATTCTGTCCCAATGATTTCAGTAACCACTGCTCTAGTTCTGCTCACTGGAACCAGATGGTTCTGCCCTGACACTTTTCAATTGCATGAACCCACAAATTCCCTCTTTGGCTTAAGCTATAGAAAAGAATTGCTGTCACTTGCAATCAAAACATCTTAATTAACACTGTGTTGAATCCACTCAACTCTGGGGTAATCAATTAAGGTGAAGCCATGTATCTTTTCCTGTGTCCTCCACTGGCCCTTGTCCAGTGCGCCCTGAAGGACCCACGCAGCAAGTACTCACTAGGAGGACGAACAACCCTGATTATAACTTTACAGGGTAATTCACACCATGTTCATGGAGCAGGACCCATATCCTGGTTCAAAATATTCTATATTCTAGCAAACAGGCATCAGTGACTGAGTCTGGAGGCCATAAAGTTGTTCTTAGCTTTGTGGTTTCTCCCCAGGGCAAGCTGGCTCTGGGAAACTAATAGGTTCAGATGAAACTCACAGGAGAATGATTAAAGCAGATGGTAATTTACTAATAACCACAGTAGCTGCCAGTCATTGAATAGTTACCATGAGACAGACTCTAGCCTAGACATTTACACATCTCATCTCTGTTGCTGTATTATAGGCTCAGGAAAGAAAAACAACATCCCTCATCCATCTTCTCTTTCAGAAAGGGTCATGACAGCCAAGGATGGCTTTGCAAGCAGATGCCATCTGCTGATGCAGCCGAAGCAGCAGGTCCCTTACTTGCCGAGGCCCCTTCCACGGCCCTGCATGCTCTCCTTGGAGGGCATGGAAGGAAGAAAGGAGGGCACGGAGAAGGAAGGGTGCAGCTCTGCCCCAGCCTGGGGTCTTCCTCTTCGCCCTGGCGATGGTCCTGAGCATGGGGCAGAGTCGATAGGCTGCAGCGCTGTCTCTACACCACACCAGTGTCCAGCCCCTGTCTCTGACCCTAACAGGAAGAATCTGAACAAGCAGCTGCTTTGGTCCTGCTCCGTGTTTGGAGGTATCACACCCAATCTCACTCTCAAGGGCCAACTCACCCCCAACAACGGCGGAGGTTGGAGGGCAGGGTGGTGCATGGACCTCGCTAAGCAGCACCAGCCACTGAGGCAATAGTGTGACAGCCTATGCCTAGTGAGACCCACAGTTGACAGTTGCCCAAGGTCATCTCTGGGAAGCAGCTCTGCACAAGCAAGAAATGGCAGGGGCGGTCCCAATGACCGCAGTGAAGAGTCCTGCAGGTGAAGGGGACTTCCCTAAACAACCGAGAATCCACAGCAAGCTCCACCAGCCATCCCTGAAGAAAGACTGAATTCTTCCCACTCACTCAAAAGGAAATAACCTTACAAAACTGTTGTCATATGAAGAGGCAATCACAGGACATGAAGCCAAAAATCTGGAGAAAAAAATATATACTATAGAGGTGTGTTGGGCAGCTAACTAGCAATAGTGTGCTATTTGTGGGGGGTTCTGTCACGACAGTGATATTTGTCAATTTTTAAATTTGTCGTGTTTTTTTCCCCATTCTAAATAAATTTTTATGCCCATTCCTCATTGTGTATTTAAAATCTGTACTTTTAAGAGAGCACCAAAAATTGTACAAGCTTTTGACTCCACACAACCTGGATGTACCCTTGGCTTTGAGAAATCCGACATCAAAAGTTAACTCCCCATTCCCCAGCATGAGGCCTACATCTGTTTTCTTTATCAATAGAAATGCATCCCTTATTTTTAAACCTAAAGGGGGAATACTTTTGACTACTTTGTTTTTTTATTTTTATTTATTTATTTTATATATATATATTTTTATTATACTTTAAGTTCTTGGGTACATGTGCACAACCTGCAGGTTTGTTACATATGTATACATGTGCCATGTTGGTGTGCTGCACCCATTAACTTGTCATTTACATTAGGTATATCTCCTAATGTTATCCCTCCCCCCTCCAACCACCCCACAACAGGCCCTGGTGTGCGATGTTCCCCTTCCTGTGTCCAAGTGTTCTCATTGTTAAATTCCCACCTATGAGTGAGAACATGCGGTGTTTGGGTTTAGCCTAACAAGGTTGATGAAGGTGAGAAACGCCAGTTCAGTACCTGGAATTCACCCCTGGGGCTGCAAGAGGGTGAGAACCCCTGACAGACAACCAGTCAGAAGGAGAAGTGGAGGTGTCCAAAGAAAACGTGAAACTATTCCACGGTTGTATACAGGATCAGTGCTGAGGATAAGAACCCTCTTCCCACTACAGCCAGCTGATTAACTGCCAAGACAAACCTGGACTCCACCTAATCCAAAGCTATCAAGTGGTGGCCATTTCCAAGTTTCCCTACTCTACGTCCACCCCCAAACCCACTATCACCCAAGCCTGGGTGGCTTTCTGCCCTGATCTCCGCCATCAGCCACTGGCCTCTCCTTTCTGCCGCGTTTTCCATTTCCTCCTCCCACCCACAGCGTGGGAGGGAAGAAACTCCCAAACAGAAGCCACCTTAATCCTACTGGCCTTCAAGTTTAATTCCATGCATCCTCTCCAGATAACCTCAGCCAGCACCCATCAGCTTCCCTAGAAATTGCCAAGTCTGAGCTTCTGTTTATAAATTCCCCCCCCAGCCTGCAAGGGAATGCTCTCTGTCCTGGTCTTCCCGATCTCCTCCCTCATTTGCCCAGGGGCTATCCAGTCCTCTTCTTGCACAAGCTGGACATGTCACCACCTCTCCCACCCCCTCGTCAGGGTCTCGTATTGGTCCAAGAGTTGCCACACAGAATTTGAGTCCCTCTGAAGGCCCCCATTCTCTGCTTAAGAAGTAAGCCCCCAAACAGATGGATGTAAAAAATCAAGGATGCAGAAACACTCCATAGAAGCTGGTATAACTAAAATACTTAATTCATTGATGTGTCTCAAGAAGGGAGAATTGATAAAGCCATGGACTTAAAAAAAAAAAAAAGTGAACTCTGCATGCTTGTAATGCAGTGGCCAGCACATGCCCGATGTCCCCTGGGAGAGGGCCAGGCTTGGAGTCTGTTGGGATACCCCGGAGCTGGGCTATCAACTCCTCTGGGAGGAACTCCCCAGCAGATCCACCTGCTGCAAAAGCTCCTTGTGAGAGCAGACAGATGAGGGGGCCACTTCCTCAAGTGGGCAAGCAGCTGCCAAGAGTGTGATTTAAAGGATGCTATGAAGACACTGTGCCCCAAACATCTCCCTGCTATGCCCCCCAGCACACCCTGGCTGGAACTAAAGTCCCCATCATTGGAGCTGCAGGCACCCAGCCTTCTCAGTTACTGAGCAGATAATGCATAGATGTCTTCACTGACCTTCTGGTCCCCAGAGCCTAAATGCAGGTGAGGGGTAAAACAAGCACATTTCCTGCAAGGACAGGGTGGGGCACACACAGAGTAGGATCTCACTCTGTTGCTTACTTCTGTTCCTTCCATTTTCTCCCCTCTGCCATGCCACATTCCACACAGGATTCAAGGCAGCGCCAGGCCTTTTCTGGCCTCCACCATCATGAGCACATCCCAGGGGTCAGCATGAAGAATGCTGTACCGGTCCCTTCAGAAGGTGACTGAGACCCAGTGCCGAGGGAGCCAGAAGAGGCAGGAAGGACACAAGAGCCACAGGGGCTGTGCTAAAAGCCAAAGGCTAAGATGGCCCAGGCCATGCCAGGGAAGGGTTATGAGAATAAAGAGATGTTATTTTGCAAGTCTCATCCCATGCTTTCTGTATGAGCCACCTCTGCAGAAGACCAGCCACCCCTTCTTATCTCCACTCTACCTCAAACCAGCTCCTACTTTGCCCCAGCAATTACTTCCCTGTATCATCACTTTACACATCCAGTTCTCTACTGCCTGGCAGTGATTGTTGAACAAGAAAGTTATGAAAGCCTTTTAATGATTTTAAAGACACATTAAAAATGATAAAAGGTGGAATCACCAAATATTTGCATTCATGGCTATACTATCATTTTGTAATCTAAGAAGTGTATATTTAATTTTTAAAAAAGAAAAGTCTGTTAGGAGAATATAGCATTGAATAACTGTAAACACTCCCCAGGGATTTGGAAATGAATAACATAGACCCTCTCTCTTTTTTCTAAAGAAATTTAGTAATTATATTGCTGCGAAATGCAAACTATTCGATATACTATCTGGCCACTGAAATTCAACCAAGAGACACTAACAGTCACCTGCTCCCTTTTGGAAGGTCTGTTACATTTCTACCTCCATAATGAGCGGATGTGTAAATGTAAAAGAAAAAAAAGTGTTGAGGCCACAGTTATGTGAAGCTCCTCATCCAAGCTCTTCATGTAAGCAAATTACAGAAATCATTTTCCATCCAAGGGTCGAGGCTAATGCAATAAGCCCGAATCAAATACGACATGGAGAAATCACATATGCTGATGCTAGATAAACAAACTAAGCAAACTTTAACTTACCAAAGAACAAAGGGGTAAAATGATATTGAAGGAAGGTTATGTAATTTCTGTGTTAAATATTGGATAAGGTACTCACAAGCAGTTCTTTACACATGGCCACAGACTCACTTTTGCATATGATGCTATTCACATTGAAACATTAAAAATGCTGTGGATACTTAATATATCTCTGTAGTTTGTGTAATGACATTAAACTGTTGTACTTTCTAATTATGCTATTTTTAATTTTTATGCAATAATCATGTCAGTCAACCCAAAGATCCTAACTCAATTAACTATACATAGAGAATATTCCTGAAAATTTTATCAAGATTTTGACATATTTAGCACCACCTGATGGTACAAAAGAGAGATGGGAATGGGTCTTAATATTTGAACCACAGAAAGGGAAATTATGTCTTATTATATTAATGTATATGTTTTAAAACACAAAATATTTTGAGAATTTTAGGATGGGGCATCAATTTAGAAGATTTTCATGTAAAATCTATCAAAATTATATTTATATAGAAAAAGGAAAACTGAGAATAAGAATTCACAAATCACATCATTATTTCTTCATATCAAAACATTTTATTTGATAATCTAAGTTATAAAGAATAACCCATATACAATTATGTATTTAAAAAAACCCTTGAAATGCCAAAAAAATGCCAATAGAGAATACCAAATATCACACACGTTGCAACATGACACTTCCCAAAATTTGGACTCTTCCATATTTAAAATACAAAGACTTAAAATATGATGGAGAATTCCAGTTTTACTATGAAACAGAAAAAAGCTATTTTAACCCTCTTGCAAAACCAATCGGCAAGTTGTGACAAAACTCAGAGGCTTAGGCAACCCAAACTATAACATATGAGGAATAGAAGCTGAGTCTACACTCAAACAGGAGAGAGGGTTCCAGGGCTACAGAGTTTAGACAAGGGTTAGAAGCCAAAGGTCCCAAAGGAAATGGCATACTCACAGAGTCAAATGAACCTCCGTTGTTGGGGACAGCAGGGAGAGGTGGGGAGTGGGTGTCTTCCACGGACGCAGAAAAGGAAAGCAAGACATGGTGAGCTAGATGGGAAATCTATCAGACATGCCATAAATGCAGGAAGCAGACTCTCAGTGAGGCAGGAGGCAGAAGAAATAGTATTATGGGCAGGGTTGCATCTACACATTTCAGATGACTTTCAGAGTAAAGGCTGGAAAGAATGCCCTCAAACAGGCTGTGTCCTATGAAGAATTCCTGCTAACGCATTCATGGCCCTGCCCTCCAGTGTGTCACTCTGCAATTAACTGGACCAGAAATAATTTGCTTCATTCAAATATAATTATAAGAAAAAAAAAAGCCAGCACCCAGATGAATGAAAAGAAAAAATACTGCAGGAAAAGAAGTAAATCTTACATAAACGAAAGACAAACATCAACTAGAAATATGTTACTATGGAGAAGCTCAAAAGTGTGATCTATAACATATAACCGTGTGTTTTGAGCAAATCACCTTGACAGAATATGATCTCAAAGTAGCTGCAAGAACTCAGGAAAACTATATTTCACCAACAACAGGTGATAAAACGAGTTGGTAGTACTCAGCAAATATTTGGAAGAGAAATTAAAACCATCACAGAAACAAAAGCCCCACTGACAGCAATTTTGAGGAATAGAGAAACTGGTAACCTAGCAAGACATAGCAATCAAAAGACTGAGAAATGCAATCAATCAAAATAAAGTTAGAATAAGCAAAGGTTTAAAAGAGCCAGAGAGAAAATGAAAGATAAGAAAGACAAACCAAGAGATCCAACATATGCCTAATTGGTATCTCCGAGATGAAACAGTTAAAATATGTTTATATTTGTATATATCTAAATACATTAGGAAAACTTTTGAAAAATAAAATGTTTTAATCTACAGAATCAAAAAACATATCCCAGAGAAAATTGAGTCAAAAAAAATTTTAAGAAATTGAAGACTAAGTGTATTCTATAAAGTAATAAAAGAGAACATTAAAACAAATACAAACTTTGAAAATTGTGGAAACAAACACACAGATAAGAAAATATTAGGTCACAAAGAAAACCTCAATTAATTCCTCAAATTGGAAATAATAAAATGCCCTGATCACAATGAACAAAGCTAGAAATTACTAATAAAACTAAAACATAAAACTAACAAACAAATTCCTACCACTTGGAAACTTAAAGGCTTTTTCTCAATTCATAGCTAAATAAGAAATCAAAACTGAAATTTTGTTATAATTAGAAAATAGCAAAAATTAAAATGCTAATCAGTAGAACCAATGGGTTACATCTAGAGTGGAACTCAGAGAAACACCCATAACCCCAAATACATTAATATATTAATAAACAGAAAAAACTAAAAATATTTGAACAGTTCATCCAAAGGAAAATAATAGAAAATAGATCAAGTAAAGTCAAGAATAACAGAAGGAATGAATTAGTAAGCATAAAATGTGAAATTAATTAGGAAACTAAAAAATGATAGTAATGATAAATCCAAGAGCTATAAATAACTGAATATATAAATATATAAGTTAATTATTTTCTAACCTAATTTTAACAAATAAAAAATACACAAATAAACACTGTAAGACATGATAAAGGGAGAAATTTTAGGACTCATAAGAGATCACTTTACTGAATTCTCTGTAACTCTAAGAATCTGAGTAGGTGAAATTATTTTCTAGAAAAGATAAATCACCAAAACTTTCATCAAAAAATTTAGGAATTCTAAGTAGACCAATTACTCTAGAAGAAATAGAATTGTTAAAGTGCTAATACCTCCCCAGAGCAGTGAGTTCAGATAGCTTCACAAGAGAATTCTATGAAACCTTTAAAAAACAGAAGTCTCCAGCATTCTTTCAAACTATTCTAGATGGTGAAAAAATAAAAAGACTCTTTTTTTTTTTTTTTTTTTTTGAGACAGGGTCTTGCTCTGTTGCCCAGGCTGGAGTGCAGTGGCGCTATCATGGCTCACTGCAGCAGCCTTCACCTTCCAGGCTTAAGCAATACCCCGACCTCAGCCTTCCAAGGAGCTAGTACCACAGGAACATGTCACGACGCCCAGCTAATTTTCCGGATGTTTTGTAGATATGAGATCTCACTGTGTTGCTCAGGCTGGTCTTGAACTCCTGAGCTCAAGTGATCCACCTTTGCCTCCCAAAGTGCCGGGATTATGTGTGAGCGACCGTGCCCAGCCTCCATTCTTTTTAAAGCAAGCATTATATTGATGAACAACAACAAAGAGGACCCAAAACAAGAAAACCTCGTTTTAGAAGAACAATGAAAAATCCTTAACAGAAATATTAAAAGAACAATATATGACAACCAAGCAATATAAATTTCAGAATATAAGAATTATTAAATATCACTGAATCTATTAATATAAATCATTATATCAAAAGAAAAATCAAAAGATCATCTCCATATGTGATGGAAAAGACATTTTACATAAGTCAACACCCATTTCTATCTTTTTATGTTGCTTTTAACCACAAAGCATCTTAGCATCATTATAATGTGACTGTGTCATCCATTGTGTGGCATTTCTATTAATTATTCTTAAATATGGTAATAGGTAGATGATTCCTCAATTTGATATAAAAATATAACATTTATTTTAAAATGCCAATTAAATATGTGTTTGTGTATATTTAGTTTGTGCGGGTGTGTGTTATCTAAAAGTCAGACTTCCTAATAGAGGAAAGCTAGAAGCTTCCAATTTAGTCAAGAAAAAGATAAGAAAGCTCATGAACACAACTACTGACTTTGTTTCACAGGTATTTGGCCATCCAACTGATAAGAAAAATACATATGAAGTATAAAACTTGGAAAAAGAAATTCAGATTATATGACTTTTAGCTTGGAAAATAAAAGGAAATCATTGAAAAACTATCACAAACAAATAATTTAGTAAAATATCTGGATGCATATTTTATATAAAGAAATCAATCACTTTCCAACTCATGATCAGATTGATGAAATTCAATATGCTGCTATAGACCAAGTTCATATTGAACTTCAGCATATAATTTAAAGTGAAAATAGCAAAGCACTGAAGTATTTATACATAGTAAATTACTGGCCAGGCACAGTGGCTCATGCTTGCTATCCCAGCACTTTGGGAGGCTGAGGCGAGTGGATCACTTGAGGTCAGGAGTTCAAGACCAGCCTGACCAACATGGTGAAACTCCGTCTCTACTAAAAATACAAAAAATTAGTTGGGCATGGTGGCAGGTGCCTGTGGTCCCAGCCACTTGGGAGGCTGCGGCAGGAGAATAATTTGAACCCAGGAGGTAGAGGTTGCAGTGAGCTGAGGTCATACCAATGTACTCCAACCTGGGTGACAGAGTGAGACTCAGTTTCAAATAAATAAATAAATAAATACTTTTGTGCCCTCCCCACCAAAAAAAATTGAAAATAACCTATGTAGACACATAAGCTTACATATGCATAAAATATCTATAGAAGGAAACTCCTAACACTGGTTGCCTCTAAGGAAGGGAATCAGATATGGAAGGGAGGCCGCCTTTTCACTGTCCTCTCTTTATACTTTTGAGTGTTGTATCATATGCATATAAGAACTGTCCAAAATATAAATAAAATATATTTTGACCAACATGAAGGAAATATATACTTACTGGCAGTGTTTCTCATTCCACAGTTAGTTCTTAAGGATTCTTATCTTTGGAGTCTTAAAATACTCCTAAAAATTCTGGGCCTCAAAATTTATATCTTGGAAACTGTTGAGAAAAACAATAACTATTCTAATCCTGATTCTAACATTTAAAGTTGTTTTAAACTGAAAGCATAGCCTTATATCTTTTTATGTTGCTTTTAACCACAAAGCATCTCAGCATCATTATAATGTGACTGTGTCATCCATTGTGTGGCATTTTGCCCTCCTCAGAATGGAGGGAGGGAGGCAGTGGGTGAAAACAACATGAGTCTGCATGGGACCTGCCCCCCAGATCACCAGGACTCAAGCCACAGTGCTGGCACCTACAAGCTGGTGACCCTGAGCAAATTCTTAACCAAAGTCCCCATTTGTAAAATAAGGATGATCATAGCCTCCCTCTCAAAAGGCCGTTGTGTGGACATTGAGTGAACTCATTCTCACAGAACACCGCACAAGTTACCAGCCCGTGGTAAATGGTATAGACGTGCAGCTAGGATGGTTTTTCAGATTTGGGGTCTCAGCTCAGTTCTTTTGGAAAGTGGTATGCCCTCTTAGATGGCCCTGCTGAGGAAGATGAGCCCACGCCGCTTGACTCTTTCCGTCCTAATTCCCCGTTTGTGGTTTCTTTGTGTGGGAAGGTAAGAAGTCTGAAAAGCAAGAAACGCGTGCCCTACTTCTGAGTGTGGCAAAAAGGGTACCCACAGCCTGTGGGCTCCTCCTATTTTAAAATTCTAATTCTCAAAAACAGAAACCACTGCTTTCTTCCATTGGGTCAGCGAGGCAGTGGATCACTTAGCAAAATTATTTTTCACTTTAGAAGAATCATGCTGATTTGTATACAAAGAAAAAATAGGCTTTTTCAATGCAGAGTAAACTTAACTAGAGACTGTAAAAAGATCATCCTTATATCCAAGATAGCCATTAAATTACAAACTACAATTACATTTTCTTCTACTACTAATTGTTTAGTGTTAAAAAGGGACCAAGGAAATAAAAATTTAAGAGTTAACTGATTCTCCCGCAAACACGAACTTAGCCTCTGTTCTGTACCAGGCAATAGTGCTAATTATTGAGTATGGAAAACAATATCAGAGTTCATTCTTTTGAGCAGTTCAGCCTAGCACCCCCTCTAATGTGCCTCAATAATCAATGTTCTAAGATATCAATTAAGGAAGGTTTAATTTTGTATCATTTTTGCATTTTGGAAAACATATCTTACTCAGATATTGTCTTTACAAATCCTGGTTTCTATCTGTGTCACTGAAACACCCTTTTCTACTTTTTGCCTAAAGAACAAATCAAAAGTGGGTCAAATGTCTTCCTCAGAAACTTGTCCCAATACCCCTCCATGCCCCCATCAACTCCACTAGGTTGGCTGGTACAGGGCCTAGGCTCTCTGGGGTATCCTTGCCATAGCCCTGAACATGCTCTGTTACCAGAGTCTCTCTTTCCTGAGAAGCCCCCGCTCCTTGAGGGCATAGATTCCATTGTCCTCATCACTATATTCTCAGCACCAATTACAATGCCTGGACTGCAAGAGGTATTTCATAAACGGTGGATGAAGGAATGAATGAGCAGTTTCAGAAACATTCTGGCTCTCCCTTTACCCACCTGGCTCAACCTCAGCTTCCCCCTGGGATTTCTATGGCATGGCCACTGTCTTAGCTAAAGTCCACTAAGCACTGCTTACAGTGCTACCAGCAACTATATGCAAATCTAGAAAATCCTGACAATCGGTAGGACATCTTTAGGCCATATCATTCTCTAATAGATTCATATCATGATTTATAATTTGAGTAGAAACAGAACATTTGGTATTCAGTGAAAATAATTTGTTTTGGGAAAAAAAGGATAAAAATATCCAAGAATACCCAAATCGATAGTAATAGCATGCAGATGTTCTTTGTCATGAACTTTACTGTCAGCGCACTGTTAGGAATTCCCTTCTGTCCTTGAAAGAATAGACTTCGAGTTCCACCTGAAACCGCAAAGTACACAAATGCAAAACCGCACACACTAATGGGTACAAAATCATCACCAAACCAAAAACAGGTAGTAGCTTACAAGATGACAGTCTGTCTCAGTCATTCTAGGCAAAGCCTCCCATGCATGGTTCTCTGAGCCGTTTGCATCTCTTTCCTTCTGTTGGTTTTTGGGCATTTTTCTACTCTCTTGATCATTTCAGTACCAGCAGGAGGGTAGGAGAGGCAAATAGAGATGAAATCATAATCCTCTTTCCTTCCCCCTCATGGTATTTATGATAAAAGGCTTGAGGGAAAAGAGAGCTAAATTTAAGAGCTGAAATGAGGGCTTTGAATAACCCTAGGGTTTTGATTATTCATGGCAATGGCTCTCTCCTGTTTTCACAGACATTTGATTCAAGTCAACAAGTGCATCCTGAGAATCAATTCTTTCCCATACAAAGTGCTAGGCATTTTGAGAAATACAAGAGAACCAAAGATTTCAGCTCTGCTCTCAGGAAGTTTTTTGTCTCTTGAGCAGTACAAGGTTGACATATGTGAAATAACCATGAGCCATTAAGACAGTAAGGATAATCAAAGATCCAAATAAATAGAATAAATACACGTATGATGGAAATTCCCAGCGTCAGTTGCACACGCTCAAACTGGCTCTTCTCTCTCATCCCCAGCTACACAATGGCTGATGAGAACTGGCCTAGAATCTTGTCTCCCTCTTTTATAATATATTAACACCAAGAGCAGCAATACACCAAAGTTCAAATATGGTAACAAAAATGATGACAATGCAAGATTTTTTACTAACAAAGATACCCTGAGAGCCTGGCAACCAGGCCACGCCAACATCGAAAGGAATTAATTTTTTTGGTTTCCAGCACTGAAGCTTCTCACTCAGGATTCCAACAAACCACTCTCCCTGGTGACCTGAAGACCCAAACGGTCACTATCTCATCCCTGCCCCGTAAAGAACGTCACACAAGGGCACTTGTTCTACAGTCGTGGTCAAATAGCCAGTGGGAACGCTTTGTTCCAATTTGGAATCTAATTCTGTGATACGTGTAGATTATAATACATTGCAATTTTTCTTCATTCTCTTTGCATGTAAATTAATCCACTGCACTGGAACTACTACTTAAAACAAAGGGTGTTGATTTATAGTCAGTCTCTCCCTCATAAATCACACCTGCAGCGTGGTGCTCAGGGCCCGCCAGGCTGTGCCAGCACTTACCTTTTATAAATGATGTGGGGTGACCTCCCATTGTGAAGCAGCCTGATACAATCCCATTCTTCCTTCCCACATTCACTTTTCCTTGGCTGGTTATTCCCACAGGGACTTCAGACCCTGTGTTTGCAAGCATGCCAGTTGTGTTCTGTTTTGTTTTATTTTTTACATTAAGGAGTGTCAAAATTAAAATCTATGGCTTTGCCCCCCTGTATTTGCTATCTATGGAAATACAGCTGTGCCTCTTGTCCCCTCCCTTGTAACCAACATGCCTTTCAGCATCTCATCTGGGTCACTTTTAGAGTCAGAAGTCTGACCTTTCAAGAGCCTAGAGTGCGAGGGGGCAGCCGGCTTTCTCATTCAGCAGAGGAAGCTGGCTAATAACCACAGAAGTTCCCCCATGAAGTGTTCTGTTGGGTCTTAGGGGAGAAATGCTCAAAGTCCGTCATTTCCCGTGCATCTGGTTTCCCTGCCACTTTCAGAGACCTACAGGAAGCCAGGCGGAAGGCGTGTCAAGGAAGCAGGGACTCAGGATAGCAGCCATGCCTGGGAGAGCTAAAATCAGCCCTCACCAGACCCTTTCCTGATGGAGTAGGCAGTGTCAGGAGAGAAAAGGGTGACAACATGTTCTTAAAGCCCAGGGTAGTGACAGCAGG
The DNA here is from genome assembly GCF_000001405.40 of Homo sapiens. Taxonomy (NCBI): domain Eukaryota; kingdom Metazoa; phylum Chordata; class Mammalia; order Primates; family Hominidae; genus Homo; species Homo sapiens. The sequence continues at coordinate 8,380,427 of NC_000002.12, forward strand.
TCCCTGAGCCCAGATCTGAAAACGTATTTATCTTTCCTGAAGTCTTGAGATGTTAAAGGTTCCTAGTACAATACGCACAGCAGAGCTGGGAGCATCCCCTGTATATATTGCCCTGTTGTTAACGGCTGTTATAATGGTAATGGTATTGTTACAAGAAAAACTTTAGATAAATTAATTCAACAGAGTTTAATTGATCAAAGAACAATTCTCCAATTGGGCAGCGCTTGGAACCAGAAGAGAGGCTCAGAGAGCTCTCCACTCTGCAAGTGCGCAGGCAGCATTTATGGGCAGAAAACAGAAGTGTGGTACAGAAAGGGCCTGACTGATTACAGGCAGCCTTTGCCATATTTGAATGTGGTCTGAACAGCTGGCGGTCTGGGATTGACTGAAGTTCAGCTGCTGTGATTGGCTGAGACTCAGTTATGATACAAAAGTATACTTCAAAGGTGGGCTTTCAGTGAGTTTACATACTAAGTTACCTTGCAATTTGTTACCCAGGGACTCAAAGTAGGGAGGCCTCCTCAGGCCACATTTAGCTTAATTTAACAGTGTCATTATTAACAAAAGTGAGGGGTGGGCAGCTTCACCTTCCTGTTAAAGGGGATGGGAGCCTCTGGTCGGCCTCCACTGGGTCACCTCGGGCAAGCCACACAACCTCAGCAGGCGTCACTTTATTTTCTAGTGCAGTGAGCATAGGGGCCATGTTTTAACTTACTTCTAGCTGTAAAGTTAAATTATTCTGAGATGTATGCAATCAAGGAAGATTGATGTTTATTAGGAAAGCACTCCCCCAAAAATTTGGTGTAAGAACCAGTTAAGTGTTACCTAGTGGGAAACATTTGGGACATACTAGGTTTCCTTATGGCAGGCCTTCTCAGAACATTTTTTGGGTCTTCTTTTTTTTTTTATTGTTTTCTTTATTTTATAGGATTATTTAAGTTACAAAAAAAATACATGCTCCTTATAAACAATACAGAGGTTAGTTAATTAAATATGGATAACCTCACCTTCGTTACTCCAATACCAGCCCCAGAGGTAAATAACACTAGGGTTTGGTATGTCTGCATCTTCCCAAAATCTCAGGTCCACCAGGACTCTCTAGGAGGAGGATGGAGCAAGAAACCTTACCCAAATTGTTTGACCATCCTACCGTTTTTCACATAGCATCTCACAGGTCTGTGTCTTGCTCTGGTTTACATACTAAGGGAAATCTTGAAATAAAGCTAAGGATTGCTTTTGATGGAATAAGATTCTTTTACAAAATCTGTAAGAAATCCACACAGGTAAGAGGTCAACAAAAACAACACTATTTTGACCCCAGATCACAGGACCCATTCATTCTTTTTTTTTTTATTTATGTATTTATTTTGAGACAGAGTATTGCTCTGTTGCCCAGGCTGGAGTGCAGTGGCACAATCTCGGTTCACTACAACCTCCACCTCCTGGGTCCCAGAGATTCTCCTCACTCAGCCTCCCAAGTAGCTGGGATTACAGGCGTGCATCACCACAACCAGCTAATTTTTTTTTTTTTCAAGACGGGGGTTTCACCCTGATGGCCAGGCTGGTCTCGAACTCCTGACCTCAAGTGATCCACCTGCCTCAGCCTCCTGAAGTGCTGAAACCACAGGTGTGAGCCACAGCACCCAGCTGATCCATTCATTTTTAATAAGATTTGGGAGAATCTTTAAATCACCAAGATGCCACAAATAGCTTCTCTGAAGGAGGCTCTCAGACCCAGTGTCCAGGTTCCTCCCAGCTTGGGCTATCACTTACCCTGTGTGTCCTCAGCTTCTCCAAGCATCAGGGATGGAAGATGGTGGGACTCAAAACAACCCCTGCCACACACACAAAGGCTGGCAGAGGCTGACACTGTGATCATTAGGTTCCCAGCTCCAGCAGCCCCTGGCGCATAGCAGGTCCTTGGCAAGCACTGTTGAATTTGTGGAGGAATAAATACAACACTCATTAACAAAATGAGAAAACAGCTAACAAAAATGTAAGGCCCATCACCTGGCCTGGCCACTGGTCAGAGCCTCTGTTGTCCAGCTTGTAATATTTTACTTAACACAAAAAAAAAACCTCTGAATTCACCAGTACTATTCCTGTTTTGCTGAGGGTTCAAGTTTGTGTGACTAGAAGTCCAAAATCTTGGTTCTATAGCCTCTGATTACAAGCCAAGTCATCACACTCCACCACAGTTGCCTCTATCCTTCCTTCCTCCAAGTCCTGCAGTCTAATCCTTAGGGATTGTGGATTGGGCACGACAGAGTGCAAGACAGCTGGATGCAGGCAGCACACCTGAGGTCTGGGCAGATTGAAGGGTAACTGTGCGGTCTTTAGCCTAAGTGAGCTCTCACGGGTTTCACTCTATCAGCACCCCCACGACACTGTCTATTTCATCCTATCTTCCATCCAACCTTCAGCCTATTCTCAAATGAAAGTGATTCCATTATAGTGGCAACCTTGGACATTTTCCAAACATAAATAGCAACATTAACACATCATAACCAAAAACACAGGGAAAATATTACTACTACTGTGTGTCTTCCCAGGTCACAGACTGAACTTGATTAAGTACTGAAATACAAAATGTCCACGTTGGCCTCTAAACCATAGATCATTGAGATGCACTATCATTTATTCACTGAACATGTACTACAACATGTACCTGTGCCGGATCCTGAGTGAGACACCAGAGATACAAAGGTGAATAGGACAGGTGCCCTGTCTTCCCAGTAGTCACAGGCTGGAGAGGAGGCCAAACCTGCATTCAAACCATCACAGCACAGTGAGTACCTAATAGTGGAGGAATTAAACCCAGGTGTAGACAAAAACAGAATCAAAACAACGACAAAACATTTGCAATAAAATCCAGGAAAAAATAGAAAATATTTTTAAACTGAACCCTAGGAACTGTATTTTAGGCCCAACTATAAAACCTGCTCTGGTTTAGTTTCTGTAGACTTACAAGTTTCCATTTTCCACATCCAAATGTGCACAGAAGAGATTCAATACCTGTGAGGTTCCAGTGGATTTCAAAATGCACTCACCTCTTGGTAGTGAAACAAAAGCTTATTCTGGTGAAGAATATCTCATGATATGTATGGAGAAGATTTCAAATATCCAAGATTAGATTGACAGATTAAATATTTGGTGTTGGAGTAGTATAAAGGGTTCTGAATCTTCAGAGGGAATGTTCTCAGCAGAAGACACAGCAAATTCAAAGTCCCTGCAGCAGGAAGGGGCATGGCCCAGTACAGAATATTAAGGTCAGTGTGGCTGGAGACAGGCAGCCAAAGGGAAACAAAGACACAAAGGCAGAGAGTTAGATAGCACGGTAGGTAGTTGTTTTAGGACATGAGGACATGTCATCCTTTTAGGACATGAGGTAGTCCTTTTAAGATATGAGGCGTGGGGGAATTTCACCTTTTTTTTTTTTTTTTTTTTTTTGAGACAGAGTGTCGCTCTATCACCCAAGCTAGAGTGCAGTGGTATGATCTCGGCTCACTGCAACCTCCGCCTCCTGGGTTCAAGTGATTCTCCTGCCTCAGCCTCCCGGGTAGCTGGGACTACAGGCATGCACCACCATGCCCAGCTAATTTTTTGTATTTTTAGTAGAGACAGGGTTTCACCATGCTGGACAGGCTGGTCTCGAACTCCTGACCTCATGATCCTCCCTCCTCAGTCTCCAAAGTGCTGGGATAACAGGCGTGAGCCTCCGCTCTCAGCTCATCTTTATTACGAATGCAATATAAATCTATTGGGAGATTTTTAATAGAGGGGTAATATGCTCTGATATACATTTGTTAAAAGGTCATTCTGGCTGCTTTGGGGGAAAGGAATTTAGGTGGGAAAGACTGGTTGTAGAAAGGCCAACTCAAGATTAAGAGACAATAACGGAAAAGTCCAGGGAATAGCTGGTATTGGCTTGGTCCCGGGTGGTAACATTGGAAATTGTGAGAATGGTGAGACTAGAAAGATACTTTGAAAGTAAAGCCAGTAAGGTGGGGTGTTAGATTAGATGTGAGGGTAAAGGAAGTGGTTAATCCTCAATGAACCCTGGGTTTTTGGAATAAGAAACTGGGTGGATGGTGATGCCATGAAGCAAAATAAGTTTTGAGGGATGAAAGTGGGAATCAACAGCAGAGCTTTGGCCTGGTTAGTTTTGAGATGACCCTAGGACATTGAAGTGGAGCTGCAGAACAGACAGTGATGTGTGAATGTGACCTCCTTGGCAGGGTCTGAAGGAGGGATACCTTTATGGTTCATCACCATGCATCCTTTCACTGAATCTGCTAAGCAGTGATATGGTGAGTCTTGTAGAGTAAATAATTATCCACATTTTCCAGGGAGAGCACTGAGGCTCAGAGAGATTGAGTTAATTCAACAAAAGCCGCATCAACAGGTAAATCATACCTCTGAGAATACAACCTCCACCAGCAAGTCTAGTGCCCTTTCTACTACACCACAAAGAAAACCACAGAGAACGTAGCAAGAGAGGGCTAAGAATAATCTGAAATTAGCATATCGGAAATTCCTGTTTTGATTACTTACCCATTAATTTAAATTTTGGGCACTAAACTCAATTATAATCATTTTATTATTATTATTATATTATTATTATTATACTTTAAGTTCTGGAGTACATGTGCAGAACATGCAGGTTTGTTACATAGGTATACGCATGCCATGGTGGTTTGCTGCACCCATCAACCCGTCATTTACATTAGGTATTTCTCCTAATGCTATTCCTCCCCTAGCCTCCCACCCCCCGACAGACCCTGGTGTGTGATGTTCCCCTCCCTGTGTCCATGTGTTCTCATTGTCCAACTCCCACTTATGAGTGAGAACATGCGGTGTTTGGTTTTCTGTTCTTCTGTTAGTTTGCTAAGAATGACAGTTTTCAGCTCCATCCATGTCCCTGCAAAGGACATGAACTCATCCTTTTTTATGGCTGCATCGTATTCCATGGTGTATATGTGCCACGTTTTCTTTATCCAGTTTATCACTGAGGGGCATTTGGATTGGTTCCAAGTCTTTGCTATTGTGAACAGTGCCACAATAAACATACATGTGCATGTGTCTTTACAGTAGAATGATTTATAATCCTTTGGGTATATAACCAGTAATGGGATTGCTGGGTCAAATGGTATTTCTGGTTCCAGATCCTTGAAGAATCGCCACACTGACTTCCACAATGGTTGAACTAGTTTACACTCACACCAACAGTGTAAAAGCGTTCCTATTTTTCCACATCCTCTCCAGTATCTGTTGCTTCCTGACATTTTAATGATTGCCATTCTAACTGGCATGAGATGGTATCTCATTGTGGTTTTGATTTGCATTTCTCTAATGACCAGTGATGATGAGCTTTTTTTTTCATGTTTGCTGGCTGCATAAATGTATTCTTTAGAGAAGTGTCTATTCATATCCTTCTCCCACTTTTTGATGGGGTTGTTTGTTTTTTTCTTGTAAATTTGTTTAAGTTCTTGTAGATTCTGGATATTAGCCCTTTGTCAAAATGATAGATTGCAAAAATTTTCTCCCATTCTGTATTTTGCCTGTTCACTCTGATGATAGTTTCTTTTGCTGTGCAGAAGCAATTTAGTTTAATTAGATCCCATTTATCTATTTTGACTTTTGTTGCCATTGCTTTTGGTGTTTAAGTCATGAAGTCTTCGCCCATGCCTATGTCCTGAATGGTATTGCCTAGGTTTTCTTCTAGGGTTTTTATGGCTTTAGGTCTTATGTTTAAATCTTTAATCTATCTTGAATTAATTTTTGTATAAGGTGTAAGGAAGGGATCATTGTTAAGATGTTCTACTAGCTCTCCATTATCCCTTCTTTGAACTTATAATCAGGCAAGTGTCTATAAAAATTGTGTAAGACTTTGAAATGGACCAGAAAAAAAAAGATTGTAGTCTGTCTTGCCTAGTTCACCCTTCCAAGTTCTCACAAACTTTCCTTGTCTTTGAGCTATTTTACAACTGTAAACTGTAGAAAACTGATAGTAATGCAGGTGATTTGTGTCCATAGAAATGCAAATTGTGTTTGGTGGTGATGCACTTGGTTACTTCTCCTGGGATATTGACCAGTTTTATATCTATTTGTAAATTTACTTCAGTGTCCCTGATTGCCTACGTATGCATATTTTAAATTCTCTTTTGAACTGGTAGTAATATCTTATTGGTTCTTTTATTAATAAATGAGTTAAAGTAAAGCTCTGATAGCCATTCATTCGTGTTTGTATAAGCCGTGATTTTAACACTTTTTAAAAATTATGTTTAACATAGATTACTTTTTAACAATAGAAATGTTAAAATCATTTAAAAAATGTTCCCCCAAATTTTGAAGAATTTATTTTTCTGAAATAAATTGCTTACATTTTAGAAACCACTTTTCGAATTTTAGAACTATAGGTCAATGTACCAGTAAATTACCTGTGAGATTTTCTTTTTTTTTTTTTTTTTTTTGAGATGGAGTTTCGCTCATTGCCCAAGCTGGAGTGCAATGATGCAATCTTGGCTCCACCTCCCGGGTTCAAGTGATTCTCCTGCTTCAGCTTCCTAAGTAGCTGGGATTACAGGCGTGCAGCACCTCGCCTGGCTAATTTTTTGTATTTTTAGTAGAAACGGGGGTTTCACCATGTTAGCCAAGCTCGTCTCGAACTCCTGACCTCAGACGATCCACCTGCTTCGGCCTCCCAAAGTGCTGGTATTACAGGCATAAACCACCCCACCCAGACAACTAGTGAGACTTTCTTATATTGAATAGTTTGTAGTGAGATTAAGGTTTCCATAGCCCACAGATCATGAATGCTATATTCAAACCATTTTCTAAATGGTTGTGGCCAGGTGCAGTGGCTCACACCTGTAATCCCAGCACTTTGGGAGGCCAAGGCGGGTGGTTCACTTGAGATCAAGAGTTCAAGACCAGCCTGGCCAAAATGGTGAAATCCATCTCTAATAAAAACACAAAAATTTAGCTGGGAGTGGTGGCACACACCTGTAATCCCAGCTACTCAGGGAGGCTGAGGCAGGAGAATCACTTGAAGCCAGGAGGTGGAGATTGCAGTGAGCCGAGATTGCACCACTGCACTGCAGCCTGGGCAACAGAGTGAGTGAGACTCCATCTCAAAAAAATTAAAAATAAAAAGTTTTTAAAGTGGTTGTGAGTCTTTCGTAGCTGAATGCCAAAAACTATTTGCTCCTCACCAACCACTTAACTCTTCATTGAACGAAGAAGATGGGTTTTGAAGCAACTTCATACATCCATTCTGACAAAGAAGTGTTGTGTAAGTGTGGCTGCAGTGATGGATAGGGGTTGGTGATCTAATGAACATTTTATATTAGAACAAAAGCAAATATCTCCTCCCCTGGGTATGAAGAACTGGCCACAGAAGATGGGAGTTGAAAAATTTGTAGAAGAAGCCAAAAGCCTATTAGGAAAAAAAAGACAGACCCAGACATTCAAAATTGAGAATCTGTCAAGACTAATAGTGTCCCTGTCCCAAGATTCCCAAGAGGAATTGAGCAGGAAGTCACTGAGAGTTTATTTGCTGGCTTGGACTCAATACAAGGCCTGAAGTCTTGTTGAGAAGGGCTGCTCCCAGCATAGCTTGTGCTGGTAACTCCTAAACATAGCCACCCAAGCACTGTGTCCTGTGGCAGGGAAAGCTTGGCTAAGCCTATCTGTATGAACTGTGGGAACTGTACCCTGGGAGGCCACACATAGACCACAATCTCAGCTTGTGCAGAAATGGAGAAAACAAGGGCATCAATACAATGGATGTGTGTTCACCGGGCTGTGCAGGACAGATCTTCAACAGTGCTGCCATGTGGTTGTAAGGAACAACTGTTAATAGTGGCTATTGAGCACCTTCCCAGTTCCTTCATGGCTGAGATTTAGAAGCGGAATTGACTGAACCTGCATTATGTTTTAACTGGACCTCATAAGAGATAATTTAAAAACCAGAATTGGAAAAAAAGCAGTTGACAACTCTTTATAGCTTTTCAGCTCTTTCAACTTCAGCTCCTGCCCTTTCTGAAGGACAGAGGAGAAAGGGGGCAGGAATTGCCATCTATTGCTGGTAAAGCAGGTAAGATTTGAGCCAGGGGCCCAGGCCCATCTGATCAGAAGCCCCTGGTCTCAGATTTTAAGACTCAGGTATTCTGGCCATAAGACCAGGACTCAGTGACGTTCTGCCAAGGGCCATAAAACTTGGGACAAAAATGCAAGTTATGGAAAACTTCAGTTGCAGATATCTTTGCTTCTAATGCCAATAGAGCTTCTTGGGACAACTGAAAGATAAGGCTACATATAAAGGCTTTTTGAGTTCCATAAAGAAAGACACTAAATAAGTCCATGCCAAGCCAGCCCTTCAGATAGGTGAGCGGAGAACCAAGTCAGAGCCCCCAGAATAGACACTGGATGCCTACCACTGCAGTTTTCACTTCCACATGACCCAGAGTTGCACTTCCAGGTAGGCCTGGTGGTTACTGAAAGTGATCCAAGGTGGTGAGGCTGTTAGTCCAGGTTCTCCATTAACTTTGGCCCCACCTGCAACCATCGTTAGGTTAGGAGAGGAACTTCAAGTACAGACTTCACCCAGAATGAAACTAGCTCAAAGCAAGAAATTCTTAGTAACACCATCACCTCCTATTTCATATAGACTCAGGGTCCAGTCTCTGGGTCAAAGTCCCTTTTGTTTCCTTATGTGCCTTCCCAGTGGTCCCCTGTCCTTAGTCTCTGTAAAATGGAAACAATTCGATGGAACTCAGTAGCTCACTCAAAGTGTGCATGTTTTCTTTAATATCAAAAAGATCTAGACTTCTGGAGGGTTATAGAACTAAAGCCAGAGAATCTTACAGTGATCGAAACTGGTCTAATGCCATTAGCTAAAAATCTTTCAGGGTTTTCTCTCTAGAGAAAACAGAAACCAGGCAATTTTCAGCAATTTTATCTGTCCTAAATCTATCCAAACAAATATGCTGGGGAGAAGAAGATATAAGCACTTAATCATGAGAAACATCCTTGACAAAGAAAGATCAGAATAGGAGCTGAGCAGGAAAAGAGAGCACAAGGTGAGGGGCAGGGGAATAAAATAGGATGACAGGAAGAATGAATTACTTCCCTCTTGGTCAGTCATTAAACTTCACCCAGGCTAGTGGTGAAGGAAAGTCACTCCCACACCATAAATAGGAACGGAGCCGTCCTTTTTCACCTTCAAATTTCAGCCAAGGGTCCATATCACGAACCTTCCTTCAATGTTTACAGGAAAAAGGAGGTGTTACAAAATATATTCTCCTGAATAAATCTTAGATAGCTTCAGCTGTAAGATTGTTAAAATTAAAAGAAACAAGTGGTTGAGCAATTGGAGATTATCAATGCTAACTGGCAAAGGAGAGGATGGCTGGGTATGAGTCACTTTGAAAATACTGGGTCTAGTTTCCTGAATGCAGTATTATTCATTAATTATTCCTTCCTGCCTGCCTTGTTTCCTTCCTTCCTTTCTTCCTTCCTTCCTTCCTTCCTTCCTTCTTTCCTTTCTTTATTGTGCTTTAAGTAGTTCACAGCTTCATGGGAGAGAGGTACCTAGTACACAAATAGCTGCATTAAAATGGGAACAGTGGTAACAGTCACAGAACGGGCCTGTTAAGATACCTCCACTGCTTGGCAAGTTCAAAAAGGGCAGAAACTGAGGTTGAAGTAGCTGAGAAGTTATCATTATCATTTAACTCCAATTTTACCTAATTTGATTTTTTTAATTCTCTCTCCTGAAGCCCAGGTAGGATACAAAACCAAGTCTGGTGGCACGTATGAGGAGGAGCTCAGGACACGAGCAGGACCTGGGTAGCAGGGTTAGCTTGTCCTTGGTGGGGAGAACAGGTACTGACTTGCTCATGGGCATGACAACCAGTGAAACAGCAGTCGCTGTCATTTATTTAACGTGGACTATGTCCTCCGCATTTACTTACCTGCCAAAGGGGATGACCTTGCCAATTCGCCTTTTATAGGTGAGAAGACAGAAGCTAAGAGGTTCAGTAGCAGCCCAAGAATACATACCTTTGGATGGGGTGGGATGGGGTGAGATGGGGTGGGATGGGATGGGATGGGATGGGGTGGGATAGGGTGGGAAGGGCTGGTATGGGGCAGGATGGGATGGGATGGGATGCCCTGGGGTAGGATGGGATGGGAAATCTGGGATAGGGAGGGATGGGGTGATGGGATGGGGTAGGGTGGGATGGGGTAGGATGGGATGGGATGGGGTGGGGTGGGATGGGATGGGATGGGATTGGATGGGATGGGATTGGATGGGATGGGATGGGATGGGATGGGGTAAGGTGAGATGTGATGGGATGGGGTGGGATGAGGCAATGGGATGGGGTGAGGTGGGATGGGGTGGGGTGGGGTGGGGTGGTGTGGGCTGGGATGGAATGGGATGGGGTGGGATGTGGTAGGATGGGGTAGGATGGAGTGAGGTGAGGGGATGGGATGGCATGGGATGGGATGGGATGGGATGGGGTGGAGCAGACTGTACTGGAGGGAGTTCTAGGGGACAGGGATGGATAGTGCAAAAGCACAAGGGTAAGGAATGCACAAGCTGGCTCAGGTTGCCCAGATCTCAGAGCCATGACCAGAGCAACAGATGAAAACGAGGTCAGGGGTCAGCTGGCGCCCACGCAGTGGGAGCCTTGATGCTCCCTAGCTTGCATGCACCCATCACTGCTTCTTCATACAGATATCTACAAGAGTGAGGTACAGGAACAGTTGTCTCTTCTTTCTTGAGAATGCAGCACAAGTTCTGTTTTTGTCTTCAAGTATTGCAAACAGCAAGACAAGATCACCAGTTTCCTCAGTCTGAGCCAACGTGGAGGTGGCTCGGAGGTCACTTGATGCCACCATCAGCAAAGCCTGAACAGGGTCCCTGAGGCCCAGGGACTCAATGGAGCCTCAGAGCTGAGAGTCAGATCAGAGCTGGGATTGGGGCAGCCTGGGTCTAAATGGAGCACCTGCTGCTCAGGGCAGCCTGTCAGACAGGGAGCCATTGGCCTTTCCAAAGGGCCAAGAAATGGGAAACCCAATCTAGGCCTTCAAAGGTAGGGGAAAAAGTCACATCTGGGCAAACCAATCACAAAAGCCCCTCTGTGCAATGGGCAGAATGTCCTTCAGAAAGCTGTCCTCCTGGGTCACTGACAGGAGATCCTCTGCTGCCTTCAGGGGTGACAGGAGCTCAGGTCAAACACAACTTCGGATCACACCTTCTTCCAAATCAACCCCATGCTCTGCAGACATCACTCACAACACAGGCCTAAGGCCACTCTCCACACACAGCACACACACCAGCAGGCCGGCTGCTGGGAGGAGACACAAGCCGTGTGGACACTGTGGGAAGGAAGGTGTTGAGGAAGTTTAAGAACAGGCCTCCCTCCCAAAAAGAGCTAATGTGTGGGGTCCCAGTGGGGGCCCAGCCTGCCCAGGAAACCCCTTAGTGACTAATACTGTGGGCAGTCAGAATTCTCTTACCTTAGGCAAACTCCTTGTAAGAAAATCTCTTCTTAGAATCAAAGAATCACAGGATTTTTGAGCTGAAAAAGCCTTTCGTCTTTGTCTTGTGTAGTTGCTCATCTCAAATGGTGCTGAGAGGAATTAAGGACTCCTGAAACAAAAAAAAAAGAAAGGAAAAAAAAGAAAAAAGAAAAATACGACCCAACAGGGGGCCTAGGCAAATTTGCTTAACTAAAGGATCCCTGTGAATAACACCTACTAGGCAAAGAAAGTCACATTCCATCAGAAGACACCAACAGCATCTTTGGTTAGGAATCAGCCAGTCTCTGCCAGCCTCCAAATGCTAGCCACGCAGCCTGCCTCGGGAATGCAGGAGGTCCACAGGCCATGCCTTCTCCAGCAGAGCCAGGAGGCCAGAAGCCTCTCAAGGGGGTGTTGAGCCAGAGGTCCGAGGCCTTGCAGATCTGACGCTCCAGAACCAGGGGTCTCCTCCCTGCCCCCCAACTATGGGAAATGGAGATGTGAGGTCCTGGAACCCAGTTCAATCCAACCTAATTCCTTCAGGCCCTACCAGGGTCCAAGCTCCAGGGCCAGGCCTGCAGGGTCAAACACAGACATTTCCTGCCCAGGAGGTTCCTGTGAGCCAGTGAGACACCCCAAGACAGCGTGGGGTGGGGCTCTGGCCAGAGCCCGCCTGGCCCTGCTCTCCTCAAGGGACTTGATCCAGCGCCTCACACTTGCCCTTTGGTGTTTTCTGGGCCTTGCACATACCTTGTCCACGTGATCAGTGCTTGAAACAGAACCAGGTCTGGGCAGGTCACACCAAGGGCTGATCAATAGGCTTCCCGAGCACGTCCATCTGTCTGCTCTGCCTTGCAAGCCACTAACAGGCCGTGAATACTGATTCAGGGTCCTGGCTCCAGGGAGATGAGCAGTCAGGAGATTGGAGGGGTAAGGATTCCCAGCTGCTCAGAGGCAGAGTGTGAAAAGGAGATGCTGAGAAGCTCCCAGGTTCCCAGTCCCTGTCACTGTCACTGGAAAGAAAATGACGCCATTGAGAAAGATGTGTGGAGGGCAACCTGAGGAGCCACTTATTTGAAGAGGTGTGAGCTGAAGGGCCTGTCACCCTCCCCAGGACCACCTGTCCTGCTACCTGAAACTCAGTGGCCCGGGCCATTGCTCTGGAATGATTCTGGAGCATAGACATCAACACATTCATGTAAGTTCTATCACAGACTCCATGAAACAAATCTCAGGTCCCAGTTACCAACTGAGGAGGAGGAGGATTAGGCTCTGGGAAACCTCCAGGGACTTCAAGGAGTACAAGACTATTCTGAGGCTAAAACAGTTGCAAATTCTAAGATGGAAACCAATACTGTGCAAATTAAAAAATGGAGGGAAAAGAAAGTTCCCTTTCTTTGCAGGCGAAACAGGAAGAGGTGCACTTTAGTTCTGAAGTGCACCTCTTTCTGTGTGCAGTCTTGTCTTCATGGGGTTTCTAATCCAAAGGAAAGCTACACTGCAGCCCAGCATAAGCAACTCATAATGAGGTAGCCGTGACTTAAATGCTAGTGGTGTCCCCGAGCAGTTCAGTCAGTGAGTGAGCAGCGTCTGTCTGAGATTCCAGGTCTTTGAGTTGACTGGACCCCGCAGGCCTAGCTCTGGAGCCTGGACCCTGGCTAGGCCTGAAGAAATTGGGTTGGATGGAACTGAGTTCCAGGATGTCATATCTCCATTCCCCATAGTGGGGGCAGCGGGGAGACAACTGGTTCTGGAGCTTCAGATCTGCAAGGCTTCAGGCCTGTGGCTTAGCACCGCCTTGAGGGGCTTCTGGCCTCCTGCCTCCGCTGGAGAAGGCACTGCCTGTGGACCTCCTGTGTCACCCTCCTTTGGGGTCCCATGATAGGTAGCCTGTATTACATGCTCAATAAATATTTGCCAATGTTTAAAAATTCTTTGAAAATACAGAAGAGCCCCAGAATAAAGGGATCTGACAAATTAGAAGTTTCTCTTCAAGAAATTCACATTTGCAAAGCAAAGAGTCTCTCCCTTGAAATAGGCTCACTGTTGTGCATGTGGAAATGCGAAGTGAAGGCTTTCTTTGGAAATCACTTTGTACGCTGCCAACACCTTCCTGTGCTTTTGCTCCAATGGCTGATCCACAGAAAAAGCAGGGTGACAACCTCATTGTTCCTGGGTGACCAGCACCTGCCTGTGGGGTGGCCTTTCTTTGAGAAGCCGTGGAATACAACGCGTGGTCCTTTGTCAGAAGCTCCAAAGGGAACCAACCTTCCAGAAACAGAAACGCTCCCACAGCTCCCTTCCCCCTCTACAGGCCAAGAGCTCAGACCACAGCCTTCTGAGGGTCTCCAGCTGCCAGGTCTGTTTGGGGGGGAAGTTGATGAGGTCAGGCAGGAGAGAAGGAGGAAGTGGGGAGCCACAGGGAAGCTGGGCTTGGGAGCTTCAGGGCCTCTTGCTGCTTCTCAGAGGTCACCTGCCCTTCACCTTCCCCCTGCCCAGCACCTGACACAAAGGACCTCCCTAAGGCTGCTCTCCCAGGCTCACGTCAATGCCAGAATGAAATGCAGAGGAAGGCTTCCTGTGCAAATGCCTCCTAGAGGGGTAACTGGCCTGAGCTCTCCCTAAGGCGCGAATAGCTGATATCTCTAAGGCAAAGATTGATGGGAGAATAGGGAACAGGCAGGTGTGGGTAGGTAGCTCACTGGGGATACAGAAGAGGCAGCACTGCCACCTCATAATTCTATCTCAGGCCAGTCCCAGGGAACCCACAGGGAAGGCCAGCTACACAGCCGCAACACCAGTGGGCAGGCCAAGCTCCCAGGTCTGGCTGTCTCGGCATGGCCAGCCGGCCCCAGAGTTCCCTTGTCATTTTGTCTTTTAGGAAGGCCACATCAAATTATCAACCCAAGGTGTTATTGTGATGAGTCCATAGCTTAGGTCCTCATTCCTCCTGCCTACCTCTACATAGCATGTGGCTTTGGGCAAGTCACACCATCTCTGTGGACCTCAGGTTTGTGAGGCTCTCTAAAGTTTCACTGTTGAAAGGAGCCCTTCATTCCAGGGAGAAATCCTGATATTCCCAGAATGGGAACAGCTTTCCCAAAAGACTATTAATTCATGTCCCACCTGGTCCAGACAACCCCATGAGGGGGTTACCGCTGTCCTCATGAGAATGAGGACAATTTCTGGAATGCCAATCTAGAGACATGTGAAGAGCTCCGCCTAGGCTGGGCAGCGGCTGCAAAGTCGAGGTTTGCAAAACACACATCCTCTCTATAGCTTCCCCTCCTCTTTCCAACTCCCCTTTCCATTCTGCTCCTTTCCCTTCTCTCCCCTTCTTTTTTCTTCCATTCCTCCTTCTTTCCTTCCTGCCACCTCTCTTTTGCTATTCTGCCTTTAATCCTACAGCGGATCCCCCATGATTTCCATACAGAATGTTCTGTATTTCCAATACACTGAGGCTGAAGCCACACAGAAATTGAGCTATGAGGCCGGGTGTGGTGGCTCCCACCTATAATCCCAGTACTTTGGGAGGCCGAGACGGACAGATCACCTGAGGTTAGGAGTTCGAGACCAGCCTGGTCAACATGGTGAAACCCTATCTCCACTAAAAATACAAAAATTAGCCAGGCATGGTGGCAAACATCTGTAATCCCAGCTACTCAGGAGCCAGAGGCAGGAGAACCACATGAACCCAGGAGGTGGAGTTTGCAGTGAGCAGAGATTGTGCCATTGCACTCCAGCCTGGGCAACAGAGCAAGACTCTGTCACAAAAGAAAGAAAGAGAGAAAGAGAGAGAGGGAGGAAGGAAGGAAGGAAGGAAGGAAGGAAGGAAGGAAGGAAGGAAGGAAGGAAGGAAGGAGCTATAAGCTACTAGCTCAAGTGTATACCTCGTACTACAAAAGGGAAAGGCTTCTTTAAACTAACTTAAGAGAAAGAAAGACAAGGCAATGTGATTGCTCATTCAAGGGTGCAAGAGCTTTACTGTGTAAGCTGTCCACCTGAAGGGTCTGCAGCTCCCATGCTGGTGTGAACAGCTTCTCTGGGAGAAACACCCATCCAGGCCATCCCTTCCTCAGAGCATCCCATCAGAGCCTAATAGGGAAATTATTGTTATAGTTTATTTAGGGAAAAAACATAATTCAACACATGACCCTGCAAAACTGTACAGTATAACATGACATTGAAGTGACTTCTGCTCTGGCACAAAGGAGCGCTGAGTGAAAAGATCTCTGGATTCTGAAGGCCCAGTTGTCCCGGGCTGCCACTTAGGTTGGCGTGCTCGCATTAATGTTCTGCAGCAACATACAGTCCATGAGCAACCACGGGACTTTTATTGTCTGCCTTCCTAAATCTGTCCTGCTATAACTTAAAAAAGAAGTTACAGCATCTCTATAACACTATTTGGTTTTAACTAGGTTGCTAAATGTGTTTGCTGAAGTCAGCTATAAGGCGTTAGGCACTTCAGTGGTACAGGGTGTCAGAGAGAAATTCTGCACTCAGTGTGTGGCACTGGATGAGATTTATTTTGCAAACTTTGCCAACCCCAAAAAGGAGATTATATGTTTTGGGAGACAGGGCACCATCCTGTTAGTGAAGTTCATTTAGATGTATTTCTTATACCAAAGGGCATTACGTCTGTCTATAAATATTAACAGAATTGTGTTGCAAAGTATAAGTCCCAAATCGGGGTGTCATTTGGCAGATCATGCCCGCCAGGTATGGATTGTGCCATCCCCGGGGAGAACTGGCTTCTCTCTCCTGCATGGCATCAATTTTATAGGCTTTCATTCCTCCGAGAGAATTAGAAAACATCTGGAGTCAGCACTTCCACAATCTTAGTTTTGTTTCTCAGAGTAGCTGCATATTTGGTGGCAATTAGGATGTTCAGGTACTAAATCAATGATTTTCTCCACGGCCCATGACTTACGTTTGTAATATAATAGACATACCAAGGGTTCCATGCCCTTACAACTGTTTATAAAAATAACCAAAAAATGAACCTATTAATTTTATTTCTAAAAATGATTTTATTTAAACCAGTGGTTCAAATAAACTGGGGGCAATTTTGCGCCTCCTTCCCAGAGGCATTTCTCAATGTCACTTTTTGTGCCACATCTTAGGGGCATGTATTGGCATCTCCTGGATAAGGCCAGGGATGCTGCTGGACATCCTACAATGCACAGCACACCCCAGGCTGGAATCATTCAGCCCAGGATGTCCACAGGGCCAAGGTGAACAGACCTGGCAGAAACCTGCTACGAATTCTCTTTCTTATAGAAACAAGAGACAGATAATTCTCTATGTATGAGTGTTGAGTGTTTCCAATGTACCAGCACTTTGCTGAGGTTGTCTTATTTAATCCTGTCTCCATCAGAAGCAATCTTTTCTGATATGACCTGATAATTGTGTTGTATAAAGTCCTGGTATGATCAAAAATGGCCAAAGTCTTCAGTATCTCTACCTCCAACCCCAAATTTCTCTCCCGCATCTCACTTAACTTCCTGGTGGCATTCAACACTGTGGACCACATTTCCCCCTGAGAAACCCTCTTTTACTCTGTCCAGCAGCTACCTCACCGGCCTGGCCTTGTCTGCAGCCTTCACAGACCTTCTCCAAGCCAGTCAGCGCTGCAGCGACTCAAGGTTCAAGCCCAGGTCCTCTTCTTTAGGGCTTCCCAAAGGCAACTCAGCAAACACCCAACACTTAACCCAAACACCTAATCTCCTTCTCTGAATCCTTGTCCACTTCCAGGTCTCCCAGGCTTGGTCAGGGATGGCCCCACATTTATCCACTTCTGGTGTCAGAGCCCACAGGTCTTCTTTACCCCTCAGTTCCCGGCTGCCCGTAATCCAACCATGAACTAGTCCTGAGCTTGACTTTCAAACGTCTTCAAATCCATGCATTTCTCTCCAATCCTATACCACCACCTTTGCACAAGTTACCGTTACCTTTAACCTGGACAGCTGAGGAGACTCTTGCCAGATCTGCCTGCCTCCCCTCAGCTCTCTCTTACCTGTGGCCACAGTGATTCTACCAAGCATGCATTACATCATGCTCTCGGGTCCTCACCCAGCCTACCTACACGCATACATGTGCACACACACACATACATGTACATGCACACACGTACATGCACACACACTCAAATGTGCACACATACATTCACACACATACACGCACACACATACATGCACACACACATACATGCACACATACATGCACATGCACACGCTTACATGCACACACATGTGCGTGCACACACATACATGCACATGCACGTACATGCACACACACATGCACACACGTACATACACACACACTTAAATGTGCACACACATACATTCACACACGTACATGCATACACATACATGCATACACATGTACATGCACATGCACATACACACACATACATGCACACACGTACATGCACACACATGCACACACATGTACATGCACACACACTTAAATGTGCACACATACATTCACACACGTACACACATACACATACATGCACACACGTACATGCACACACATACATGCACACACATACATTCACACATGTACATGCATACACATACATGCATACACATGTACGTGTACATGCACACACATACATGCACATGCACACACATACATGCACATGCACACACATACATGCACACACGTACATACACACACACATCTTGAGGCCTGTTCACTGGCTTTCTGTGGCTCTTAAAAAACTTCTGAACTTGGCCTATATGACCCTATGCATTCTGGTCCCTGCCACTTACTCAGCCCTTCAGACACACTGGCCTCGCATCCCTCACATTCATCTTCCCCCTCTGACCACAGGACCTTTGTCGAGGCTCCTCCCTTGGCTGAGATTGCCTTTTCCTGATCACTTTCCCCCTTAGCTCATACCTGTCCTCCAGATCTCAGTTCAGCATCATTTCCTCCTGGAAGCTCTCCTGCTCTCCCAACCAGATCCCTGTGGCAGCCTCTCAGAGCACCATGCTCTGGTCCTCTGAAGCTCTCAGCAGCTGCAATTTGGTCTGTTTTCTTTGAGTCATTGTTTGGTTGTTCTCTATCTCCCAGACTGGACTATGAGCAACTTGAGGACAGGGAAACTGAGGCCCTAGAGACACTAAAGAACTTGACCAAGGTGAATGAGTACATACAGTGGCCATCTGACCCTTCGGTCCACCGTTCCTTACCCACTGACTATGTGATGTTGAGGAATTGCAGTGAAACATGAGTAAATATCTAAACTCTGGCTTAATCTCAATGTCACCTAAATAACAATAGGACAGATCTTTTAAACAGGATGGATGGATGAATGAATGAATGAAGACTTCTGCTTTCCATTTGCCCTCTTCAGACACTTAGTTGACTTTTAAAGTTTGCAAAATTCAAGAATTGGCTACCTAGGGAGACACATGCCCACTTTCACCATCTTTATTCTGATTAAGCATTGGGTCACACCTCTCAGCGCCATACTACTTAATGGATGTTCTTCCATCTCAGTCAGTAGCAAGAAGGACCACTTCTGAGTCCATATCTTTTTGCAACATTCACCATTTGTTTCCAAGTAAGGAAGCCACTCGGCTTTTAGTGTCCAGCATACCTCTTGTTTAAGATCACCCTGACTACCACAAAGGCCTTTTTGTTGTATCAGCTTCACTACAAGGAGAAATGCTTTTAAAATAAACCATGGAGTATCCCTTAATAAAGGGATAATTGGCAGCCAGTAATTCTGCTGTACCTGAGGAACACTGAAATAAATCATGGTTAAATCAAGTTGTTTCCATAAAGGAAGAGTGTAAAACCCTGGAAATATCTATGTAGTATAGAAATAGGATGAGAGGGAAACACAACTCTTAAAATAGAGCCCGTAGGAAAGTTCATCAAAGGCAGATGCTTAAGAAAACGTAACTTTTATGGTTTCAAAAGGACAGTAACGTGCATCAACTGTCCAGTGATCCTACCCAAAACACAACCACAGCTCCTTGTAAAGTGCTGAGTTAATAAATAGGTGGCTTTGTTCTAATTTTCCGTCTCTAAATTTAGATTCATTGCAGTATACAGCTCAAGGTCTTAAAATGCATACCAGGGAGTTTTTACTAAATTCCAAATTGACTTTATTCATTTTGTTCTGCACTTAAAAATGTGAGATGTATTTTGCACAGCCCATGAATGACAGTTACCTGCTGGGATGGGAACGGGTCTTTAGTTTTTCATTTCTGGGACCACCATTGGATGGTGTCTGACAGCTTTGAAAGACAACACGGAGCTGGTTGGAGGCGGGGGGCGTGTGGGCAGGAGTGCTGGTGCCTCTTGGCACCACAGGGCGATGGGCTCCACTGCCTTGGCACCAGAATGGCGTGAGCCCTGGGCTCTGTAGGTTGGGAGTTAGCAAACTCCGTAGATAGGCACCAGTTAAGCCCTTGTTTTACTCCTTGCTCACAGGTCTCCTCTCTCCCCCTTTCTTCCCCTGCCTTCTCCACTCGGCCCAAGGGAGCAAGACTGGGAAGCCCAGCCCTTCTGTCAACCAGGGTCAAGTAGACTCAAACCAGAAGCCCAGCTCTGCCTGGCTTCCCTTCCCCAGGTGCCACATCTCCATCTGCAAAAGGACATCGCACTGCTGGCCTCGCGAGGCTTCCTGAGGATTTCATGGGAGGACGCAAATACGGAACTGTCGACCATCCACATTGATTCACGTCCCCCGCCCCCACCCGCCTCCCTGATACTAAATTCACCTGAGTTGTTCTTATGACAATTTCTCGAACTGCCACCTGCGTAGACCAAAGCTCTCCTCTCATCCATTCCTCCCCTTCTTCTCCCACAACCTCATGACCAAGTCCGCTCCTGCCTTCTGTGTACTTTGGAGTCTTATTTAGCTTCTAACACTTCTGGACCAGAATCACAGCTGGTACAGTGTCTACTACGCCTAGATCACAAAGAGGCAGAAGTCATCAGAATCAGCTCCCCACAGAATAACTTCCAAAGGCAGCACTCACCAAATGCCACTTGTGTAGGTCATCTCCTACAAAGTTCTGCATGCAAATTATAATTTGTTTTAAAGGCAGTGTTTCCGCTACTGAATCATACACTATCTCAGGCAGTCCCAGGAAAGACCTGGGCAAACGCAGACATGTAATATCATACAAGGACGGAGCTGGGGGAAGGAGAAGCATTGCTGGGCTTGGGGAGGCCGCTTTGCCCAGTCCGGGCTACAGTACCCGTGAAGTCACTGCTGTCCTAAGAGCACTCCCATTATAACAGACTGGCTTCCGGGGTGCAGGCAGAAGGGGAAAGGCCAGGATGGGAAGAGTAGAGACCATTAGGAGTTGGGAATGAAGATGGGAGGAGGCAAACCAAATACAGTCCCAGAGCTTGGTTTTACTAAACAGCTGCCCTGAGCCCGCCCCTCACCCCAACTGCCCAGGCAGCCCGTACTAGATGGTGATGGTTCAGGCTGGGGAGGACAGCTGTGGCTCAGGAATTAGGGGCAAGGACAGGCCAAGACACCTTGATTTTTCACTTTGGTACCTGTGATTCGAACTATTTCTTTCCCTTTTAGGAACATTGAATGATGCCATCAGTGAAACTGCAAATGACAGGCAGGTCCGAGTTCACCAACAGATTACCCCAGTCACCGACGTGATTCTTTGCCACTTATTAAGGAGGGTTGGATTCACTTGCTACGAATGATGGTTGTAAGGACTCCCCAGCCACATAGAATTCAAAATTCCAGCAACAGTCCCAGCATAGGCACACAGGGGGAAGGCCCCTGAGGATCCTGGTGCATGCCCACCCTGTATCTGCCAGCCTCTCCCTGCACCAGGCCTGCAGGGAGGAAGGAAGCAGGCAGCCTCCCCAGCACCATTCCTGAATCCGGGCCTGAAAAGCAGTGGCCCCTGGCTGCAGTGACAGCTTGACTCCAGAACTACACCCTAACAGGGCCCCTTGTAGGCCACTCTGTCGTGGAGGCACACCTCACGCACAGCCTGGCACGGTGGGGACTCACGGACTCTGAGGGCCTCACACCATGCAGCTCAGCCATTCCTGTGAAAAAGAATGTGCAGACCCCAGGTGTTGGTACGAAGAGGAGGGTATTGTCTTTTACAACCACAAAACATCCACAATGCAATCATCTCACAACCTCAATGCCAGAACCCCTGTGGCAAGCTGGCCAGGTGAGGTGGGTTGCTCCAGGTGGCTGAGATCACCTCTGAAGCTGCAGCACAGCTGGAGAGGGGTGGCCCTGGCCCCAGCATGGTGCATTTGCTCTGCAGGAAGAGGCACTGGAGCTGAGTCCCCCGAATGATGCAGTTCTCTTCTCCCCTGCCTCTCACAGGCACAATTTGATATATTTTTCAGAAACCATTAAAAAGCTTAAGCTCATTAAAGTCAATGTTGCCCCACCTGCCCTCTCCACCCAGGTGCCTGGTCATGTGCCAACTGGCAACTGTCAATGATAATTGTGCCAATTCACCAGGGATCATCCTACCAGCTCCCTGTGCCTCTCAGCTCTTCTCCTGGAGGTAAATGGCATGGCATGGCTGCCTGGAGGGCCCTGGAGCATCAGCAGGTTTTTGGAATGGGCAGCCTCTAGTTTTGAATCAGTCTATAGCAAAATCCCAGAATGGTGGGGGCAGACATCTGGGGCCTCTGCTCCACATCCACCAGTTGGAAACTTGATCTCAGCATTCCTTTCTAATCCACATTCTGCCCTGACCTTCAGCTCAGATATCATCTACTTAGAGTAGATGGAGAGAAATAAAATGGCCAACGACTGTTGACTTGTCATTGGGCTTCTAATGCAAAACACCACGTGCCCTTCCACTGAGACCAACCCTGGCTCTTCACTTTAGAAGCAACCCAGATTCAGCCAGTGACTTGCCTTAATCCTGGTACCTGGCACACCTGATGATAGAACTCAAGAGGGAAAAAGAAAAACATAAGAAATAACCAACAGGGGGAAGTAACTATAGTCCTAAACAGTTCAAAGATAAATGATCTGGGCATTACTGTTCAATGGAAGACAATTAACAGTTTAACAATGTTCATGGAACTGGAAAGCCACTTCACACTACCAATATGTCTGGGTTCTTGAATATGATTTAGGTCTATGTCACCACCAAATCTCACGTGGAATTATAATCCCCAATGTAGCAGATGGGACCTGATGAGAGGCTCACGGGTTTCCCCCTTTGGTGCTGTTCTTATGATAGAGTCCTCAAGAGATCTGGTTATTTAAAAGTGTGTGGCACCCTCCTCTCTCTCTCTCTCTATTCATTCTGCTCCAGCCACGTAGCTCACAGTTCTGGAGCCTGTACAGGATTCAGAGTGGCTTCTGCTTCTGGGGTGGCTTCAGGAAACTTTCAATCATGGTGGAATCCTCCCCAGAGGCGGAAGCCACTATGCATCCTGTACAGCCTGCAGAACTGTGAGCCAATTAATCCTCTTCTTTCTAAGTCTCAGGTATTTCTCTAGAGCAGGGCAGGAATGGACTAGTATATCCTTCAATTAAAATCACAGTGTGAAAGAGAAATGGCAGTCTGTTGAGGACTGCTTTGCAGTTAGTTTGATCAATCATGGCTGAAAGCTGGCCAAAAGAAGAAAAGGAGATCAACTCTCTCCTGTAGTTAATTTCTACACTAGAAATTCACTGCATTCATACCACTCATTGTCCGCTGTTCTAAAACTGCATCTATTCTTCCAACCTGATTTTGCTGGTTTTATCAATTCCTCTTACTTTCCCCTTTCCTTTTCTTTCTTAAGGATTTCCACCTCTACTTTCAACCCTAACCCTCCTCCCCCTGAGGAGCAGTATCAGCAGGTGGGGCAGTGAAGGTCAGTATGTGCCTTTTCCACTTGAGCCTCCCAAAAATATAGTCTTTGATTAGGGACTGCATTTTTTTTTTCAACTTGTGTTTGAGCCACTGTGTTTGCCCAGTTTCTGAAATTGTCCTGTGAGGCTCAGCTGTCCACTGTCCTTCCAGCCTCATGAGCAACATAGTTCACTGTCTCAAGAGGGGCTCTGGGAAGTCCCAAAGCCTTCCCAGGCCGTGCCCCAATGCCAGTCCCTCCCTGCTGGCCCTGACATGCCAGCGAACTCTGCTCTCCCTATCCCCAGCACCACCCAGCCAGGCTCTGGGATGCCTGTCTGGCCACATTCCAGGACAACCTGATCGTCCTTCCTCTCTGCCTGTTCTCTCCACCTGTTCTCACACACTCGTCTCTCCTCCTCTGACCTCCACTATCTTTTCCATGGCAGTTAGAAGTCAAAACAGACCAGATAGAAAAGATATGCTGACCCTCGCTCGTCCACTCCCTCCCTCTTTGTGTATCACCTACAGCGTGCTGGATAAATCTCTGGTGCATGTGCAATTTGGAGAAATTCCAGAGGTCTGACCTCCTTGTCTCCCTGGGTCACAGGGAGGTAAATGACAAGGAGTTGGCTATGGTCCCCACTTTATAAATGAGGAAATGACTTCTCAAGGGCACTGAGAAGTCATTTTTTCTTTTATAAAGTGGGGACCATAGCCACTTGACTATGGTCCTGACTCGAGCAGGGCCACACAGCCAATCATTGGTCACGCCTATGCTCAAACCTCAGGTGTCAGCTTCCAATTCCTCCAATCTATCAACGTCATCCTGCCCCTCAGTTGTTGGCAAGTGAAGATGCGAAGTAAAGTGAGGCCTTAACCCTTGAGGAACTTAGGCTTATAATGGGTCCAACAATAGATAGGTGAAGGTAAAATTTACAAAAGCAGCAACAGAGAACAGACCACGATTACATGTCCAAGGAGTGGTGCCCACAATGGGGCATGGAAATGATGAGATGCAAACATGACAAAAGTAAGACTGGACCTGAACCTTAGCCTTAAAGGGAAGCAGTAACCAAATTGATGAGAAGAATGACCGTGGTGGATTGGCAGGTAGCACAGTCTGGGGAAAGGCAGTAAGACAAGAGTAGGTAGAGCTTAATCAGAGAACAGGGAGAAACCAGGCTGTCTGAAGGAGAGAGCCCCATCCATGAGTAGCAGTAACCAGGTTTGCTAAGCTGGCTGGGACATAGGGACTGAATGGCAGACTAAGGATCTGTCCCGGCCTTCCCATGTCGTTCTGCCTCCTTGGTAGGAATGGCATGCGTAGCTGTTCTGTTTTACAAATGCTACTCGTGTTGAAATTTTAAATATTTTCCTCCCCTATTTTTATTCCGTTGCCTGTTTTCTCTTGTTTCTAATATCAGTGAACCTCCACAATTTTAGAAATCTTAATGAATTTATTCACATGTATTTAACATCGATGTAAAGAAACTAATTCCCATCTTCTTGTATTAGCTTATAGTCAAACTAAGAGCTCCAGGCCTGAGAATAACTTCCCCTAAAAAGAGATGTATTTTCTCTTTTCTGCTGACAAAAACTACATAACAATCCTCTTTTCCTTTTCACCCTTGCTGGTAGGAAGCTCAAAGACACATTTTGACTCAGCCACAAAAATAAATTAACCCCCCCGGTTGTCATATTTGCTTTGCCTCCTTTCTCCTTTATTTCCAGTGCCTTGTATGTTTATAAAGCTTATTATCTCTATATCCTTTGTTGAAGTTCACCTCAAAGCCTTTGTGGAAAGAAGCAAAGTAAATAAACATCAACCAACCAACAATATCGCTTTCTTTTTCACTCAACTCTTCCTTCATTCACTCAACAAGTATTCAGTGAGCCTCGACAATGTGCTAAATCTGTGCTGGGAGCTTAGGATTCAGAAAGAATGGGCTGAGTGCAGTGGCTCATGCCTGTAATCCCAGCACATTGGGAGACCAAGGCAGGAAGATCACTTGAGGCCAGGAGTTCAAGTCCAGCCTGGGCAACATGGCGAAACCCCCTCTCTACTAAAAATGCCAAGAAAATTTAGCTAGGCATGATGGCACATGCCTGTAATCCCAGCTACTTGGGAAGCTGGGGCACAAGAATCGTTTGAACCTGGGAGGCGGAGGTTGCAGTGAGCCAAGATCACACCACTGCACTCCAGCTTGGGCGACGGAGTGGGACTGTGTTTCAAAAAATAAACAAACAAAAGAAATATATACATATATATGTCATAAGGCTTATTGCTTCTTCTCTAAAGGAAGAAGATAAATTGATTTGAAGTTTCATTAAGTGAGGCATATGGGAGAATTCGCTACATAAGGAAGCAGGAAAAGGAGTCCATTTCCTTAAAGTTACTTTTTAGAAGCAGGCAGGCTTCTCTCACACATCTGAGACAACCTGGCATCCAGGCATCCTGTGATCTTTCTAAATTTGGTCTCACCTAGATTTTATTAGAGAATTGATCTAAGCAATACACTTTTGGGTCTGTTTTTTTAACTGACAAAAGTTGTCTATGCCTTATATTTATATTTTATTTATATTTTTCACAACATCATATGTGTATATTGTAAAATGGCTAAGTTGAGCTAGTTAACATATGCAATACATCTCACATACTTCTCATTTTTGTGGTAAGAACACTTAGATATGGCCTATTAGTAAGATAACATAGTTATTGGTCTATGTAAGAAGCTAAAATCCTCGGGCCAGGCGCAGTGGCTCACGCCTGTAATCCTAGCACTTTGGGAGGCCGAGGCAGGTGGATTGCCTGAGCTCAGGAGTTCAAAACCAGCCTGGGGAACACGGTGAAACCCCGTTTCTACTAAAATACGAAAAAATTAGCCAGGCATGGCAGCATGCGCCTGTAATCACAGCTACTTGGGAGGCTGAGGCAGGAGAATCACTTGAACCTGGGAGGCAGCGGTTGCAGTGAGCTGAGATTGCGCCATTGCACTCCAGCCTGGGTGACAGAGCAAGACTCCATCTCAGGGGAAAAAAAAAAAAAGATAAAGCTAAAATCCCCAATAAAGGAATCCTTGCTCGAAATTAGAAAATATTTTATTTAAAAATTATGCTTAAAAAAATCCCAATTAAAATGATGCCATTAGCACTGTCCACCCTCAACACACACACAAATTAATTTTAAAAATAAAGCTTATTTCTAAATCCTTACACAAAAGAACTGATTTTAAATGACACGCAGTTGGTAGCAGATCTGAACCACACAGAGCCCCAGCTTGGTGCTCCGTCTCCCCGGCCATGTGAGGACACAGCCCTCTTGAACTTCTAAACTGCCCCTCAGGAAGCAGAGCAGCATGGAAACGGTGTGAAAACCAAGCCAGCCTTTCCATTCACCAGGGGTTTTCATTCCTATTCCATATACTGGACAAAGTCACCCACAGAGCAGCTGAATTACTTCCTGGTCTTTCTTGAAGTATTTCAGTTCTCAGGCAGACCCGGGGCATACAAAGTTGTGTCCAAAATCATCACTCTACCTCCAGGTTTCTCTGTAACCAGCAATTTACTAAAAGTACTTCCTGGGCCTCAAGGTGGGAACTTTATGAGCTTCAGATTCTGTACCTTCCAGTCTAACCAAAGTTATACGTGATCATTAATTTCATGTTTCAACTTGACTGGGCTACAAGATACCCAGATAGTTGGTAAAACAGTATTTCTGGGTTGCCTGGTACAGCGTTTCCAGAAGAGATTAGCATTTGAATCAGTGTACTGAGTAAGGAACACCAATCCTCATCAATGTGAGTGTCATCATCTATCCAATGAATAGAGTAAAAGGTGAAGGAAGGGTGAGTTCACTCCCTCTGCTTGAGCTGGGACATCCTTCTACTCTTGCCTCCTGACATTGAAACTTCTCGTTCTCTGGCCTTCAGACTTGAACTAAATTCCCCACCAGCTTTCATGGTTCCCCAGCTTGCAAAGGGCAGGTCACAGGACGTCTGGACCTCCACAACCCTGGGAGCCATTAACATTGTAAACCTCCCACGTGTCTATCTCTATATGTCCTACAGGTTACGTTTCGCTTAGAGAACCCTGACTAATACTGTATACTTCCCAATGCCTACTTTAATCCTCAAAAGAAAGCTGAATCTGATTCACACAGTTTTATTCAATAAAGATCTCGATGACAATGTCAATTCAGGTGATTGGAACAGTTAAAACTGAGCCAAAATGCTGTGTGACACTAAAAATCCAGAAAAATTTACAGAAAAAAAGTTATTTGTTATTATTTATTTATATTTATTTTATTTTATTTTTGAGATGGAGTATCACTTCCATTGCACAGCTGGAGTGCAGTGGCACAATCTCCGCTCACCGCAACCTCCACCTCCTGGGTTCAAGCGATTCTCCTTCCTCAACCTCCCCAATAGCTGGGATTACAGGCTTGTGCCACCACGCCCAGCTAATTTTTTTGTATTTTTAGTAGAGACAGGGTTTCACCATGTTGGCCAGGCTGGTCTCAAACTCCTGACCTCAGGTGATCCACCCACCTCAGCTTCTCAAAGTGCTAGGATTACAGCTGTGAGCCACTGCGCCCGACCAGCAAAAAGTTATTCTTACTCTGTTTTTCAATGCTACTCTATACCAAGCTGTAATGGGTATACATACATAGATTATAAAGCAATGAGACCCCTTGTTTATGTCCCACAGTGATGCCCAAGTTATCTGCGATATGCTATATTCATTGGTTAATGTGAGTACTTGGGGAGTTTCTAATATAACCTTTAATGTGTGTGAACAAATTGCCAATAAATCCCAGAATAGACTTTAAGAAGTCAGCATGATTTTTCCCTGTTAGATATCATCTTTAAAAAGGGTAGGAGAAAGTTGTCTGGAAAAAAAAAAAAAAAAAAACTTCAGCATGTAAATTAATTTTAAAATGGGCATGGTAGTTTTACATTTTGAAGATAAGAAGATTAACCAGAAGGAACTGAGAGAGAAAATTATCAAACCTGAATGGGGAAAAATGCCTGAAAAAATATAGCTGTGAAGAGAGCTGAGTCATTTGTGATAGAATTTTAAGGCCCTGCAAAAGTCCCGAACATGGTCACAAGTGGTTTACATAAATCCATGTGCCCTCTTCTTCGAGCCAATCAACTGCTCTCCAGCCCTGCGGCGAGTGGCATCGCTAGGATGAGTCAATGACACTGTCACACAGTAGAAAACACAGCCTCCTTCCATCTCCATGATGTGCTTTCTCACAACTTCATTAAACTGAACCAGAAATCACATCAGACAACATGGAAGAGTCATGGGATGACTTTTGACATGAGATTGAGAGACAGGTGGGTGAGACTTCAAGAAAAATGACACAAAGATAAGACAGTTTCAGATTCAAGATGATCTTACACTTCTGAAAACCCAAACATCAACGTCTTAGGGCCAGAAAGTAAAACTTCTAATGAATAGGATGTGAAAGTCGCCAGGCAGACTCCTTGCATTTCACCATGACACTAAATGAAAGCACAGAAAGTCCAGAAGCTAAATGAATGTGTAAGATTTCTCAGACAAGATCTCTGGGGTCGCTCTAATTATAACACCCAAATGTTGTTAGCAACAATAGAAAGAGCAATTTAGATATGTGATTTGGTGATTGTTTAAAATACATTTGGGGCTCTTTTGAGAGTTCTGAAATTTCCATAGCAGCTGCGTACTTCAGACCTGGTGGCATTTGGGGAAACACTTGTCAAATCCATACTTGGAGCCCAGGCTGCCTGGTGAAAACGGATTTTTTTCCCTATTGTTAAGTGAAAATTCCATGAGCAAAATATTCTTACATTGTGCCCAGTAGAAATGTACCTTTCCACTGAAAATATTACCCTAATGAGCTTGCTTGTAATGTTCACACTGGAAATAACAGAAACATGCAGGCCCTCCCTGTCTTTTTCTCTTCTATGACCTTCTCCTCCACTTTACTGACAGAGTATGAGTAAGCTGGCAGAAAATCAACAGGGACAAAGGGAACTACTGGCCTCTTGGTTACAGAGGGCCCTTTCGATACCATCCTACATCTACAATACACCACCAGTTTCCTCCTCCATGATGTGACGTTCTTTAAGGAATAGTTTAGAAGGGCCTGACTTAGAACTATGCCAACAGCTCTTGGCACCACTTATTTGCAGACTCTGGCCCAACTGGCTGAAATCAGTCTTTGCTAATTTATCAGCCAGCACAGGTCTCAGCTGCAGTTTTCAGCTTTGATCAAAGCTGAAGCCCATATCATCGTAACATCATGTGTGAGTCTGGGTCTGGATCAGCAGTGGCTGGGAAGACTAAGGAGAAGCACAGAAGGGACCCAGAGTATGGCTGGGCCACCTGCTCCCCTCATTAGGATGGGATGAAATAGTGCAGCTGATTGGCCCAGGGAGAAGGGGGTGTGGGCTGGAGATGGAACAGAGGAGGGTTAGAGAGGGGCTCCCAGGAGGCTGGAATTCTATCTCACCGGCTGCCATCTATTAACCTTGACTAAAGACCTGGCACTGGCCTTGGCACTTACAGATGGTTAGGAACCCAGCCCTCGAGGACTCAGAGACCAGAGACCGCTAGTTCTAATATAGGTCAGACCTGTAAATGCATGAATGGGGAAGAAATAATCAACAATGGGACTACAGAGAAACAAAGAAATATCAGAAGGACAGACTACAAGGATAGTTTAGCCGCAAATTCACCCAAAAACAGGGAAAATTAGAGGAGGAAAAAAGGTTCCAGGACCTTTTTTCCCTTCATTCGAATCCACTTATTAAGCACCTACTAATGCAACCATTTATTAAGCACCTTCTACATGCAAGACACACAAATATTAATAGATAGAGTTCCAGCCCTCCGGGACTTCAAGACACAAACACAAACAACTGTGGAAAAGATTGCATGGTAATAAGATATTTCCCTGTGCAAAGTACTGTGAGTGAGAGACCCTGTCTGGGGGAGGATCTGGAGAGCTTCCAGGAGAAGTTGCCATTCACAATGAGCCTTCCAAGGTGAGTAGGGCTTCAACTTGCCAAGATGGGAGGTTAGCTTTGGCTCAACTCTTGTAAGCCTGAAGTTAACAATGCCAGGTGCAGAGCTTTCTTCCCTTTCCTGGAGGTTTGAAGGGGGAGGCTCACAGCCTGCAGGCAGCATGGCCTGCATTCTCTTACGAGATGTATCTCTTTGAGATACGGCTCCTTGCCCTGCAGAAAAGTGCAGCAGTTAACTGGAGCAGCAAGGAGACCCGGAATTCTGGGAGACCACCGGGCAAAACAGAGGCTGACCCAACCCAGTGGCTCCCGTACCACAACTGCCCCATGGATTTCAGTTCAATTACAGGCTTCTCAACCTCCCTCTCTCAGTCCTCCTGTAAATGGCCCACACTGTGTCCCACCCACCGCTCTTCTTAACAGGCTGTGCAACCTCAGGCAGCTGCTTGAACTGCTCTGTCTCAAATTCATCCTCTGTAAAATGGAGACCATTAAAACCAGAATCTCATAGGGTCCCACTGAAGAGTCAATGGAGTAGTGCTTAGTACAGGATTTAGCCCAGAGCGAGCTCTCAGGAACTTTTGTTATATTTAATGATCATTTTGTACCTACGTGATCTCCACCACACCCACGACTTCGCCATACCCCCACA
This sequence comes from Homo sapiens, assembly GCF_000001405.40. Taxonomy (NCBI): domain Eukaryota; kingdom Metazoa; phylum Chordata; class Mammalia; order Primates; family Hominidae; genus Homo; species Homo sapiens. The sequence continues at coordinate 8,411,440 of NC_000002.12, forward strand.
TCCGCATCTGCAGCTCTCTTCTCTTCCCCATGGCCTGCCCTAGAAGTCTGACAGCCTTATGGGCATCACCCCAAAATTACAACGAACACCTCTAACTTTTCAGACTCCTCAAATTAATCGTCTTTCCTCAACTGTGCCTCCTTCTTCCTTGATCTCGGGGATGACATCAGCACGCAATGCTTCCCCAAAAAAGAACTCAGACACCAGCAAAGACTCGCCCTCTCATTTCATCCAATAAATAGATCTGATTTACTAGAACCTCTTGGCTGGATAATCTCCTTCCCCTTCCCAATACCATCTGGGGACTCGTTCTCACCTGCCCAGCCCCAGTGCCCCCAGGCTGGGGTCCCCAGAATGTCTCGCACACGATGGCCGACACACACGTCTGATCATGTCCATGTCCTGGTGAGAGCCACCCTGGCCCTCCATGGCTTTCCAGATAAGGCCTGTGCTGCGGTCGGCACCTGAGGCCCTCCCGGTCTCTCCTGCTTTTCTAGCCAGGCCTCCATAAATGTCGGCCTCACATTTAGTAAAGCATGATGGGTTCTCCATGAATAACTAGAATGGATGAATGAATGAACCTGCCACTTGGTGCCCTGAAAGAACCATTCCTCTGGCCATTCTGAACTATTAATATTTCCAATTCCCTCAACGTGGCACCCTTGAAGACAGGCCTGTGCCTGCTGCATACCCAGGCTAGCTGGCTCCCTGCTGGATTGTCTGCTTCCCAGGCCCTTCCCAGGTGGAGATGGTGGCCCTCGGTGCCTTCACGGTGCTTCAGATCTGTCTCCCCACTTGGGAAGTTATTCCCTCGGCATCAGCTTATTGCTGGTCTTCCCACTAATCTCAGAGTTTCCTAAAGTCAGGAATGACGTCATATTTGTCTAGGAGTCTCTGAGCACTGCCCGGTCTAACACCACGTTCTGTTAATGATTTATTAACCTGCGAAGGAATGGGCCACATGCCAATTGTGTCATACAAACAACACAAGCGAAGACATCAGTGTGGCATCTGTCTTTTTCCTTTTGGCTTTATTTCCATAGGGCTTTCCAGTACATGCCCCATTCTGTCTTATGAGAAGAGAATGGACCTTGAGGGCTTTTTTTCCCCTTCCTTTTTCTGCCAGACGCACTTCCTGCTGCATTGAGAGACTTTTGGAAGGTTCGCCTTTCCCTCAAATTTCTCATGATGTTGAAGAACTATAATCGCCACTGAATGGTCCAGTTTAGCACAGAGAAAGCCAACCAACATTCACCAGCAGACTTTAAATGCTGACAGTTGAAACAGCCAAGAAAAGTTCATTAAGTGCTAAGCAAGAAAAAGAGCAAGAAAATGAGACAGAATCGCTCCCTGGGGCATTGCAAAAGCAGGCCTTTGTGAGGAAACATTCCTGAAGGAATCTGGGGAAATGACATTGTAAAACTGCAACAGACGGCAGGATAGGACAACAGGCTCCCAAATAACTGCATGGCACCACACCAATGCTCCTTGTGGAGGGAGAGCACATCACAGAGCCCCTTGAGAGGCAGGCTGGAGAAGGCTGCCCCAGCACACCCGAACATCAAGGCGTTTTCAAACTTCTCAATTTTCTTTTCTTTTCTTTTTGTTTTGTTTTGTTTTGGAGACACAGTCTCTCTCTGTCACCCAGGGTGCAGTGCAGTGGTGCCATCTCAGCTCACTGCAATCTGCCTCCCGGGTTCAAGCAATTCTCATGCCTCAGCCTCCCAAGTAGCTGGGACTACAGGCACACCACCACACTCAGCTAATTTTTGTATTATTAGTAGAGACAGAGTTTCACCATGTTGCCCAGGTTGGTCTCGAACTCCTGGCTTCAAGCGATCCACCCGCCTCAGCCTCCCAAAATACTGGAATTATAGGTGTGAGCCCCCGCATCCAGCCTAAACTGTTTCTTTAAAGACCATTTGTACTCCCCTTGCCTCAGCACCAAAGGGAATGAGAATTCAGGGAAGCATGCCTCCCCCCTCTCAGTTTGCAGTTGAAAACTGGTCAAGAGGAACCAGGTACATTTGGGTTTTTTCTAAAGAAGCCAAGGATAAAAACCATGGCCACTATACCATGGACAGCTTTGAAATGAACAGAATTGTTTTCACACACAGGACCAGCCAGAGGTAAATGTGCCTCTTCAAAAAATGTGGTGTCAATGCAATGTGCAGAAACTGTCAGGGGTGGGGGAAGGGGACTCTAAGTAGGATGGTCATATCCTGTATTGTCCACACAAGGTCATTTTTGAGAGCAGAAGGAGAAGTTACTACTTACAACACCTGGACAATTCGTTGCAAACCAGCGCTACCCAGGCAAATAAGTGAGTCTGGCCACCTCACCCTGAGTAACGTACTCTGTGAACAAATTGCTGAGGTGAGGAGAAAGAATATCTGGGTTGTAGAGGCAAACACATACTTTTAAAAAAATAAATAAAGAGGCTCTCTCTGGACTTAGTACTTTGACTTTTTCCTGATGCAGTTACAGTCCAAATCACATAGGCATTTCTTATCAGCAAAAGCAGCCAATAAAATACAGAAGGACCGTGAGAGAGATGGGCCAGAGCTCTTGTGAAAGTCTTTCAACACACTGGCGGGCTTCTGCCAACAGGAAAACATTTAGCAAGAGGTGTGCAAGCTATTTGTAGATACAACCCGATCATTCAAAGGTAACTATGATCTGGCACACAACAGCATGTACCCTTTAAAAATAAGCCCATAAAAGTGAAGCTTTGCTTCACATGTCTAAGTGTTTCTGCATTATATATATGATGAATATATATATATATATATTCCAATCAGGTGATTTTGAAAAAGTGAGAAACAGATATATTACCTGGGCACTGGAAATGCCCAGGTTCCTCAGACTTCAGAACTGGCTGAGCCCACAGCACTGCCCTTGCCGGCTACTTCAGGGACAGGTGATTTGAGGCAAGCCTTCTTCAAGTCTGCACCCCAAAAAAATCACCTGGAAAAATCTGAAGTCAGGATAACTACAGTTAAAAAAAAAAAAAAAAAAGCCCAGCAGATAGTGCGAACAAACAGACAAACAACAAAAATCAAGAGTGTTGTCTTGCAGCAGGTTCTTCTGTTCAGTGGCCAAAATTTTACTCCTGGATCCTTCATTTTAAAAATTAATAAATATGGCCAGGCGTGGTGGTTCATGTCTGTAATTCCAACACTTTGGAAAGCTGAGTGTGTGGATCTCTTGAGCTCAGGAGTTCAAGACCAGCCTGGGTGACATGGTGAAAGCCCATCTCTACAAAAAATTCGAAAGTAGCCAGGCATGGTGGCATGCACCTGCCTGGCTACCCAGCTACTCAGGAGGCTGAGGTGGGAGGATCAATTGAGCCCAGGAGGTCCAGGCTACATTAAGCCATGATCACATCACTGCACTCCAGCCTGGGTGACAGGGGGAGACCCTGCCTCAAAAAAATAAAAATAGACCTAAGTCCTCTTGACTCATCCTCAAATGCAAACCTAAAGGAGAAAGGGGGCTTCCCGCCCACCTCAGATCTCCACTTCTGTGCAGCCACCTCGCAGTGATGCTCCTGGTGCTGGAACATAATGAGGGGTCATGAGGAAGACATTGTCAAAATCCTCAGAGAGGGAAGAAGGAGTGGCTGCCTCCCAGCACAGAGGCCAAGTTGCAAGTTGACGCAGCCTAGCTGCGAGGCAGCCACACAGGCACACGGCACTGGGTGGGAACAGTTGGCCCTCTGGGCTCAGCACACCTACTGGTCTTGAGCAAGTCCTTCATCCTCTGGAGACAAGCTGTGACTTGGCTCATCTCAGATGGAGACGATGCACAAAGAGCAGGTTGCTGAGCACTCAGTGCCAGACAAGCCCACCAATTTTTAACATTGTGTTAAAAACTGTGTATTCTGTGTGTTCTGGGTGTGTGACCCACAAAGAAAATGGAAGCTCCTGGAATTCTGCTTTCTGTTGACTGTCCTCACAAAGTCTATTCACCCCGAAACACTGCCTGCACCACTTCCCTTTCCCCAAGCATAGTTCACGTTTTGGCAGACTAAACCTGTTCGTGTGAACTAAGGTAAAATTTCATTAACTTGGAATCGGCTGATTTGGAATCGTTCACACTAGGCTGAAGTTTAACTTTACACCCAGCAATCCTTTTCTTCTTTCACACAGCAATTTAAGTGTATAAACAGTATGTGGAGGGGGAAGTATCAAAATGCATCAGAGAATACATTGTTTCAACACATCCAAAGCACTCACTCACAAATAATTGTTACAGGAAATAAGTCATCGTTAAATATTCGTAATTGTAGCTCCCTAAGGACTCCTAATAGGCGACATTTCTATCTTAGTTTTGTTACTGTAGCTCATTCAATTCCTCTACTATTCAGACTGGTGTTTCCCTAAATTCTCCCAAATGAGTGTCATCTTACTCCATTTGAAATGAAAAGGGTCCTATGTCTAATAAACGTTAACTTTACAGTGCTTCATTTAGTACCCAATAAGAAGGTGGTAAGTACCCAATAAGAAGGTGGTATTGACTGTGCTGATTTTTATATTTGAAAGTGAAAATCCAAAAGTTTCCAGTTGCTCTGCTACCAAACACTTTCTTTGTGTCCCATACCATGCTCTGTGTCCTACAGGAGATACGAATCCAGCTAGTCAGGCAAGTCTAGCCGTTGCGAGAATAATCCGATCCCAAAGTCTAGAGTACTAAATCCAAGCAAAATAGAAAATCTCTGAAGGCAAGTGACTGAGCAGAATTCATACCTGAGCCCAGAAGACTGTGTCAGTCCTCTTGAACTTTGCACATGCTATATTTCCTTGGGTTAAGAGAGTCCTTTCTCACCACCAGCTCCTGGGCTGTCTGCAAAAGTCAGCTCAACAATGCCTCCTGAAATGTCTCTGGGCCATGGTACTCTTGATCTAATAATAGCATCAATACGCCTGCCATTTGCCTCACACTGTACATGCCTCTGCCATTGCACATTACATTTCACATTCCCCTGCTCATCTCTAGTTTCTCCACAACTGGACTGTGCACTTCTTGAAGGCGGAGACCATGCCAGTGCCTCTGGGAGTGACCACCATCTTCCAAGGAACCAGGAACTCATTGAGCTCTTGATAGAACTTTGTCAAATGAATGAATGGATGAACTTATTCCTGTGTTCTCCCTCTCTGTAGAAATGTCCTGGCTTTAGACATTAAGAAGTAAGTCAGGGCTGTCACATGGTTGCCCAGTAGCCCTCCTGCATCAGAGGTTGTGCAGCCCTGCTGAGTGTGGTCATCATTTTTAAACATCACCATTGCCAGACAGTTACAAAGGTGCTACCATTCTTCCACAAGGGAAAGTCCCTCAGCAGAGTGGACAGTGAGCTCTCTGTCTCCATGACCCACACCTACCAGCCCTCAGCCACCTTCAGCTGGTCCCTTTGAACTGCTAGCCCGTCTTCAAGCATCAGTCTGTAATCATCTCCATGGCAAACACATTGGTTACATGATAGTACCTGTTCATAAGAATAAGCTCATCTTCTGGAAAGAGAAAAGCCAGTCTCATAAATATCCTGAGCAGTTGAACAAAGTACTAGTGTTCTCGAGGTAGGCTTACTTCAAGAGCCTCTAAAATAACAGTGTGGACTATGATTCAGCCCATGAATGCAAATAATGCATGAATGCCTAAGGAACAGATATTTTGCTGCCTTCTTTTCATGTATATTTTAGTGTTTTCACTTACTGGATCTACATAGTCTGCTGGACTTCATTTCTTTTTTACTTCAACTTTTCTATTGTTACCCTCCCTAATACATCTGTTGCCAAAGAACTTGTACTCCAACGCCAAAATCTTACTTAATAGAAAATTAATCAGTCTTTAACCTTTCCTAACTTCATGTGGGTGACCCATTTTGTTCCTGAGGTTTGAATTGCTCTTTAACCTGAATTCAAACTTTCAGTGTTCTAATTAAACTTGATTCTAACCTAAGCTTCAATTTAAAAAAAAAAATGCCCTCTAGAACCCCTCACCCTGCCAACATATGGTCAGATTTTATCACTGGATTTATGAGGCAGGGGACTGTACTGGGCTCTGCCTCTGATGTGTCAGGACCTCCTCCTGGCGCCACCACCAGGGAGAGGTGTCCTATCTGCACGTTCCTACCCCCACCCCACACTTCCCTTGAGCCCTGTGCAGGCAAGAGACCAGAAAGTCAGCCTAGCAAGACAGAGGCTCCAGTGGCACCCAGATCTCCATGATGCTCACTGCCTCTCCACAGCAGCTTTCTCAATCCATCGTCAACCACATCCTAGACTAACCAGAGAGCTGGGCCTGCTGCAAGCAGGGAAGCGGCGAAGACGAGGTGCCGATGTGGCACATGGGAAAAACCACTGTCTTCACATCATCAAAGCCAGCTCTGAATTCTGCCTTCCTGCTTAATGGTCACATAAGCTTTGACAGATGGGCCACCCTTCTGTGCCTCAGTTACTCAGATGTAAATGGATAATAATAATAATATCAACCCCACGAGGTGGTTGCAAAGATTAATTGAGATTATATAATGAAGGCCCCAGAGCCTGGCACACTATAAACACTCAATAAATGTAGACTTTATCTGTCTGTCATCTATCTGTCTATTATCTCTTATGTATCTATATCTAAATATGTCTTACCCCTCTAATCAATTATCCACTTCTTGGGAACAGATACCATTCTGATTTATCTTTTCACCCATCAGAGAAGGTAGTCACTAAGTGCTAATTGATTTAATGTTGTTAAATTCTCAAGCTAACCCAACTTGCTGTCATTTTCAAAACATTTTAATTATTATAAGATATTGCTAAACAAACATATGGACTTCTCTTTTTCCTTTCCATACCAGGCTTCCTGGGATAATCTTTTAAACCTCTATACATCTTGCTTCTTATGAGAACATCTGCAAGCCAAAGCAGCCAGAAGCTTGGGAAATAGTCCAGCAGAGAGTTGCCACCTCACATAGGTAATGTCACATGCATGGAAGCTGTCAACATAGAGAGACAGAGACAGAGAGAAAGAGAGAGTTGGAGGAGACAGAAAAAGACAGACAGAGAAAGAAAGAGAAATAGGAAGACAGAGTCAGATTCAGACATGGAGAGAGACAGAGAGAGGCCAAGACACAGAGAGGGAAGGAGAGAGATGGAGAGAGAAGGAGAAAGAGACAGAGAGAGATCAACCAAAGTGAACTACTGAATTATAAACAGATGTGCGTCTTACTTTGGGAGTACTTCACACAACCCTTCACTACAGACTACACCGTATCTGGCAAGACCAATAAGTTGTTTACTGGGGCAAAATGGAGGCAGAGGGTGGTTATGCATCAGGTAAAAAATAAAATTTTCCCTAACATACAGAGACTGTTAAAGTCAAGTTTAATTTTTTGGTTTGAAATAACTGGGTAATGTTTCAAACATCTACTTCATACCATATGTGAAAGATATACTCTAAAGGAATCTTGAGCATTAAAGGCATTTTCAGCAAAATGCTTATGAGTGTTGACTATGTGCCAGATGCCGCAAAAGGTACGGGTGGCAAAAAGATGTTCTTGTCTTAGCAGAGGGGAAGCAGCAGTGAAACAAGGGCATTGCAGTAAACAAAGCCCATCAGTGCTGTGATAGATGCCGTACAGTGTGTGTGTTAGGAGAGGGGGATAATTTAAACTTGCAAATGAGCTCTACAAGTGGGATCCTTTTTTATATATATTTTGAGATGGAGTCTCACCCTGTTGCCCAGGCTGGAGTGCAGTGACGTGATCTTGGCTCACTGCAACCTCTGCCTCCCGCATTCAAACAATTCTTCTGCCTCAGCCTCCCAAGTAGCTGGGACTACAGGTGCATACCACCACACCCGGCTAATTTTTGTATTTTTAGTAGAGATGGGGTTTCATCATGTTGGCCAGGCTCGTCTCGAACTCCTGACCTTGTGATCCACCCACCTAGGCCTCCCAAAGTGCTGGAATTACAGGAGTGAGCTACCGCGCCCAGCCAAGTGGGGTCCATTTTAAAAAGTAGATAAAGTAAAAATTCAAGTGTATTCAAAACCATACTTAGGCTGGGCACAGTGGCTCATGCTTATAATCTCAGCACTTTGTGAGGCTGAGGTGGGCAGATCATCTGGGGTCAGGAGTTCCACAACAGCCTGGCCAACATGATGAAACCCCGTCTCTACTAAAAACACAAAAATTAGACAGGCATGGTGGTGGGCACCCGTAATCCCAGCTACTCAGGAGGCTGAGGCAGGAGAATCGCTTGAACCCAAGAGGCCGAGGTTCCAGTGAGTGAAGATGGCACCACTGCACTCCAGCCTGGGCGACAGAGTGAGACTCTGTCTCAAAAAACAAAAAAACAAACTACACTTGGCATGGGGCCCAAGTGTTCCCATCTAAGACCAATTCATCAAAAACCCTGAGAAAAATGTTCCCAAATCATCCCTCTTCCACTGCTGTGATTGTCTGTTGGGGTGGCAGCCACAGAGGCAAAAGCCCAGCCCAGAAAGTGAAATGTCTGTCTCTCACCAGTTTGTTACAGGAGGATTGAATCTACCCTGGGACAGAAGAGACTCCTGCAGCAGGATAGTTCCCAAACCAGAGGCCAGTCCCTCCAGCACCACCAACAAGGAACACAGCTCCTCCTCTCTTAGACTCCAGCACTCTGTCTCGCTTCGGCTCACCAATATGTTTTTCCAGTCAATCAGCAAACATTATTGAGTGGCCATCATAGGCACCCCAGGTTTCCCCTGGAAACACCAAAGTGAAAAGACCTCTCTACCCAGGATGCAAGCACTGATCCTTGATGTAGCGTTTCAGTAACACATGACTCACGGTAGGCAAACTACAGGGATACAAATGAAACTGGGAAATCCATGCATGAGATTCTTCTTGCTTGGCCTCTTCTCCCAGATCAGTGAGCGTTCCCCTTGGAGCTCTCTGGAGGACAGAGCAGAGCTCATCTTGTGCCTGAGTTATTGGGGCTGCTGCCTCCACTCAAGAGGCTCCTATTTCTCCATCACCCAATCCAAGAATCCATCAAGTCTGACCCTAGAAGGCGCAGCAGAGTGACTTCCAAGACCTCCTGCCCTGCTGAGCCTCACTCCAGTCCTTGATGGCTGGAGCACCCGCTGACCTCTGTGTTTGTGCTGCCTGCTTCCCATACCCTCAGCCACCCAGGTCACTCACAGGAGTGGCCAGCTCTGTCTCGGAGCCAAGTGTCTTCTTTCTACCCCATCATTGTTTGGCCTCCCATCAATCAATTTCTGGCTCATTATAAAATTAGCATACCCACAGTTGCCACAACCTACAGATGACTGTTTTTGTCTGAAGCTTTTTAAAAAGCAGATTCTTCAGAAGCTATTCTAGATAAACATATGCCACCCTTATATATAACCAGGATTTTGGAAGAGGGCTATGCATTTTACCTTCTGATGAGAAATGTCATTCTTCCACCAATCACCAGTGCCCGTCAGCCTCCCCATCCCAAACCAAGTCTATTCTGGTCCCTGAAATTCTATTCACTCCTTGGAGTTAAAACTTACAGGATCTTTGGGAAGCTGAATATATACCAGCTATAATTCTTGCTGCTGTGGGCTTTAGCGATCAGGTCAGTTGTCCATGACTGTTGATGAGAAGGACCCTGCTAGAAGGAGGAAGAGAGGGTCCAGAGGGACCCCAGGACCAGGCAGTGCCAGGGAGCCGAAGAGGGAGGGGTACGGAAGGAGCAGTCTTAGGACCCGGCCTCACACCTGCATAGCAGCACCTTGGCCCCGTGGGAAAGCAGAGAAAATGTGAACATTCTCCACTGTGCCTAATTCATTTGGAAGGCACCTCCCTTGAAAATCACAGCTCGTGAACTTCTGTCATATCTGCAATGCCCTTTCCCTCAATTTTACACAAGTTATCGCATGTCATTATGTCATTGCGTCACACACCTTAAAGGGATGGGGTAAATTTTTTTTTAAATTCTTAGAAAAATGGCCATATTTTAGCATCTTGATGATGGTGTGGAGGAAGCCCACCTTGCTTTCCTTTTCAGGTGTTTATCTGCAGAAACCATCCCCGTTCTCAGTCAAGAGCTTCATAATGCATTTCCAGAAGCAGGAGGCCCCATGGGAGCCCAGGCAAAACTTTCAATCCCGATTGAGACGTCTGGGCAGGTCTGGCTGAACCGTGGGGTGGACTCTCTAGAACTCCATTTGCACCAGAAACAGAAAGCCTCCTGGGAGACTCCTCCTAAGGTTCTGGAAGGCCAGGAACACAAGGTTCTTCAAGTCACAGTGCAGTGGGTTCACAAGGGAATGAGCATCCCCAGTACAGAGTGGCCTCGGCATATCTTCACCCTCCGCAGTTTCCTGAGGGTCCCCGGGATCACAGGAGGGGGTGGTGCACCCACGAGGAAGGCTTGGGGCTGAAAGTGACAGAACAACCTAACCACAGTGGCTTAAACAAATAAGGGACTTATTTTTTAGCTTAGTGGCCAAAGCTGAGGTCTCTGAGACCATCTTGGCCCCTCCTTCAAGGTCTCCAGTAGTGGGAACTGCGCCACCTATCACATCTGCCTCTCTTTCATAAGAAGAGAGGAAACAAACCCTGAAGCAGAAGTTTTCAGGAACTCTAAGCAAACTGTGCTTTCTTATATCTCTTTAGCCAGCTGTACCCACATGGCCACCCCCAGCTGGGAGGCAGCCAAGGCAAAGGGGATTGGAAATGGAGGTCGGAACAGTCAGCCTGCCCCAAGGGGAACACAGCAAGAAGGGATGAGCTTGGAGTCAGCAGCACTGCTTTCGTGCCCAGTCCCAAACTGAGAAAGCAGTGCCCACCATCTGCAAAAAGTACAGCGTAGCTTGGACACATGGTGGACGGCTTCACATTGGTGCCGCCTCATGGCTGTGACCCTCCCTGTGCAGCAGTGGGAGGTGGTCCTGGGGCTTTGGGACAGCCCCACAGAGATGTAGGTGAAGCCCTGAAAGCACCTTTGTGGTGTACATGGGTCTCCCGAAGGAGCTTGAGTAGGAAGGGGGGGGCAAAGAGGATGCCACGTAGGAAGAGAAGAGGAACTGCCACCGTCCATATGGGAGCCCCTGGGTCCTTCCAGGAATAACTGAGTGAGATTTCTCCTGGGCTTGAGTTCCCACGGTAGCAAGAGATCATGTTGGTATCCTTGGCTTCTCAGCTTGGGGAAACAGTGACCTTCAGCAACTGGAATCCACTAATCATGTGACCGAACAAATGAAAGACCAAAGGACCATTGGTTAGGGCACTAACTTGAGAATTTATTTCTGAAAAACAAAGTTTTCTTTTCAGATGAAATGGGATATGAAACATTTATAGAGGGTCTAATGCATGCCAGATACTTTACACAGATTGTTTTATTGAATCCTTATAACCACCCTATAAATAGCCATTATTTTCATTTACTGATAAGAAAACTGAGACTCAAAGATTTTCAAAAACTTATCTAAGATCATGCACCTAAAATGTGGAAGAGCCACATAAACCCCATAGATTTTCTGAATCCAAAGTCCACAATCCATCCTGAACAGTGCTTGGATGCCAATTCCTCAAGTTTTATCTGAAGAATTATTTGTGTTCTATGTAATACCCCACCTATATCTAAGAAGATCTGAAATAGCTACTCCTATAAACATCTTGCCACCAGCTACCTAGTCATGCCCCTCAATGTTGAAGATAATGAAAATGCTGGGACTTTTCCCAAATGCATAGGAAGGTGGGAAATCCAGGTCAGACCCAGACTCCCAAGTTCTTTTAACAGTGCTGTCTACACCAAGGCTAGCATCCTGGCTGTGAAATCCACAGTCCCCCATTAAACGGCTCAGGGATACCCAGAATGAGGGTCAGCCAACCGAGATACAATTTAAGGAGAGCCAAAAATCTCCATCATCAAGATAAATAATATTTTCATGCCACATTTGTTTTCTTAACTATTATGGATACATAATAGTTGTACATATTTACAGAGTACGTGTGATATTTTACTATTAATAGAAGCATACGATGTGTGATGATCTAATCAGGGCAATTGTGGTATCCATCCCTCAAGCACTTATCATTTCTTTGTGTTAGGAACATTCCAATTTTTGAAATTGGAATTTTAGTTTCTTTTTAGTTTTTATTGAAATATTCTTTTTTTGAAATATACAATATCTGAGTTATTTTTGAGTTTTTGAAATATACCATAAATTATCAGTTACTATAGTCTCCCTATTGTGCTAGTAAACACTAGATCTTACTCTTTCTATCTAGTTGTATTTTTGAACTCATGGTGGGGAGGGGGAACCAAAAGAGGGGATGGTTAATGCAATACTTTTAAAAATAAAAATTAATGCAAAAAATCCATGATGAACAAAATATCAACATTTTAAATAAAGACAAGGTGCTTGTATGCTTGTCTGTTTCCAATCAGCTGTGGTTTCTGGGCCCCATGGCCTCCATGTCCCCATGAGACTGCTTCATGAGGGCTGACAGTGGCATGCTGTATTAGGCTGTTTTTGCATTGCTGTGAAGAAATACCCAGGACTGGTTAATTTATAAAGAAAAGAGGTTTGATTGGCTCCCGGTTCTGCAGGCTGTACAAGCATGGTGCTGGCATCTGCTCGGCTGCAGGGAGGCCTCGGGGAGCTTTTACTTGTGGCGGAAGAAGAAGGGGGAGCAGGCCCTTACATGACAAAAGCAGGAGCAAGGGCTGGGGTGGAAGTGCCACACACGTAAACAGCCAGATCTCATGAGAACTCACTCGCTATCAGGAGGACAGCCCCAAGCCCTGAGGGATCCTCCCCCACGACCCAAACACCTCCCGCCAGGCCGGCCTCCAACACTGGGGATTACCTCTCAACATGAGATTTGAGCAGGGACAAACATCCAAACCAAGTCATGTGCGGACAGAACAACATTGGGCTTCATATCTAGTCATGGGTTTTGATTCCAGAGGTTCTATTCACGTTTTCTGCTTGGTTCAGAATATGGGAGGACATTCTAACAAGTACATATGGGGGTGCATGTGCTTCCTCTTGCCTCAGGCTCCAGTTTGGCCCCATGTGGCATGGGCACAGCTCATCATTTAGTCAGCACAGAGAGGCGACAGGAAACTGAACAAGGAAGAGAACCTATGGTGGAATTAGTACGTTCACAGCTTCTCATGGGCTAACAGCATCCACGCACACGCTACATGATGTGAACTGCCACGTCCCTTGCAAACATCCCTCTCTTTGGGAGAGTCTGTAATTTTTCAATGACCCTAACAACGTTGACACAATCTTTCCACTCTAAAAGACACTAGTGTGTCATAGGAGCAGATGCAAAACATGTTCCTTGTTCATGGGAGCAATGATAATTACTTTGACGACAATAGAGAAGCTAGAAGGTATTAGGCTGGGAACAAGACAATGCAAACAGGACTGGATTAATTTGCATTAAAAAGACTGCAAGAGCAATTAGCACCTCATTAATATGACATAAATGTTAATTTATACAGATCCCAAGTGACCCTCCACTTCCTTCCTCCCCACCAGTGTGAGTGTTATGGTAGGAAGCACTCCATGAGAATGGCTTTCAAAGGCTGGGAGCAAGTCCATCTGCCCGGCCTTTCCAAGGAGGTGCAGATGAGTTCGAGTGTCCACTTAGCTGAGGCCACAGCAACCTTCTCACACGAATGGGCCGCCTGTGGGAATTACACTGCAGCCCGCAGAAGGCTCTGCGTTCACAAGGGAGCCTCGACACTGCTGCACACAACAGCGCAGTGGCCGTGGTGGCCCAGGAAGGGCTGCATCCACGCTGGGAGGGGCGGAGCCCACAGAGAACTGCACAGCTAAGGTTTTCCACCACAAACCTGAAGCTCGTTAGGATCAAAGCAATTGCCTTGAATAATTGATTTCTTCATACCAGTATGAAAATAAAATAAAATAAAACCCTGGAGGGTTGTGAATGGCATGAGATATAATCACACCACTTGAGAGTGAGAGGCACTTAGCGCCCTGAGGGTGTGATTAGGGCATCCTACATCAAAGGACGGTGTCCTAAAATAGTTCACCCAGTAAATCATTTCACACAATTCATTGTAAATGACACTGCCAGGAAGAGGAGATTCTGGAGAGCTTCTACCACCCCTTTTATTCTCCGTTGACCCTTAGGAGGAAGGAGACAGGATGGAAAAGGAGTATGAGGGTAACTGGGTGTGGGCACCTCCCTGTGGGAAAGAAATCTCACTGTTATTCTCACTTTGACTTGCAGGGACACTGACCTCCAGGATGTGGTTAAACACACACACAGTCACAAACAAACAAACTCCCACATATTCTCCCACACATGCGCATGTACGCGCGCGCGTGCGCGCGCACACACACACACACACAGAGCTTATGCCAGAATCTACCTCCATTCAAGAATTGTCCTGGGTGTTCGTCACCACGTCAGTCTTGCAAAGCCTTCTGCAACTCTGCCTAGGGACATGATGGCAGGACCCCAACACCTGTCCCACCACCCCAACACCTGTCCCGCCACCCCAACACCTGTCCCGCCACCCCAACACCTGTCCCGCCACCCCAACACCTGTCCCACAACACCAACACCTGTCCTGCCACACCAACACCTGTCCCGCCACCCCAACACCTGTCCCGCCACCCCAACACCTGTCCCACAACAGCATTCACAGGCTCCATGGTGCATCCATGATGCAGGAGAGTCTCCCAAATCCAACTTAACGCCAAAGATGTGCGGAGCAACCAGTGTGTTGAGAACACTCTGCCAGGCACAGTGGGGTGCAGGGGATTCCGAGCAAGTCCCCGGGGGGGGAGGTTAACACAGTGACTGAGATGGACGGGCCCCAAGAAGCCATTCGAGGCCATTACCAGGATAAAGAAGAACGAGGACAGTTAGGAGGACTCCATGGAAGAAGTCAAATCTGAGATGGTCCTCCTGAAGAATGAGGCAATTTCAGTAGCCCCACGTGGATAGAAGCACTCACATGAAGGGAAGAACGCAGGCCAAGGCACAGCACAGGTGACTCGAGATGGGTGCTCAGAACCCAGGTCTGGGCTGCAGTTCTCGAAACCCTCTGAGACGTGTCACATAGCAAGCACATGGACAAGGAAGCAGAGTGTTGGAAACGGGAATCGACTCAGAGAATGTGAGATAGAGTCACTAGATTGGTGTTTCTCAAACTCAGATCCCAGGAAGTATTCTCAAATCTGCAGCTCTTCCTTGGAAAGTTAAAAGTTGACTATTTTCCTCGTGATAAGCATCTTAGAGGAAACGCTGCTCTATGCCTATCTTGCACCGCCTAGTTCACTTCCTCACAAACCTCCGTCTTAGTGCCTGTGTTTGCGTCTGTGCTTATGGGGGTGTTGGCACCGTGGAATTCTGCTTTAATGGATGCAGGCTAGGAGAAAAGAATAGAGGCGACTTGATACACAAAGAGTGAAGTTGAGCCAAGCAAAAGGTCAGATGGCCTCGCAAAGCACAGTGTGAATGAAAGCTTCACAGAAGTTCACATGGAGGACTCTGGTGGGAGAAGTGAGTCTCCAGAGACAGGGCAGATTACGAGGCTGGTTTCACCGGGCCTGGCCTGGCCACCAGCACCAGGACACAGCCGGGTCAACAAAGCATCATCGTAAACTCCAGCGGCAGTGGGTTTGGGTTTGGTGCATACTTCATTAGAAAAACTCTCTAGTTTTGTAGACGTATAGGACTACACACAGAGGTTGACTCCTAGTTGTGTTTTTGCACAAATAGAACATATTTAAAACAACACCAGGGGACTGGTTTTTTTTTCCCCCTTTTCAAAGGAGTTGCTACATTACTCCAGTCCAAGAAATGCTACCCCAGACAGTGAGCTTATTGAGGGCAGGGACCAAGTCTCACTTATCTTTGGACTGCTGTTTCCAGCTGGGTGCCTGGCATGTGGTAGGGATTTGACAGAAACCGGTTGAATCACATGGACATCTGGGCGTGTGACATCTGTTGGAGGCAGGATGGATTAATTCTCAGGGGCTGTGGTCGCCCTTGGGCAGAGCAGCTTATGGCAGATGATAGTGAGCCATGCACTTTGGATGGCACAGAGTCACCGAGAGGAACAATTGTACCTCACTTCAGGGCAGCTGTCCACACTAATTTAGAGGACAGCAGTGAGCAGAATGGAAACTCAGGAATGGGGACTCCAGGTCAACGAAATTCCAAGATACTGTCCCATTTTCTCAAGGGATCCTTTATGTATATTTTTAACTTTCTGAATTTTTACGAGTATATATTACTTATTTTTAGGAAAGTTTAAAATACTAAAAAGTACAAGGAGTAATAGAACAGACACTCATATTCTCAACATCCAGAATTAACAATTACAATTGGCCCTCCCTACCCACGGGTTCCCAAATCTTCACAGATTTAATTAACCCAAGATCAAAAATGTAGTTAGAACTACGATGGTTGCATCTGCACTAAATATGTACACTTTTTTCCCGTCATTATTCCCTAAACAATACAGTATAAGAACTAGTTACACAGCATTTAGATTGTATTTGGTATTATAAGTAATTTAGAGATTATTTAAAGTAGAGGGGAGGACATGTGTAGGTTATATGCAAATACTACAGAGTTTTATATCGGGGACTTGAGCATCTGAGGATTTTGGTATCTTGTGGGATCCTGGAACTAATCCTCCATGGATACCAAGGGATGACCTTATTAACATTTTCTCTAATTTGCATCAAATCTTTTTATGTATACACATTTTGAATTACAGAAGTAATATGGATATAGTATCTATTAAAGTAGGAGGAGGAAGAAGAAGAAAGAGAGAGAAGGGAAGTAAGGAAAGAAGGAAGGAGGGAGAAAAACAGATAAGGGTAGAGAACTAATCACACATAAAGCAGAAGTGTGCCAGGCATGGTGGCTCATGCCTGTAATCCCAGCACTTTGGGAGGCCGAGGCAGGCAGATCACGAGGTCAGGAGATCGAGACCATCCTGGCTAACACGATGAAACCCCGTCTCTACGAAAAGTTCAAAAAATTAGCCGGGCATGGTGGTGGGTGCCTGTAGTCCCAGCTACTCGGGAGGCTGAGGCGGGAGAATGGTGTGAACCTGCAAGGCGGAGCTTGCAGTCAGCCGAGATCGCGCCACTGCACTCCAGCCTGGGTGACAGAGTGAGACTCCGTCTCAAAAAAAAAAAAAAGCAGAAGTGACTTTTCAACCAGTTCCAGGACTATCGAGCTTATCTGCCTCACCTTCTTTTCTGAAACAACCTCCCTCCTAACCTTTTTATGTTCACATGCATATATATGAATCCATCTATGTATGCATTGTTTTGTGTGTGCTTAATTTGCATGAATATCACACTCAAAGTTCTATTCAACTTGTTTTTTCACTTATCACTATAGTTCTGAGTATCTATTCATGTTGACGTATACAGATCTATTTCTGTCCTTTTAATACTGTGCAGTATTCCATCTTATGAAAATACCACACGTCATCTATCCAGTTCTCTATTAAAGGACATGTAGGCTATTTCAAATATTTTGCTATTAGAAACAAGGCTACAATTAACATCTTTGTCCATGAGTTTGTATGCATTTGTTGGAATGTTCTTCTAAACTGTATGCCTAGAAATGATATTGCAGAGTAGCTGGGCCTGCATGTTTTTAGTTTTACCAGATATTGTCAAATTGCTCTCCCAAGTAGCTCTGCAAATTTAAACCTCCTCCAACAACGTGTAATGCCCGTATTTGTGCAAAAACTTGACACAATCATACTTTAAATGTTTGCCAACTTCCCTCATGACTTTAAGTTTTGGTATCTTGATTTCATATGCAATTTAGATATACAAGTAAAAGTGAACATTTATGTGTATGTTTACTAGCAGCTGTGTGTTTCTCATCCATGAGATGACTTCATATCCTTTACCCATTTTCCACTGCATTTTTTCTTTTTCACTTGTAGTTCTTTACATACGTTAAGTCCTAAACTTTTGATATTGGTTAAAAATTAACATTTTTATAGAGTCGTTGATCATGGAGAGAGTTTAAATATTGATATTGGCTAATCGCGTCTCGTTTCTGAAAGTTCCCTCTGTATCTTCTTCTGTAATTTTACATTTTTTATTTTTCAAATTTAGACACTGAGTCCTCCTGGGATGTCTGTTTTGTATGTGGTCTGAGTTAATGGTGATCTATTTTGTCCATAAGCAAAGACAGTGATAGCAACATTATTTATTAATAGTCCATGCCACTGCACTCATCTCCCAAGCTTCCCTTTCACATCACAAACTCCCACATGTGTCTCTTGTGTGCTCTTCCTCCACCTGCCTGGCCACCCCTGTGCTGGCTCATCCTGCTTCCATTCCTATTGCTTTATAACATGTCTTGATGTCTGATAGAGAAAAATCTCTCTTATCCTTTTCCTTTATAATCGTCTTGGCTATTCTTGCCTTTATTCTACTATACACATTTTTTATAATTTCATTTGGACGTACGAATAAAGGAATTACAATGACTTGGATTTAAATTGCATGTGAATTACAGGTTATTTGGAAAGACCAACAGCTTTACAAAAATAAGTCTTTCAATCCACCAATGCCGTATGTCTCCCTCCATTCTTGTCCTTCCAGGTGGGCTTTTATCATTTTCCCCATGAAGATGTTATATCATTTTGTTATATTTGCTCCAAATTTGTTATACTTTTGTTTCTTTTGTAACATAGATATTTTTTCTTACATTTTCTGCTTGGTTCTGACATATACAGGGGTGGTTCAAAGGGAAGTAAGATCAATTATTTTGCAGAAGCAAAGAAGCTAAAGCTAGTTCTTTGGGGGTAGAAAGCAAGTGGTTGGAAGATGGGCCTTCCAAGCAGAGGTAACAGAAGACCCCACTCAAACTACTATAAGCAGCTTGGCTGGGCTGAGTGGAGTGGCATGGAAGCTTAGTGGGAGAAGGTGAGATCCAGTACGTGGGAAAAGGCCAGGCCGCAGTGGGACACAGAAGTCAAGCCCATGACTGTGATGACGGAAGGGCACAGTTTCTCTCCATCAATCCCCCAGTTTGACCAATGGGGCTTTCTCCAAATTTCTCATGGCCCTGACTTGTTTTGAGTAGCCAGACATGGACGCAGCCCTGGCCTTAGAGGGAGCACTGCCTTAGTAATGCAGAAGGAAAGAAAAGAGCTAATTACTGGACTTTTAAAAATGAAAATACACTTTTGGACTTTATAGAAGAGATAATAGTTTCAGAGAGCAGACATAAAAGTAGCTTGGGACTAGACAAAGATTCTCAGACAGGGCAAGAAAGAAGAGAACCAGAGGGGAAGCCAGAGGGTCCAGACAACTGGAAGCAGACGCTGGAGGTGTTTCCAGAAGATCTGAGCATCAGGAGGACCTGGGTTTGCCTCCAGGGGGTCCCAGTGAGCAGTAGGAGCCCAGAGCCCTAGGGGAGATGCATGTCCAGGCAGTTGGGCCCAGGACAGCCTTCTGGGGCTTCTGGGCGTGGGCCTAGGAGTCTCCCATAAGAGGTGGAAAAGCTTTGGTAGTTTCCCAGTTCCCAAAGACCCCGAGGTATTTAAGAAAGCAGAGCCACGTAACCTGTGGTCCCAAGATGGGGCTGAAAGCAGCTAAAGGAGAGATACCTGGCAAGGCCCTCTGCCTGAGACCGTCCATCAACAGCTGGGCCCAGACCACATTACACAGTCACAGTTGTCAGAGCTAGCACTCATTCAGCTCCTACCGTGTGCCATTGTTTTACGCACTCACCATAAAGTGACCCATTTAGCCAGTACTGCCCACGAGACACGCAAGAGAAGAAGAGGAGCCCCTGCCTAGGCCCATGCATTAGGGAACAACATGTCACAAGTGCAAACAAATTTACATATAAAGAACATACATGGAAATGCCTTGTCATTCATGATTGGTACTCAGCACTGACACAGTGTGGTTCATCTGTGGTTGGCTGAATAATGCCCCCCCTAAAAAATATGTACATCCCAATTCCCAGAACCTGTAAATGTTACCTTAGATGGGACTTTGCAAATGCAATTAAGGTAAGGATTTTAAGATGGGGTCATTATCCTAGATTATCAGGGTGGGCCTGAAATGCCATCATCACAAGTATCCTTATGAGAGAGGCAGAGCAAGATTTGACACACAGGGGAGGGGAGGAAGCAATGCAACCATGGAGGAAAGATTGGAGTGGTGTGGCTAGGAGCCAAGGAATGCAGCCTCCGGAAGCTGCAAGAGTCAAGGAACAGAGTTCCCCTGGAGCATCTTGAGAGAGTGTGGCCCTGCCAACACCTTGACTTCAGCCCAGTGAAAGTGATTTCAGACTGTGGCCTTCCAGAACTGAGAGCAAAGAAATACCTGTTGCTTTAAGCCACCCAATTTGGGTAATTTAAGAGTAATTTTTTAAAGGAAATTTAATAGGTCATCCTCAATCCTCTGCTCTCATGACTAATGCCATTCAGGCCCGGGGAGGCTTCTTCACACAATTAGACTTGTGTCCTTGAAACAAAAGAAGACTGTACCCAATGGCCATGAAAGTCTGAAGGCTGGATACAGATGCCACTTAGGAGCACTGCAAAAGATGAACAGTGGAAACAATTAGATGAGAGGAAAGACAGAGGGATGCCTCTCTCCAATCCTCCCTCTCAGAGGGCAGCTCTACCGTAGATCCCTAGAGGTGCCAACTGTCCTGTCCTTGCTTCTACTCATGTTCCAGTTCATGGTTCCAGAGATATACACAAATCGGTATGGTGTCTGCAGCAGATGGTGACTGAGGAACATTCTGCAACATTAAATGATTCATACTACTGTCACATTCATAGATAGGTGGATATAGACATCATATGCATATAACATGACACTAATCTTTTACATGGGCAACCAAAGGACTATTGAACACTAGAATTGCAAGGAGTTGCTATTAAAACTGTAATAAGGTATTTATTTTTCAAAAGTAACTAAAAACTTCACCTGTATTATTATAATTTGATGTTAATCGTTGAAATGTATTAATTATAACGTATACTTTTGAGCAAATTATGTTAAACAATTTGAAAGAAAAATAACTTTTTGAAAACATACATGGAAAAGAAATAACTTTAATGTCTTGAATTAAAATATTTTTAAATTTATATTTTAATGAAAATGTATTCAAATTTTGTATATCTTGAATACAATTGTATTTGATATTTTAATCCTTTAGATCTTTACTGTTACCAGAACCCAAATTCTGTGGAAATCTTAAGTATAACAATATAATTTGTTATGTTGCTAAAATGATGACAAGAAAATTAAGTTTCACGTGGAATGAATATACGATAATACATAAGTTATGTGTCTTTATTGCTCATCCAAACATCACTGGCTCCTTCAACAACACAAGAGTTCCAACATGGAGGAGTCTTCTATCAAGGTAGATACTTAACAAATGTTCACTGAGTGAGTGAGTGAATGTGGGTGAGTTTACATGGCGGTAAAGCCAGATAGTGCAGGTCCTTGATCACTGGTCAGACTTTAGCCAGGATGTGATCAGCATAGAGACTCCTCTTGCGCAGGGGAAAGATGCTATTAGAGCAATGTAAGGGAGATTAATCGAACATTTGGATGCAAGAGAGGCTGGAATTAGGAGAAATCAAAAGTAATATAACTATGCACTTTTGCTTTCACTTTTAACTTTTATGTTTTCACTTCTTTTTTTTTTTTTTTTTTTTTTTTGACAGAGTCTTGCTCTGTCGCCCAGGCTGGAGTACAGTGGCGGGATACGGGCTCACTGCAGCCTCCACTTCCCAGGTTCAAGCAATTTTCCTGCCTCAGCTTCCAGAGTAGCTGAGATCACAGGCATGCGCCACCACTCCCAGCTAAATTTTTTTGTAGTTTTAGTAGAGATGGGGTTTCATCATGTTGGCCAGGCTGGTTTCAAACTCCTGAGCTCAAGTGATCCTCCCACCTCGGCCTCCCAAAGGCCAGGGATTACAGGCGTGAGCCACCGTGCCTGGCCTGTTTTCACTCTTTTTAAGCTGTGCTTCTTTTTTCTTTTGAGCCATGGGCAGGAATGCCCTGACCTCTCAGGTGCAGGTGTGCAGTACTGCCCTCTGGAAGGAAGGCCTCTGTAAGTACTGCCCTCTGGAAGGAAGGCCTCTGTAAGTACTGCCCTCTGGAAGGAAGGCCTCTCTGTAAGTACTGCCCTCTGTAAGGAAGGCCTCTGTAAGTACTGCCCTCTGGAAGGAAGACTACTCCAGCTGTTGGGGGTGGCTTGGTACTGGGGAAGATCATGGACTTGGAGTTTCTCAGGCCTCATTTGAGTCCCAGCACCACCACTTCATTTACGGGGATTCTTAGGCTCCCATCTTAACTTCTCTGGACCTCAATTATTTCACCTGTAAAATAGAGACAAGGCTACCTCCCTCACGAGGTGGTTGTGACATGAGAAACGGTGTGCAAAGCATAGTTAGTGACTAGGAAATAGTGGGTGGTCAATAAATAGCAGCTGCTACGTTCCTTCAGGCTCCAGAGCCTGCACGCTGCGTGCAGATCCCATACTCCAGACCCCTGCCGCAGAAGGGTGGGCCAGGAAGCAGCAGCTTTGCCTTAACCATAGCGAGAAGCTTGTCAGAAGTGCAGGGTCTTGGCCATTTCCCCCAGGCCAACGAATCAGGGACTGCATTTCAGCAAGCTCCCAGGTGACTGGTGCACAAGATGGAGTCAGAGAAGCATCTAGAGCACTAGTTTCTAGTCCTGACCACACATTCAAATAACCTAAGGAGCTTTAAATAACCAGTGCCCCAGCCCCACCCCAGACATATTCATTCAGAATCCCAAAGAATGGTGTGAGCCTGGGCTTTATTCAAAAGCTCCCCAGGTGACTTTACTGTCCAGCCACAGTTGAGCCCCACTGGCTGCATCAAAATACATGAAGCCTCAGGACATGGTCTCATTATGGCTTTGGTGGACTCTAGGCACCTTTGCCTCCAGGAGTCCCTTCCTATGTAAAATAATATTAAAAATTAGTTTACTATGTCTTGGTATAAAGAGAAATATGTTAATACTATATAGTAAGATATTTTCTTTAACGTTTCCTTTTTAAAATTTTTTTTATTATACTTTAAGTTCTGGGATACCTGTGCAGAACGTGCAGGTTTGTTACATAGGTATACACGTGCCATGGTGGTTTGCTGCACCCATCAACCTGTCATCTATATTAGGTATTTCTCCTAATGCTATCCCTCCCCTAACCCCCAACCCCCCAACAGGCTCCAGTGTGTGATGTTCCCCTCCCTGTGTCCACGTGTTCTCACTGTTCAACTCCCACTTAGAAGTGAGAACATGCGATGTTTGCTTTTATGTTCTTGTGTTAGTTTGCTGAGAATGATGGTTTCCAGCTTCATCCATGTCCCTGCAAAGGACACGAACTCATCCTTTTTTATAGCTGCATAGTATTCCATGGTGTATGTGCCACATTTTCTTTCTCCAGTCTATGATTGATGGGCATTTGGGCTGATTCCAAGTCTTTGCTATTGTGAACAGTGCTGCAATAAACATACGTGTGCATGTGTCTTTATAGTAGAATGATTTATAATGCTTTGGGTATATACCCAGTAATGGGATAGCTGAGTCAAATGGCATTTCTGGTTCTAGATCCTTGAGGAATCGCCACACTGTCTTCCACAATGGTTGAACTTATTTATACTCCCACCGACAGTGTAAAAGCGTTCTTATTTCTCCACATCCTCTCCAGCATCTGTTGTTTCCTTTTTTTAATCTTCTGATTCAAAACACAAGCATTAACACATTTCATAGGTCCCTGAAAGTGTGCAGGCCTGAGGCATTGAGCCCCTGGATATGTTGGCCCTGCTTTGGGATATTATATAAAGGTAAGGGTGGAAAACATAGTTAATGAGAGAAGAGAGTTCTTCATGGAGCTGTAAAGCTGATGGCTCACAGAAAACCTGATCCAAGGAAGAAGAGGGAGGAGGAGAAGAGGAAGAAGAAAAGGAGATAGCAAAAAAGAAAGGAGGAAGGGAAGGGAGGAAGGAAGGTCCAGATTTTAATAAAATTCTAACCTAATGGAGGAAGTGCTGGGCGGGGTGGTCAAGAAACACAAACACCTGCATCTGTACAGCTATGATGAGGAGTTAATGCAAACAATGTCTACTGCACACCTCTATCCACTCATCCATTCTTTTAATCACTCGTTCTTTTGTTTCTCCAGTTCACAACAGAACCCCACACATATGCAAAACCCTAGCAATTTAAAGATGCAGAAACTATCATCCCTTCCTTCTATGGGCCAAACACTTGAGTCAGGCAACCCCATCCATGCCTGGTTTATTTCATTACTTTCTCAAGAATGTTAATGCAAGATTGCTGGGATGACCACACTTAATTAAAGCAACATGACCAAGAAGAAATCCCCAGGAACCACGTGGAAGTGCAGCGAAAGCTTCAGATATTCCCCCTGTAATTATAAGTTGTGTGGCCTGACAGCTGCTCCCAAGAGAGGCTTTTTGTAAATTATTTTTATTATTATTTTTTTAGAAATCTGGCATGAAAGGATTGGTTATAAAGGCGAATCCTTGCTGGTAGAAATCTTGAGTGGACTGTCTCCACCCCGTAGCTGTCCAGACATAGAGAAGAGGTTGAAAAGAGAGCAGAGAACTAAACAGAGACCACCCCACATAATGGAAGTCAAAACCAGTGGAAATAAAAATTTGCCTTTTCATGAGCACTTTGTTAGAAGAGGAAGTGAAGAGAAAAGTAGTATTCAGAAGTTGCATTTAAGCTGAGTAATTAGAAATACAGTACCACCATTCAATGCACAAAAGAGCAGGGAGTTTGGATGTGAAAATTAAACATTTTGAATGTGAAAGTTTCAGTAAACAAAAGATTAATTACTATATGCATCGACTTTTGCATTAAAAAACAGCCGCCAGGCCTGCATGCTTCTCTGTGATTTCCTGTGTAAAGGATAACTCTAAACTATGAGTTTTCCATAATGAGATTTTTTTAATATGAGGAAATGTATGCAAAATATATGCAGGTGGTAACATTTCATAACTAAGATGCCTTGCCAGGCAACATGCTAGAAATCACTGAAACTCAAGAAAACGTGTTCGAATCTAAATTCACATTTGGTGAATACTTTGCTTGTTCAACACACTTTATAAATACTAACTAATGCTCCTGAAATTGATGTAATGTATTATTTCATCCATTATAGAAGCAGAGAAACTCATCTAAAGAGACCCAAATGCATCAGAGAAGGAACATGGCCGAATGGGGCCTGGAAATCTCAAGTTCTCAGAAGCCATCCTCTCACTGACGAGGTCACTGGGAAAGGACCAAACAGACCATTGCAGTTTTGTGATCCCCAAACCAGAGCCGCACCTGGGCTGGGGTGGGCCCTCAATGAATGTATAAGGAAGGGAGGGTGGGAGGCAAGAGGCAAATAAGGGAGGGAGGAAAGGAAGGAGGCAGGAAGAAATGAAGTGGAATGGGATGGTAGAACAGACAGGTTTGGGGGTGTCATGGTAAACCCCTCAAGAAGTTATTCCAAGGTCTTTTCCAGGGCAAAGTGATACCGAATAGTGTAGCTTTATTAGCTTGATGGTGAGTATTAAAGGATTTATTGTATGTTTTCTAGAAATCTTGAAAAAATATAAATTTCTATGCAACAAAAAGGCTATTGATTCACCAGATCTTCAAATCTTGTCTTTCTCTATCTTCATTGAAGTAAGTCTTTATCCACTTCTGCCTTTTAAAATGAGTCGATTTTCGGCCTAAGTTTCTCCTCTCTTCTGGACTGTGAAGGCTCCTAGGTCTTTCTCAGAGCCCTGGTCACTCCCAGTGGGATTACCATCTCCGGCACTGACAGGTGTCTGCCCTGACCTCCGTATACACGCACAGACATGGATTAATATCAATGCAGAGAGAACGCACGTGCATCATGTGCTGTTCATTCAACTGAGAAGTGAAGGATGGCATCCCCATCACATTCCCAGAGTGCCTGATCCATTACAGAGCATCTATAAATAGCCATCGAGAGAGAATTTGGCATTGGAGAGCACAGCATTCACCCCCCAAACATGCACAGCTGGCAATAAGGCCCAACACCATGGCAGGTGGAATACCAGAGGCTCCCATCAGGCTGTGGTGTGCAACTGTGAGAGCTTCCACCAGTGGGGAACTGGACAGACACCACGAGTATAATGCCTAAGACTCTGGAGAGGTTCTGGGGAAGTGGTCATCACAAGGATAATGGAATTGAATGGCCGTTGCTAAGTGGCATCATTTATTGGAGAAAGACAATGAAAGCCTGAGAGTTATTAATCACCAACCTCAGGTGAAGCGTGTGAGTCAGAAAACCTTCCTGGCAGCATATAAGTAGGTAGGCTCACATCTCCTTCAGCCAGATGGCAGGAAAAGCTGAAGAGCTGGCTTAGGCTTGAATTACAAGGGCAGAAGAGCTCCAGAGATGGCTGAACTTTCAGCCCTGACAAGTCTGCCATGCCAGCTGAGGACCTGGTTGTAAAGGAGTGGGACTCTAATATTTGGGATGGGGACATCCGGGTCAACATCCCCCCAACAACTGTGAGAACACTCTGGCCTTGCAGAAGGGTCTCTCTCCTCCTTGTTAAAGGCTAGTGCTCCCCCCACTTGAAAAATGCTGCAAGGCAGGGGTCCCCAACCCCTGGACCATGAACCAGTATCCATCCATGGCCTGTTAGGAACCAGGCCACATAGCAGGAGGTGAGCAGCGGGCAAGTGAGCATCACCACCTGAGCTCCGCCTCCTGCCAGATCAGCAGCAGCATTAGGTTCTCATAGGAGCACGAACTCTGTTGTGAGCCGCACAGGCAAAGGATCTAGGTCACATGCTCCTTATGAGAATCTAATGCCTGATGATCTGTCACTGTCTCCCATCACCCCCAGATGGGACCATCTAGTTGCAGGAAAACAAGCTCAGGGCTCCCACTTATTCTACACGATGGTGAGTTGCATAATTATTTTATTATATATTACAATGTAATAATAATAGAAATAAATTGTACAATAAAGGTAATGTGCTTGAGTCATCCTGAAACCACCCCCCACCCCCAGTCTATGGAAAAACTGTCTTCCACAAAACCAGTTCCTGGTGCCAGAAAGACTGGGGACCCCTGCTGCAGAAGCTCTGCCCCACAAGACAATGTGGGCATCTCCCTGATGCATGCACCCCTGGGCCTCTGCCCCCACTTCCCCTCCCGCTAACCGGGCTGATCATGAGGTTCAGGTCACAGCAGTACATAGATGGGGAAGTGCAGGAAGTGCCTGCTACAGGAAGAAAGGCCCCCAGAGAAGCTGCAAGACCTCATGGAGAGGCATGGGCAGAAACCAGGAGAATGTGTGGGGCTGGGTTCTGAGGGTACAAGACTAAGACGGTCAGAACCTAAGCTTGGAATAGGGAGAGTTTATCAGTGTGGGCCTGCCCTTCCATGATCCAGGGTTGTAAACTCTGGCAAGGCCCCTAAGCAGTGCTAACGTGCTCTAGGAGGGCTCCTAGGAGCCTGAAGGAAGCAAAGGTCCATACTAAGTTAAGCAGAAATGCCTGGGCCGCCCTCCTGCCCATGAAGGAAGGGACAGAAAGGCTCAGAGGAGTATGCCCTCTAGAGCAGGTCCAGCACATCAGCTCGGAAAGCCAGCCACGCCCTTCAACCAGAGAACATGCCAGTTACCAGCTAGATAAAGAACGCACTGCTGAGAGGGAGCCTGCGGAAACAAGCGGGGCGGCTATGCTGTTGTTACAGAATTGGACTCTTGAATGCAAAGGAGGCCAATGGAATCCCACAACAACAGAAGCTAGTGTGTCATTTGGCAGGGAGCAAGGTAGGCACAGTGACACAGGGCATCAAGCCCAGAGTGGCAGCTGGAGCACCTGACCCCATCTGCAAAGGGTAGATATATAGCAGGAGAAAAGGGCACCTCTCAATCCACACACCCTTAGCAAAAGCTTTTCTCAAGGGAAACTAGTCAAGAGGCTTCAGGAAAATGACCAATAGAAAGCTACATTTCAGCCCTGGAGCTGAGCTCATTTTCAGACCTGGAACCCACTGACTGAGGGAGAGGGTGAGCCCCGGGAGGAAGGACCCTCCAACATCACAGCAGTGTCTATACAAACATTCTCCCCCATCACAGCAGTGTCTGTACAAACATTCTCCCCCAGATCGTCCACAAAGAGACACATGCCATGTGAGGACCACTGGGCACAGGATCTGAGGCGACACTGGTACCTAGGGACCTAGGCCTGGTCCTGAACCCTCTGTTAGAGTGGAGGTGTGCAGGGGCCGGTTTTGAAGGAAGAGGTAACCAAACCCAGCTCACAGTGACTCCCCTGGGTCCATAGACCCAACCAGGAGCCCTTTCCCCAGCCTCCAAATGTAGAATTCAAACTGACTTTTGAAATTGGTAAAACTGCCACATTAGTTCCTAGGAGTCGGTGGTAGGAACTACCACCATGGGGAAGTTCAAGTGGAGGCCCCCCACTCCCAGACACACACATCAATGCAGGAAATCAAAAATAATATCACATCCCAGAGGAAATGCCAGAGATTAAACACCTAGAGGATGCGAGGGCTGCACCCAGCACACCCCTATTTAATTCACGTCTGGCCCTAGAAAATCCCGACAGACCCTAGAGGATGACAATGGACATCTGCAACTCGATCAGGCAGTTGCTGTTTGTAACTGGTGGGGAGCAGCTTTCCTGGTGCAGGTGAGCTTGGTGGCCTGTGGCCCAGGAATGCAGCCCATACCGGGTGAATGCATTCTTTTCCACTCTTATCAGGAAGGAGAACCAGAACAGGCTGCGTTCATGTGGGACACCTGGCAGGCTGCTTGGGAGAAGAAAGCAAGATCAGAAGATTGAAGCGAGCTCATGGGAGCAGCACATCATGGGTGCTGGGCATGGGTGCAGAGCGTGTTCACACCCGCCAGAGCGCAAGCACCACTGGGAAGAACTAAGCATCCAAGTGTGCAACTGGCCAGCTGCTGCCAGCCCCTATCACTGCCACCATGGTGCTGACACAACAGGCAATTTGTTGACTAGAATCAAATCATCATTCACTTACAGCCTGACCTTTCCTGCCCAAGGGCTTCAGCCAGCTCCAATGCCCAAGGGCCCATGGCATGTTTGATTTGCCAGCACATGATCCCACAAAACATTGCATCAGACCAAGTGTCCGACCTTGCAACAGAGGTGGCACAGCATGGGATCATGAAATCCGTGGCCATCCTTTTGGGTCCTACCACCATCCAGAAAGCTGCTGGCCTGATAAAACCATGGAACTGTCTTTGAAAGATGTAGCTGAGGCTGGGCACAGTGGCTCACACCTGTAATGCCAGCACTTTGGGAGGTGGAGGTGGGCAGATCACTCGTGGTCAGGAGTTCAAGACCAGCCTGGCCAACATGGTGAAACTCCATCTCTACTAAAAAATACAAAATACATGGTGAAACTCCATCTCCACTAAAAAATACAAAAAAAAAAGCCAGGCATGGTGGTGCATACCTGTAATCCCAGCTGCTTGGGAGGCTGAAGCAAGAGAACTGCTTCAACACAGGAGGCAGAGGTTGCAGTGAGCTGAGATTGCGCCACTGCACTCCAGCCTGGGTGACAGAGTGAGACTCCATCTAAAAAAAAAAAAAAAAAACGTAGCTGAAACACCAGCTTGGAGCTGATCCACTGCAAAGATGGCACACGGCAAAATCAATGATCATCAAATAGTACTGTGTCCCCAGCAGGTAGAACACGTGGATTCCGAAACAATGGGCTGGATGCAGGTGTGACCACACCATTACTCCCACTCCAGGAATCTGTGCTCCCAAAAGGGGCCCATGTCTGCACTTTGGGCCCCTTGCAGCAAGCATCCAGTAGGCAAGGAAAGGAACTGCCAACCTGGGGAATCGCAGGGGGATTCTCAGGAGGATGAAGCTACTGCACAATGAAGCTACTGACTCCATTCGGCACTCAGGAGATCCATCAAGGTGTCGCCTTGGACTCTTTCATCCATATTTGATGGTGAATGGACAAGAGCAGCAGCCAAAGCCAAAGGAGGACGTGACGACCAAGGGCTCGGGCTCTCAGGCGTGGAAGTCTGGACCACCCAACCAGGTAGGCCACCTAGAAATCGAGGTTAGAGATGGAGAATTGTCAGCACAGAGGCAGTGGTTGACATGGGGAGAGATTACAGGAGCCTCAGAACACAGTGAGGAGACGCTGGCACGGAGGATCAGTAGGAAGAGGCGATCGCATTGATCAAGCTAATAAGAGTCCGAAACAAGCAATGCTGTTGTGGGAATGGCCCAGCCTATCACACCATCAACATCAATAACAACAAAAAAGTTAACGACCCACAGGACTTGCAATCGTGAATGAAGAAGTGTGATGCTGCTTTGTCTCTGTCAATGTTTACGCGACTGGACAAATTCACTCATTCCTTGATTATCATTCATCTCTTCGTATTGGGGTGCTTTGCTGCCTTCTCCCCTCAATGATAAAAGAGGATAAAATTCAGTTAATACGTGCATTTTCATTACAAGACAACTAAAGAAATTACCCTTATTTTACTTGATATGTTTTTACACTCTGAGGAATTGGGATAATTTGGGAAAAGTGGCAATTGTGGGAGGTCCCACACCTGCCTGCTCTCTGCTCTAGCACCTTTGGGGAAGCACATCTGTCCCCAAGAACTGCCCACGTGCATGGAGCCTGCAGGCAGCCCTCCAGCCAGCGGGAGACAGTTCTGCTTTAGAGACCCACACATTTGCAAAGGAAACCACATCAACTCCCTTTGCTCACCAACATAGTTCTTCATTCATAGATTCAACCCAAAACCATCAGGTATTTGAAGAAAATAAGTAAATAAATTGTTAGAAGTCTAGATAAAGAAACAGGACAACTGACCCTGGTGAAAAGAGGAATAATTATTGGACAGAAAACAACTTTAAAAAGATGTAACTGGCATGGTCAGAGAGACTGGCTATGCTGTTATAGCCATCCCCAAAGAACTCACTGCTTGGGGAAAGGAGGAAGCAGAGAACAAGAAAGTACCTTGGCAATTTAGAATCTATTTGTGAATATTAAACATTCAGTATACAGGTTAATTAAAATTTGAACACAGCTAAAGACCAAGTTACTAAAGACCAACAGCACAAGCTGCAAAAGACAGAGAGAAAGAAAATATGAAAGGAAAATGAAAATGTAGAGAAGCTAAACCCAGAAGGTTCAATATCACCTAATCTATCTCCAGAAGCAGATAACAAAGTGCCAGGAAGGATGAGTTAAAGGGCGTTTAAAAAAGACCTACATATGTCCTGTTAACATTTCAGAACCCCAAGGCTAAAATAACAACTGCAAATACTTCTAGAAGGAAAAAAGAAACCTATAAAGAATAAGAAGTAACTCGGCCTCAGATTTATCAGTAGAATGTAATATTAGAAGACAAAGGAATAAAGCATTCAAAAATTATAAGGGAAAATTATTTTGAAACTAAAATTACATTCCAAACTATCAATCAAGTGGGGCAGTGGAAAATAAAGATATTTTAAGAGTTGTAAGACTCAGAAAGTTTTACTTCCCTTTCTGGGAAAAAAAAAAAAAAAATCACAGAGCAGTAAATACTCACCAGGTACTTTTCTTAGCACTTTTCATGTATTAAAACTCCTTGAATCTTCACATCAACACTATGGCATTATTAATATCCTAATTTTACAGATGAGAAAATGTGGCACAGAGAGGGTTACACTCTGTCAAAATGAAGAAGAAGCTCAAGGAAAACGATGCTATGCAATTTAACTCATGGTGAACCACGGAGGAGATCAATGATAAGAAATCTGAGATTGACAGCTATACCCTGTGCCTAGAAAGCAAGTGACCAACTAGAAGAGAAAGTAGGAGGGATTGGAGAAAAAGGCCTTCAAGACAGAAGTGAATCCAATTACATATATTATTTGATTAAGAACCTGGAAAGTCTAAAAGATGCGTATGTCTCTTCTCTCAGTGGTTAGAAAAAACAAACAAACAAACAGGAAGCAAGAAATACCAAGGTGGGGGGTAGAGGAGATAGCTCCATAAAACATGCATGGACCAAATATGAAGCAGATTTAAAGGTGGCCTAGTTTTGAGGAATGGTTGTAGTTTTAAGAAAAGTAAAAATACGGCCGGGCGCAGTGGTTCACGCCTGTAATTCCAGCACTTTGGGAGGCCGAGGCGGGCGGATCATGAGGTCAGGAGATGGAGACCATCCTGGCTAACACGGTGAAACCCATTCTCTACTAAAAATAAAAAACAAATTATCCAGGTGTGGTGGCGGGCGTCTGTAGTCCCAGTTACTAGGGAGGCTGAGGCAGGAGAATGGCGTGAACCTGGGAGGCGGAGGTTGCAGCGAGCTGAGACCGCACCACTGCACTCCAGCCTGGGTGACAGAGTGAGACTCCATCTCAAAAAAAAAAAAAAAGTAAAGTAAAAATACATTTAATCTTGACCCTTGGAAGATTATCCTTCAAATGGCACTGTTCAGTGACATAAAAGTACTTTTGTTTTGCAGTGAAAATTTTTAAATAATCATAATAAAAGAAATGCTATATTTTAACTTTTTATTTTTATCATAGATTTTAGAAGCGTAGAAAGTTTAATTATAGTTACTGTAAAACATACACATATTTTAAATCTTAATGATGTAAAAATAATGGCATAGCCAGCCAAAAAGGAAAGAGAGGTAGGATGTATAGGGATGCTAATTTTCTCACCAACAGATAACATCTACAGTTGATGGAACTACAACACCAAAGGTACAATCCATTAAAGAAATAATTAATAAGGTAGACTTCATTAAAATTTTAAAAACTCTTGTTCTGCAAAAGATACTGTCAAGACAATGAGAAGACAAGTCAGTCTTGGGAAAAAACACATCTGCAAAAGACATGTCTGATAAAGGACTGTTATCCAAAATATACAAAGAACTCTTAAAACTCAACAAGAAAGCAAGCAGCCCAGTTGAAAAACAGATAAAAGATGTGGACACTTCACCAAAGAAGATATACAGCTGGTAAGTAAGCATATAACATCACGCGTCACTAGGGAATTCCAAATTAAAACAATGAGATACCCGTCGTAATAGGTAATAACAATAATGTCCACTATTAGAATGGTGCAGATCTAAAGCTGAAGGGTCAAGAAATAGAGAAGCATATTACTTAAAGTTTACAGATAGATTTCACAATAAATATAATCAGCAAGAATCAACATATGAAAGAGAGATGGTAGAGTACGGAAGGGCCCTACACTCTTTATCTTTCCTAGTGAGGAGTTAATATACACTTTCCAAAGCTGATTGATCAAGAATAAGGTAAAAATAATTTGAGATGAAGTTATGATGATAATGTCTAAAACAATTGAAAGCAAAAGTACTTATCTTTGGGGCATGGGTGTCCAAGAATGGGGAGATGTCTAGAAAGAGACTTATTTTGTATCCTTCTGTGCTGCTTGGATTTTTTTTAATAGTGTGCATGTAGTGTTTTTATAATTTAAAAAGCAATTTTTAATCATCAGTAATTTTTCTGTTAGGGAAGAAAACAGCTGAAGCATGAAGTTTATGGAAATTTTTTCTAGAAGCTTAATAGATGTCAATAACAAAGCATTGCTGAAAATAATGAATTTTTGAATTATGAAATGTCTTTAAGTTTTTCTCAAATTGCAAATCTCCCTGAGGGTGTTCCTCCAAGTCCTACTTATCAGACATACTACTAAGTTTAAATTATAAAATTCTTACCTGTAATTGAAGCCAGCTGCAACCTTTTTGACAAGGACTAATTGCCGATAATGATTTAAGTGCTGCAAATTCACATGCCACAATTGTTTTAAATAGGGGAACCTCTCACAGCTTTCTCTGAAAAGAACTGTTAATCTTTGCTGCTGACTTATCAAATCCTTCAGTCACCTGTTTGCCATCATTTTCACGAGCTGATAACGTGTTTATTCGAGTCCTAATGTGCAGGTGGAGGAATAAAGGTCTCATTTGATGGCACTGGAATTTCATCTAACATTTCCACATGGAAAGAGCTGGCACAAGCCTCAGGTTTGGCTTAGCAGAGAAAGACAATAAAGGCATGTATTTTTTTTTTAATTTGAAGCAAATGAAAAGTGAGCATTTATTTAATGTCAATAACTTTAGATGACAGAGCTGGGTAAAAGCCATGACCTGTAATGTCCCTTTAGCCTGCTGCAAATCAAGGATCCCTGGTGCTGAACAACAGCCAGGGGGCTGCTACTGGGGATGGCTCCTCCTCGCCCCGCCTCCCTGTCTCCTTTCACTGCATCTGATCTTTTCTTCTCTTCCTCAGCATTGTATCAGTTCCCCTTGGCTGCTCATTGCTGGTTTTGGAGGCACTAAATTGTTACAACCTCTGCTTGTTGGGTAAGGAGGAGTTTGGCAGCATATATTCAAAAGTTAACACAACCTTTCTCTTTGCAATTCTACCACTAAGGATTTATCTAAAGAAAATAATGGATCGGCCTGGCTCGGTGGCTCACTACTGTAATCCCAGCACTTTGGGAGGCCGAGGTGGGCTGATCACCTGAGGTCGGGAGTTCGAGACCAGCCTGACCAACAAGGAGAAACCCTGTCTCTACTAAAAATACAAAATTAGCCAGGCATGGTGGTACATGCCTGTAATCCCAGCTATTCAGGAGGCTGAGGCAGGAGAATTGCTTGAAACCGGGAGGTGGAAGTTGCAGTGAGCTGAGATCGTGCCATTGCACTCCAGCCTGGACAACAAGAGCAAAACTCTGTCTCAAAAAAAAAAAGAAAAAGAAAATAAGAATGGATCATGTGCAAATTTCTAGCTGCAATGATTTCAATTAGAGTATTTTTTATAATGCTGGGACACTGGGAACAATCTAAAGGGTCAGCCATAGGGGGCTGGTCTGATGCCTGAGAGCTCAGACACGGGAAGGATGTGCATCCACTCAGGATATCTGGGCTCCATGGCCTGGAAAACTGTTGCCAGAAAGGGGTCCCAATCCAGACCCCAAGAGAGGGGGATCTCGTGTAAGAAAAAATTTGAGGCGAGTCCATAAAGTAAAGCAAACGCAAGTTTATTTAAAAAGTAAAGGAATAAAAGAAGGGTGGGATATGTAAGGGAACTCCATAGGCAGAGCAGCCCGAGGGCTGCTGGTTGCCCATTTTTATGGTTATTTCTTGATGATATGCTAAACAAGGGGTGGATTATTCATGCCTCCCCTTTTTGGACCAGATAGGGTAACTTCCTGACATTGCCACGGCATTTGTAAACTGTCATGGCGCTGGTGGGAGTGTAGCAGTGAGGACGACCAGAGATCACTCTCATCACCATCTTGGTTTTGGTGCGTTTTGGCCAGCTTCTTTACTGCAACTTGTTTTATCAGCAAGGTCTTTGTGACCTGTATCTTGTGCCAAATTCCTATCTCATCCTGTGACTTAGAATGCCTTAACCTTCTGGGAATGCAGCCCAGTATGTCTCAGCCACATTTTACCCAGCTCCTATTCAAGATGGAGTTGCTCTGGTTCAAACACCTCTGACACTTACAAAGGTATGACCTTTAGCCAATTGCTTAAGCACTGTCAGGCTCAAATTCCTCCTCTGTCAAATGGGAACAACAGCACCTAGCTCACCTGATCACTGGGGAATTAAAAGGTCTCAGGAACACAAAACACTCCACATAGTGCCTGGTCTGTTGTCAATATTTGATAAATGCCACTTAATGATAATAGTGATTATAATAAGGCTAGCAGTAATATTAAACCATAACAATCATGTTGAAGGGGAAGATGGACTGAGGGAAAGAAATATCCCTGTGGGAATTCAAGTCAGGAAACAAAAAAGTAGCTGTTCTTGAGCTCGTTCAAGTAATACATGCAAAATAAAAGACAAATTATCAAAGTAAAAGGTTAATGGGGATTATTCCTGAGTGGTAGAATTATGCTGATTTTCTTTTCTTTTGGATTCTCTGTATGTAAAACTTTCTACAAAGAAAGTATTTTACTTTACTAATTAAGAGATAATTTTTTTTTTTAATTCCTCCCTTAGGTGACCGCAGTTCACAGAATTTCAGAACCGGAAGACACTTTAAGTACCATCTACTCCAACCTCATCACTCTACTGATGAAGAACCAGAGCATCCAGAATGGAGTGCTGTCCCCACTGGATCCTGCAGGGAAGGACCCCCAGAGCCCAGGGGTCCCCACAGCCTCACAATGTAATTGGAATTAGACTCAAGGCACAGTCATCTGGGCATCTCCAAGGACTAGATCTTGGTTCTCTCCTTTTATCCCAGATATGTGTCATAGTGCCTGGCACATGGTAGGATGGCAGTAAATATTTGTTGAATGAATACACATATGAATATGAGTCACTTGTGCTCCCATAAGCGTTAGAAGACAAGCAAACAGCTCTGAAAGCAGCAGTTAGTCTCCTGGGGGTATCTGAGAAAGCTTCCTAGGAAGGAAATAGCAAAATCAGGTCCCAGAAGGTGAGTTCAAGTGAGTTCTGTCAGAAGCGTCTGAACCAGAGTGACTCCATCTTGAATACAGGCTGGGTAAAGTGAGGCTGAGACCTGCTGGGCTGCATTCCCAGAAGGTTAGGCATTCTAAGTCACAGGATGAGACAGAAGGGTGGCACAAGACACAAGTCACAAAGACCCCACTGATAAAACAGGATGTGGTAAAGAAGCTGGCCGAAACCCACCAAAACCAAGACAGTCATCCTCAATGCTCATTATATGCCATTATAAAGCATCGCATGCTAAAAGACACTCCCACCAGTGCCATGACCATTTACAAATGCCATGGCAATGTCTGGAAGTTACCCTACATGGTCCAAAGGGAAGAGGAACCCTCAGTTTCAGGAAATCCCCACCACTTTCCAGGAAAACTCACCAACAATCCATTGTTTCCCATATGATCAAGAAATAACTATTAAAATCGCCAACCAGCAGCCCTCAGGGCTACTCTGTCTAGGGTACTCCATTCTTTTATTTCTTTGCTTCTCTGATAAACTGCTTTCACTTTACTCTGTGGACTTGCCCCAAATTATTTCTTGCATAGGATCCAAGAACCCTCTCTTGGGGTCTAGATCAGGACCCCTTTCCGGTAACAGTTCCAGACCAAGCAAACAGCCATGGAATGAAAACACACTTGGAGTTTGGGGAAGAGGCTACCATCCTCATCTGGCAAAACCTAAGGTCTGTGCAGGAAAAGGTGCATGCAAAGAAGCAGGAAAGGAGAAGTGGCCAGAATGGACTTCCATTCTTTCATTTATTTCTAGGCCACCTTCCAGGCCAGCTGGTTATTTGTGAGAATGACATAAAATACATTGCTAATAGCTGAAAATGGTTTAATGTTTTTGTTTTTTTTCTGTGCAGGTAACATTTTCATTTTCACCCCCAGGGCCTCTCTGACTTCACCCCTCCTCAGGAGAGAATTGCAGGTAATTAGGGCTGTCAGCGGGAGGGATCTCAGGGTGGGATCAAATCACCTCCCCTGACAGCTGACTTCCCCACCTGCCAACAGCCCACCAGGGAGACCATAAAAGATAACCCCACACACGCCCTGCCAGCAAGCACCCAACCCAGCCCAGTCCCACCCTCTCCAACAAACATGCTCCGGGGGACAATTTTATGATGGATTTTTTTCATTTAAAGCTAATCACATTATCCATTTCATCTGCTCTTCTGTACCTCTTACAATTAAAGAGAGGTTGAAAGAGATTTAAAAAAAAATACAGCCACTGATTTCCCAAGACTTGATTTTTCACCTCTAGTCCCCGTTCGTAAGCGCTTAAGACGTTACACTTTGTTCTGCTGGAACCCATTATTTCCCTGGGAGACTCGATGTCTGCTTTGATAGGAGCAATTTATCACCCTGGCGAAATCATGCTACTGTTTGGAAGGCAGGACCAGGATTTATGAATCCTTTTTTACTGAGAATGAATTTAATTCCCAGGGGTGGAAGTGGTATTAAAAGATTCAGCCTGCTGCACCTGTGGCATCTGAGAAGGTGGCTTCCAATATGAGTGGCACGTTCACCCCTGTCCTGTGCTATGAAAGCCTTCACCTTCCTAATGGAGGAACCTTGATGAGGGCATGAAATTCAATTCAGTTGGGTGTGAAACAATGGTTGTACTTAATAATGAATTCAAAGCAATAGAATTGACTTGCACAGCATTTTTACTCTATTTTTAGAGTGTATGAGTTTTTAAACTATTATTTATTGAAGATACTTTTTCAAAATATCCATTTTTAAAAATTTTTAAAGCACCAAGCCAAATTATTGATCTATTGGGGCCAATTCCTTCTTGCAATTTATAGTGTCCAGTTTCCTTCCATGTGTTATAGCCCAGGTAAGACGCCACAGGGAGCACACTGGAATCACCTGGGGAGCTTGACAAGCTATTGATGCCTGGATCCAACTCCAAAAGGGTTTAAGACAATGTCTAGGTACAGTCTCAGCATCAGGAATTTTGTTTAAGCTTCCCAGGTGATTCTAATGTATTATCGAGTTTGAGAACCACTGCTCTAAGATAATAAGTTTGGTATTTTTGAAACGAGCATAGCAGTTTCAAATTAAACATCCTTCCTGCAAATGGTCATCAATTTTAAATGAACCAAGCATGACTTCCTACACTATTTCATTGATCTAGTTGGTAACTGGAGAAATATGTCTTACATCATCATGAACAAATGTACAGTTTCCATAATGAATTGTCTTTACTGTCCTTGAGCTTGTGTGCAAGTCAACAATTCTTGCTAACAGCGGTACTTTTGCTCTATGGATTATTTCCAACCCATCAAACAACTTCCTTGCATGACTTCAATCTCATGCATTACTATTGGATATTAATTCATTGTGCCCAATAATGGTCACTCTTTTGTGCCCGCACCTCTACCCATATTCTCTGCTCCTCACTCATCGCCCACCCACCCATCCATCTAACCTTCCTCCACTCCGCCCTTTGTTTGGCACTGGTATTACAATGACGAATGAGACAGTCCCTGCCTCAAAGGAGCTCACAATCTGGTGCGGAAAGCAGACAAGTCAACAGAAACCATAGGAAAGCACGCCTATGCCATGCAAGAAGTGAGCTGAGGGTCGCAGGGAGCACCAAGAGGGGCCTCTCATGCTGCAGGGGGCAGGGAAGACGGCCGTCCCCATCACAAGAAGTACTGCCATTTGCACAGTGTCACTTTTTGTGTCACTGAACTCTTAAATTATTTATTGATTGTCAGTGTATAACACAGGGATAGAGAGATGCCCACAATAGGTATGTATTACCTGATTCTCTTTGCATCTTTATTCAGTCTTTCCTTGGAACTAAATAAGTATATGCATTCAACAATTAGGTTAATGGTCCCCGTCTTCTTTGGCACTAGAGACCAGTTTTGTGGAAGACAATATTTCACAGACCAAGGTGAGGGGGATGGTTTTGGCATGATTCAAGCACATTACATTTATTGTACACTTTATTTCTACTATTATTACATACCTATTATAATGTAGAATCAGTGGGAGCCCTGAGCTTGTTTTCCTGCAACTAGACAGTCCCATATGGGGGTGACGGGAGGCAGTGACAGATCATCAGGCATTAGATTCTCATAAGGAGCAGGCAACCTAGATCCCTCACAGGTGCAGTTCACAATAGGGTCCGTGCTCCTATGAGAATCTAATGCCATGCTGATGTGACGGGAGGTGGAGCTCAGGGAATGCTCACTCATCCACCACTCACTTCTGCTGTATGGCCCAGTTCCTAACAGCCCACAGACTCATACCAGTCACTGGCCCGAGGTTGGGGACCCCTAAATTAGGACATTAGTGAAAATAGGGAATATCAGGATTTGTGCACCTTCTGATTTAAACATGTTTCTTTGTTTGGGGGTGACGTATGTACCAAAGACTCTTCGTTTTGGTCTGGCTGGTTCCATGGTTCTTTTGAAAGTACAAAGCTTATACCCAGGCACACATGGCCACACCAGGAAGGCCGCGTGCTTACTGGCTGTCATCAGGGTCAAGAATGCTGTGATCTTCCTGGGGCTTCCTTTATAAACATCATTGACACTGGGGATTTCTTCACATCAGAAGGTCAGCACATGATAAAGCATGTGCCTATTTTAAGACCAAATGCAGGACACTGGAGAACAGAAGATAAACACGAATATCAAGAGCTCCTAGACAGTCACCTAGGAGAAATGCCACCATGGAGACTCGGGACAGCATAGGACAAAGTCACCATGTCCACATACTTGAAGGAGCTGAATAAAAAGTCAACACAAAATGGGATATAAATTAAATGAAAGGATCATGGGAGGGTCAGTCACATCAACAAGGGGCCCGGGGCTCACGGCATGTTTGCCTTTCTCTATTTCAAAGGAATTTGGGGTCTGATTTTAATGTTATGATCTCACAAAGTTGGAACTGTAAGGGATATTAGAGATAATTGACCCAATATTAACTTATAAATGGGGAAACTGAGGCCCGGAGAGGCAGATCCATGGCTGAGGCTGTGCTTGGAGCAAAGGTCAGAGACAGGAACTGAAACACTCAGATGCTTCATTGCCAGCCCAGACCTGGCACCATCATCACAAAAGGTCGACCTAAAACCCCTCCCGTGACCAAGACCTCTACTTCCCAGTGCCACAATGACAGCAAACCCATTGGTGGTTAACTCAGACATCAGCTGCAAATCTTGGCCTCCAGATTTGTAGAAGAAACATGGTTTCTCTATTTTCACGATGACAAATTTCATCTCAGAGTCTCGTTAAGCTCCCAGAGCACCTGGTGCCAAGACAAGGGGGTGCCGCAGTGGGAAGGCATGGAGGGAGCATCTGTGGTCCTGGCCCTTGGTCACTATCATCTATCAGTGGATATATTTTTGTTATCCACAAAAATGTTCTCCTTCCATCAGGTCTCAGGGGTCCAGCTCATGCCATTAACTGCTACGTGCTCCTGTCCCAGTTATGGCCCCCTTCAGGTGTCGCAGCCCCCAGGCCTCCCTGGGGACAAGTCACTACTCTGCCCTGTGCTTGTCTGCAGGTGGGTGAGAGAAGGCACAAGGAAGAACCTGTGATATGAGGGACTGCTCCAAGCCTGTCCACCTGAACCGCCAGTGAAACAATTCCACCTGCTGCCACCTGGGAGACTGAATTAAGGCTCCTTTCCTAAATCCTACCCAGGGAACTTCAGCAGTGACACGGCGTTTCTGTCCCCCAGGAATCCTCAAGCATGTCTAGGGTTTCAGTGGGAACCCTCCATTACCCCCTCCAACAGAGGGTTCGGCACTGGCCAGGGTCTGTGCCTGAAGACAGAGCCTTAGACACCTTCTCAGAACTTTTCTCCCCTTCTCCCATCTCTAGAATCTTTATTTAATCTCAGAGCAACAAGGAACAAAAACTGGCTCTGTGCTAGCATTCTTCCAAATGTATTGCTCATACCCTGAGTTCTTCTGAAATTCAAAAGCCAGGTTGGGGTTCCCTGTGCTGTTTCCTTACATCTTCCCTGTGGCAGTGAATGCTTCGCTCTCCAAAGTGGGGAGAAGGCTATGGAACAGCAGGGAAACCAGGAGAAAGAGATTATGAGGAATGATTGAAATAGACTCCACCTCACCAAGATCAAAGTGGCAGCACCTTGGTGGGTGGATGGCATTGCTTGTTCCTTGGCCGCACCTTCAACACCACACCCAGTCAGGTTCCAAATGTCAGTTCCACAGCGGAGATTGCCACAAGCAAGAGACACTAGAGAATTAGGACCGGCCACTGCCCTAGCAGGGACAGAATGCAGCCAGCTAATGGTACGGCAGCAGCGTTTCACCCTGAGGTCCACCACAAGCTGACTTCTCTCTCAGCCATGTCGTCCTTATCTGTACAAGGCAGAGAGCAAAATCTACTTTGCAGTATTCTCATAAAGATTGCATTTAGGGGAGGAATGTCCTGAGCAAGGTGCATGTGTGTGATTGTTGCAGGATAAATAGCAGCCATTGTTGAGATCTTTCTCCTCTGTCACTGCTCACATCCTTTAAAAGAATTGTGAAATTTTGATCTGGCGTCCTTCTGGGCTTACCAGCTGGCATGGTATTAATGAAGAGACACTGGGTCATAATTTTGGTCACAAAACAGGCCATGTGGGGAAAGATGTGTTTGAGAGAAGCCTATATTTATAAGATTATCTGGAAAATGTGAACAATTGCTAACGAAAG
The DNA here is from genome assembly GCF_000001405.40 of Homo sapiens. NCBI lineage: Eukaryota > Metazoa > Chordata > Mammalia > Primates > Hominidae > Homo > Homo sapiens. The sequence continues at coordinate 8,453,680 of NC_000002.12, forward strand.
CGATTTGGCAAGGGCATAAATGACTCAGGCCCGTTCCCGTTTCTAGAAAAACAACTCAGACCACTTTGTCTCCCCAAGACTATGAATGTGGCAGTTGCTGTGAGCTGCAGCCCATGATACATGCTGTGCAGACCAGGGGTCTCCATCACCCATCGCCCTTCCCTATGGCCACACTGAATCGGCACATGCTCCGGTGACTCACAGGTTCCCAAGCCCACCCCCCAGAGCTCTCAGTCCAGAATTATTGCCATAAAGGGATTCATGGAGGAGAAAGAATTTCAGAAAACATCTTCAGGACTTGCACCTGAGAATGCAAGGGCATTCCAAGTGAGAACAGGTGCAGCCTGGCGGGCCGCATACGCGCTTCCTGCTGGAGACATCCCAGCCTGACCCGCTGCCCGGCACTCACTCATCAGAAGCACATAGCACGCCTCCGCCCAGCCCTTGGCTTCATTTGGGTATTCCAGAGATTTTCCTTTGACGAGTCATGCTACACTCGGATACGCATGGAAACTGATACAACCGCCATACTTTCCATTGTTTTATGTTCAAAGAGCTGGGGGTATGTTGATTGATAATCTCCTAAAGCTGCATTTCATATAAACTTGGAGCTAGTACTGACTAGACCTAGACCAACACCTCCAGGAATAGGTTGCCCTTCAGTGCAGCCCTTGCCAGGGTAAACAGTTTATGATACCGATGTTCAGATCCAGTTTCTTCTAAAACACAACCCAAGTTTCACTATCCCAAGCTGTCTAAAGACCTGGAAGCTCCCATGAAGTTAATCAGTGATGCCAATGTGAATCCACTAAGAAATGGGAACCCCAGAGCACACATTAGCAAAGGGTGTCCAGTCAGTCTCGCAGTGAAACAGGTCAATTATATTTTCTCCCTCACTGTCTCTTTTTTAAAAAATAAGAAAATTCCAAGTCACATACCAATAGCTGGATTAAGATATATGGCTCAGCCAAACAACACAGCAGTGAAATGACCGCCGCAGGCCCTCACCACATGGGCTGTGCCTCCCAGCCCCCATCCTAAGTGCTTCACTTACATTCACTCATTCAACCCTTACACCCACCCTGTGAAGCTGAAACTGTTATTATCCCCAATTGGCAAAAGAGGAAACCAAGGCACAAAGAGACTTAAGTCCTACAACTAACGATTGGCAAAGCCTGGTTCCAGCCCAGACAGTCCAGCTCCCGACTCCACATTTTTGAACACAAATATTCAGGACGTGCAGCCAGACAGCCCCAGGTGGCAGGCCAAGGATGACAGAGTTCCAAAGTGAAGGGAGAGGATTTGCAGAAGCATAACAGCTGTTACACAAATGCTATAAAATCTGCCCAAAGCCACAACCCTCTCCAAGACAGCAGCATCTCACCACCGCACACCCAGTGGATCACAAGATTCGCTCTTCTCTTTCCTCCATTCACCTGTCGCCCAGTCTTGAGACACCCTAGCACCATGGTGCATCCTCACATGGGTGAGCAGGGCCACTGCAGCAGGAAGAGGGGCCCCTGCTTTATGGAGACCAGGAAAGTCAGCGGCTCTAGTGGCTCTCTTAGGGCCATTCCCCAGGGAAGGCCCGCCGGAGTCCAGCACCCCTTAAAGTTCCTCTGGACGTTCCCTGCAAAGTGTAACCTAAGGCTGGGTCCTGGCCTGGATGCCTGCTGTCTTGCCTGGCCTCCACCACACTCAAAGACTGTGAGCTGTGACCAGTGGAGCCGGGGTATTGCCGCAATGACTCCCCGCTCACAAAGACACAGGAAAAGCACCAGGCTGGGGAGATGGCCCTGCGCCTGCCTCCGCCTCCCATTTGGAAAACACACAAAGAAAGGGAAATGGTGCTGTCCAAGATCAGAGCAGACATGGCCAACCAAAGTAGCAGACAAGGAGATTTCATGAGCTCAGTGGGGTTCTTCCCCATGTCGATGGTCAGCGAAGAGTTCAACATTTTCATTAAACACCAGAAAGTATGTCTTGGAGAATTACTGGTGAGAAACCTTCTAACAGAAAAACTTTTTTGGTGTTTTTTTTTTTTTCATCTTGACCCAGATACTAAATACCACATAACTGACACGGCCCCCTTGGAAGGCCCTCTTCATGTTGACCACAGTGCTGAGACACTCAGGGTTGTGCTCAGACCTAGAAGTCAGGGGCAACTGACTAACAGAGGCGCTTAGGCAACAGCGCCTGTCTTCTGAGGATGCTTAGAATATTTTTTCCCAAGTTCTTTGAAACTAGGACAGGCTCTCTCCGACAGTGCGATGGCACACGGAGGGGACGCTGCCATCTCAGAGGCCATTCGACACTGGCACTGTCCTGCCCCTAACACTGGTTCCCCTGGTTCTCCGGATCTCGCTGGGAGGGGACAGCAGGCAGGGACGCATCCCAGCCTCCCCTATTCACCGTTTAGCACAGGGCCAGGCAACAGAAGGGACTCTCACAACGGGCCTTATTAGAGCACAGTGCACACTCAGCAAAAAAAGACTTTCTTCAAAGGGTTCTGGGCAGGAAACGTCAAAGAATGAAGTATCTTGATAAAGAAGGCAACCAAGAAAATGAAAGCAGTCTGCTTTCGGAAACTAAACCACCCTCCCGCTTCCAACCCGGCAAGCCCTTCAAAGGCTCCCGCACGCAGGCCTGTCTGCAGCATTAACCCAAAGCCAGGCTTCTCCCTGCCCGTACAGAGAGCATCAGCAATGCTCCCACCGCCACCCCACCCCACCCAGGCCTGCAGCCTCACCAAGCGGGAGAGGGGCCGGGGGTGCTGCAGAGGAGGCTGGATAAGGCCGGTTTTCTTTGTAAGGTAGCAGATCCCTGAGATTCCCTGCGGGCTCTTCCAAAGCGCGGACTCTGGCCAGAGTTCACGGCCCCTCTGCAGAAGCTTCAACCACGCTGTTCACAAACCCAGCTGAGCGCTCTTACCCAAGGCTGCAACATCCATCATCCGCTATTTCACGGCTCATTTTGGGGACCTAATTTGGAGATGGGCAATGGGCAAGTTGCCCACTAAGCCAAGGGAGAATAGAGGCGCTTAAAAATTGTATGACAAGAGGTGCTTTGTGGCCCTCCACAGACTTGGGCAAGAATCACGCGGACCGCGGGCAGTGGTGCCCACCGAGAGCACCTGGAAGGGCCAGCGTCAGGGGGCGCGCTGGTCAGGCCCCGTCAGGCCCCGACTGCAGCCTCGTCCACTGTGAGGCTGGGGGGACGCCTAGTCGCTAGCTTCCCCGGTCTGGGGCCGCGCTGTCTGAAACCTCTCCAGAGGGGAAACTGAGTTCTCTCAGCTGACGAGGTTTCCAAGAACCCCAGTCCCCAGGGCCCTAGAATGCTGGCTGTGGACCGATGGGATTCTTAGACCCGGGTCACCTGCGTCAACAGCCCTGGGCTGGGCGGAGGGCAGCCCCGCACCTGCACCTGCCCGGCCGCCTAGGGGGTTGGAGGTGGCTCCACCGGACTCCTGTCGGGGCGCAGCCCGGACGCGCCCGGCGGGCGTGGAGGCCGCTCCCGGGCGGGGTAAACGGGCTGGGGCGCGGGGTTAAGGGGCGGGGTGGGGCGGAGGCTGTCTCCCGCCGCGCCTGCCTCGGATGAGGGCAGCACCTGCTGGGCCGCTGAACGCCCTCCCCTCTCTCTACTACCCACCCCACCACCACCCCGAACACCGCCGCGCCGGCTTCTGCGCTCCCTGGGCCCGATGCGGGGGACGAGACGTGGGTGCGGGAGTAATGGAAGGTGCAGGGGAGGTCGGCGAGGGGGCGGGGGTGGGTGCAGGGAGGGCTGAGCCCGCTGTGCAGGTCTGCGCAGCAGCCAGGCCACCCAATCTTTGTGTTTTTTTTACCAACTTTACTGAATACATATTTAGGAGCATGCATACATACATACATACATACATACATACATACATACATACATCTTTTTTTCAGCCTTTCAGGAAACAGAAAGAAGTGTTGAGAAATAAGTAAGGTCTCCTTTACGTGCTGAAATTGATTAAATAAATAACCGAAGAAGCGCCAGGGAGCATCCTGAGCCCGGGTTTGCTAGCCTTCCTCCCCGCGGTGGGTGAACCCATAAAGTGAAATAAAACATCCAGGCCGGAACCAGCGAAGGCGACGTGGAGAGATGCGACTGCAAACACAATCTGCCCCCAGGAACACCTCCCCCCTCAGCTGGAGGTGTGGACAAACAGGAACCAGCGATAGCATTCTTAAAAGGTTAGATAAGGAAGGCAGGTGCAGCCTACCTGGTATTTATCTTCTTGGCTTTTACTTCCTAGAAATATTTATCCTTTATTACCTACTGTACTATATTTAGGACCTCATTGGGTTTCCGGCCGTTTTCTGTTTGGACCGGTTTTTTTCTTGTTACCTTGTTAATATAAGCACGCAGGTTTAATTCCGTTTAAGACTTGTGAAGGATTCTCACCCCTACCCCCATCCCACAGTCTGCCGTCTTACCAAGTCAAGTCAATTTCACAGGTGTTAAATAACATTGAATAAGAAATATATAATCAGCATAAAAATTAAGTGCTGCATGACAACACAGGAAAATACCTCATATTCTGCCTAGTTTCTATAACATTTCTGTGAGCGGCCAGGGATCCTGGCCCCACTATTGCAGTATTTATTTTCGTACTGGTTTTTCATGTATTACTTGAAAATCCTAATTTCCAGCTTAGAGAAGGAATGCATTTCAAATGCGACGTGCCAGCAAGTTGAAGGGCTGGAGAGAAGATTTAAGTCATTTTTTTTCCTTTCTCCAGACTTTCTACTCCAGGTGGGAGTGGGGTGGCTGTTCTAATGGGGTCAGGTTTGAGACTAACGTGCATTTATTGGCCTGCCCCCACCTCTGGTTTTGTAGGTTGTTTTTGTGTTGAGAGCATATTTCATACTGAAATGAGAATTACCACCTTCCTCACACCGCTACTCACATGCACAGAAGACGGGGAGCATGAATGTCTGATGCTCATGTTCTCACAAGTGCCAGCCAGAAACAAGCAGGACACCAGCCCAGACCCCGCACCCCACATGGGCCAGAGCCAGTCTGTGACCAGACCTTCTGCTGTAAGCTGTCGTAACGGAGTCCCAGCTCTGAAGTGATGTCAGGACTCAAACTCAGGCCCCTGGGCCTTAAACATTTGGGCATTAAATCCCATGCCCTCACCACCTAAGCTACACTGACTTGACCCGGCAGAATTTTGCAAGGAGTTGCACACTAACTGGCATCCATGGCATAAACCACATCAGTCATGCAAGTGGAATTTTCAAAAGCCAGAATGAGTTCCCAAACTTTGACTTGGCTCTCATAATCCTAGTGGTCCCTTCCACTTTAGGAACATCACGTCCTTCCCAGGCTGGTCATACAGGTTTCCTGCCACTACTCTGCATACATGCACACACATGCATCTGATACTTCAAATTCACCCAGGCATTCTTCTCAATAACTGATGCCCCAAAGCAATTGGAAATAGAAAGTAGTGACTTTGGACCACTTTTTGATTTCATTTGGCCCTTTAAACACTACTTATTTTGATGAAATAAGCGTGGTTATTCAGTAACCTAGGCTGTATCCAGTGCTGCGTCCTGATCAGGCTAGGTGTTCAGTAAATATTAATTGTTGGACCCAAATGCACTAAAAGAGCCTCTGGCATGATTCTCCCTTACAGCTCTTCAATCTGGATGTTCCCTAGGGGCTGAAAGGTTTGTTCTGGTTCCTGGTTCTCCTCCTCCCTCTTCCCTCTGCTTATCCTGGGGACCACTACCCATGAAGGCAGACCCCTGTAATCAACATAAGCCAGGCTCCAGGAGGGTCTCACAGGACATTGACTTTGCCTTCTCCTCTAAGACCAGCACAAACACAGCCTGAGACTCACCTTCCCAAAGACCAGCACTGCTCACCACCAGTCTCCACGGAAGTCTGCAGTAGCTATAATTAAGCAAGGCTTCCAGGCCAGTAGGTGTTTGCTGAGTGAATGAATGAATGAATGAATGAATGAATGAATACATAACATAAATAATAAACAAGGTTGCCGCCAGTTGGCCCCTTCCTCTCCATCCTTTTCTCTCTGTATTCTTGGACCAGCGGTTGGTTCCCAGGTTTTAGATTGTATAGATCACTTACTTTTTTTTTTTTTTATCTGAGGGCTGTATGGAGTTTCTAACTTTTAATTTTGTCAAGGAAGGTTATTTTTGAGGGACCACTATCCCCATCGTTTCATAAAAGAAACAGCAATTTTCAAAAATACAAGGCTATAAGCTGAGTGCATTTAGGAAAAAACCGTACCATACTTTCCCTTATTTCACCCAGACCATTGAGAACTCTATGGAGAAGTTAGCCCAGTCAGTACCAGTGGGGGAACCTCCCTCTAGGTCATGCCCTCTGCTGATGGCCTCACGTCCCAATCCTGTGCCGTTCCCCAACACCATTCCGTGTACCCCAACTTTGGTGTCAGCAATGACCTCCTTCTTTGTCTCAAAGTTTCCACCTCTCTTCCTTTAAACCCTGCAAAAGTTCCCAGTTACTGTGAACTAGCCTAGACCTTCCTCACACACCAACATTTGGGGAAGGAGATATCTCTCCCTGCTGTTGACAGGTCCCCCAAATCCATGCATCTCTGTATCTTAACACTCCCTTTTAGTTCCCTCCACCCCCCGCTGCTCCATGTTCCCCAGCATCCAGCCAAGTCCTGTCCATATTATTGATGGACTGATCCTTTCCACTAAAGGTAGAGAAAATGAACGCTGAGATTTCTTTAACTGGCAACATAACTTAACTAGATCCTTCAAATCTAGTCACTGTCCAAATATGATTCCTTACAACTGATGTAATAGGCCAATTTATTTTAGAGTCTGAATAAATATCAAGTCACTTTGGCAGCTTTGGAGGTTACCTGCCATGTCGTCAGTGTGCCCAACACAAACAGTGCCACAGAGGTGTTCTGTCTTTTAGACATGAAGAAGGCAGTGTCTGAGTTGTTTCCTTGGCCTAAAATGACCTCTGCCCCCTCCAAATCCCGTCCCCCTCTCAAAACTTAATTCAGGTCCCTCCTCTGTGGAATCTTTCTTGCCTATTCCAGCTCTCTTGAATCTCTTCTGCCTCTGAATCCAACATCACTTCTAGTCCTTCAAATTAGCATTTTATTATCAGGTTGTCTTGTCTTGTTCACCACGGTTTCACGTGGGTTATTCTGGTCTCCCTAAGTGGATTGTTGTGGGCAGGGCCAATCTCTTCATGCCTTTTTCCTTGTCTGGGTCCTGCCCAAGAGTACCAGGCATAGGGCTGAGAACTAGGAGGAGCACAGATGTCCTTACCAGGTGCGTGATTAGATCTCTCCATCCATGGTTGGTCCCTAAGACAGTTCCTTTGTGACCAGAGACAGGAATCCACAGAAGAGTTGGCTGGTAAGACTGTTACCAGAAGCAGGGGAAGGGATTTTACCCTGACCTCATTAAAGCAACATTCTGGAAAACAGTCCCACCTTCTCATAGGATTCTAATTGAGAAGTTAAAGGGGGAAAAAGTGAGCAACGGTAATACTTGCAGTGCATTGTACGGCCTACCCAAATAACTAGACTAAGACATGGAACACAGGCACTGTAAAAGACATACGGGATGCTAAAGGGGCTCCGAGGAAAAGGAGCACTTCCCTCAGGGAGACATGGGCAGTGTTCACAGAGATGGAGGCAGTGGTAGGAGGCACCTGGACTGTAGAATCAATCAGACTGGGTTCAAGTCCCAGATCTGTCATCTGCTAATTGTATGGCCTTGGGCACTGGAGTGCTTTGCTCCTGGAAATGTGGTCTGGGTCACAGGCATCACCTGGGAGCTTGTGACAAACCTGGATCTCCAGTGGGTGGGAGGCCCTACTCCAGGCTTGCTGGGTAAGACCCTGCACTGAAGCAAGTTCCCCCGAGGAAGTGCAAGGGCACATTAGAGGTGCTGCAGGGAATGATGCTCAGGGCTTGTCACCACTGTGTATGGTCTTACAGAGGATGTGTCACTGTTGTGTGCAATACTATAACTACATGGGACATAAAAATGGGTCCATGGACCAAGTATGGAGAGCAGTGGAAAGATAGATACCAATTATGATAACCTTCTTTGAGCCTGGATAGAGGGAGCTGGGTCTAAAAAACTGTTTAATTACATGACCCAATAAATTCCCTACTGCTTAAGTCAGGCAGGCTAGGTTTTCTACACTTGAGAATTAAACAAGAGTGCATTTCTAAAGCATCTAGTGCCCTGCTTTGGCCCACAGTGGGAGCTTGGGAGCTTGGTATTGAGAATTGCTACTGCAGTGATTGTTATGGTGGTTGAACTTGAACTTGAACTTGAAGTCTCTGTAAACTTTCAATGACTCCAATTTAAATGTAGACAAAGAAGGAAAAGCACAAGACAAATGGTATTGACCTTTGGCTAATCTAGACAAAAATGGAGCTTGGGAGACTATTCTCTTTGGGAGAATAAGACTGGGGACACAAAAATGGAGGGCTTGAATGTATCTGAGCAGGAGATCAGGGTCAGCATGCAGACTTTACAAGGTTGGTCAGTTCTCCTAGAAGGAGAAATGCTTCTTCCCTCTCTAGATGCTTCCTTTCGGTAGCCTTTCCTACTGCCCACCAAGGGACAGAGAGTGCCTTCCAGTTGATATTTTAGGATGCATGACTGGGCAAGCTTGGTTCAGTTCTGGTCTTCTTTTTCCTCTCTGGAGTGAGCCTGTTGGTGAAAAATAGGAGTTCTCTGCTGCTGCTCTGGCCTGTTGTCACCCTGCTCCAGGAAGTCATCCTTGGGCCAGCCCCTCCAGTGGCAGACACCTGCTCTGGGTTACTGCTGCAAAGACTGGATGGCTAAGTCACTTAAACTGAGGTCAGCACAGCCAAGCACTTAGCCACTGCATGCAAAGTCGTATTTGCTAATGTGACATCTGTCAAGAATAAAGACACCTCCATCTTTACTCAATGTTTCATCTCTTAACCTACTCAAAAGTCAGGCAGGGAGGAGGGGGGCTCTTTTGGGGACCCCATGAAAGCTGCTATAGTCAGGATAAATCGGAGCGGGTAGAGATGGAAATTGGGGAGCAGCTTTGAAGCCTCTGTGAAGGGTGAAGGCTGTGCTGGTGAGACAGCAGGTAGAGGAAAGGACAGAACGGGGCAGATGTCAGAGAAGGAGAAAGGAAAGCCCCACAGGCCTCACGGGGTTGGGGGTGTGGCGGCAGCCAGGGGTGAGGGGCTCTGGGGCTGACAGGGCATCTCGATGGAAAAATCCAGTGGGAAACAGAATTGTGGGCTGCCAGTCATGAGGGAGGGAGAGGAGTATTGCATGGAAATAAAACTGACACATAGTGTGGATGGGATCCAGGGGAGAAATGCGGAGCATGCAAAGGAGTCAGCTGAGGACGGAGCCACGGGACCTCTGCACTCGGGAGGCTGGAGGAGGAGGAAGATGGCGCCTAGAAGAGCGAGTTCCCCGGGAGAGAGGTCAGGGAGCGAGGAGAGGCAGGAAACTGCAGGGAGGCAAGGCCGGCTGCAGGAAAGGAGCCCGGAAACCTCACACGCTCATAAGCAAACTAGAGAGTCCAGAAGGCCACAGAGAAGACCCAGGTGGGCTCCAAGGGCAAACAGGTCCCAGACCTGAAGGACCAGACATCTCTTAGGAAGCCCCTGTCCCAGCAGACAAGGAGAGAGAACCTGTGCCAGGGGCTGGGGAGAAACCCGCGCAGGCAGCCACACAGCCAGTTTGGATGCCAAGCAAAAACAGCCAAGGGCATCCGGGCCAAGTCAAATCACAGGCCACCAACCATGGCATGGCCACCCTGTGGGAGCATGAGCAGGAACTCTGTCTCTGAGGCAAGCAGAGCCCCCTCCGCTGCCCGCTCCCCAATTCCTGCTCCATTGTGGGTGCAGCTTCTGATGACTTCAGCGGAGATGAATCCCAGAGAGATGACTATTTTCTCAAAGTCATGCCTTTTTTAAGCACTAAGTGGGGAAAAAAGTTAAAAAAAAAAAAAGGAAGAAGGAAAGAAAGAAAGAAAGGAAGGAAGGAAGGAAGGAAGGAAAGAAGGAAGGAAGGAAGGAAAGAAAGAAAGAAAGCAAGCAAGCTGCACAAAAAGAACCACAGAGACTCCAAAAAAAAAAAAATCTGATAAGCTGCATTCAAATCACCTACTTAGAAGAGAAATTAATGTTAACTGCTAGGATCAAAGAATGAACTAAAGACACGGCTCTGAATTTTTAACCCCAATTTTTCATTCCAGTCACATGCTATGACTTCTCTGTGGACTTCCGACATTGATTCCACCATTGGAAGCAGTGAGTGCCTGGACCCTGCAGCCTGCAGGGGGTTCCCACCTGCCCGCCTCAGCCTGGCTGCACCCGGCCTGGTATAAATGGACCCTCCTACTCAGACATAGGCCGGGCATCCTCCCTTAGCCCCACAGCCCCCACTTACCATTCAACAGGTATCCGACATGTGACATTTGAAGAGAAAAATTATCCACAGGATCATCGAGGGTCAGAATCTTACTAAACTGGCCTGGTGTGGTGGCTGAAGCCTCCAATCCCAACACTTTGGGAGGCCAAGGCAGGAGGATTGCTTGAGCTCAGGAGTTTGAGATCAACATGGGCAACATAGGGAGACCCCTGTCTGTATGTCAGAAAAAAAAAAAAAGAAGAATCCTACTAAACCATCTCTCCTGGGGATGGGTTGTTTTTTAAAGGGGAGGTCAATCATTAGGGTGGTACAAAAGTGACTGTCGTTTTTGCCATAGAAAATAATGGCAAATGACTAATCTAATATCACAAGAGAAACATTATACTCAAAGTATTTTACAATTAAAAAATAAATTATACTTTCTATTTTGTAATATCTCACTGTCTCCACTAGTAAGAATGGAGGGTGGGAGAAGATTTGTGGCATTCTCAAATAAAGCTTCTGCAGCACCAAGGATATTTTCAAAGACTCTGCAAGGCCAACTGAAAGAAACTATTTTCCCAACAGCATTTCAGGAGAAAGTAAGTGTTCTACCAAAGTAATTTTTCTAATACGCTTGGGCTGAACACTTAGACATTCTAACTTCAGTTTAGAACCAATCTTATTGTTCAGCACTATAGACATTATGGAAAGAAGACTCGACTTCCAGTGAACTAAAAAGAAAAAGCCCCAGTGCATCCAGGCCAGCTGCCCGACTATTCAGCTCGTGCACTGTTACTACGTGCTCAGTACTCATTAAACCTTTCGCTAGCCCTAATTACTCAGATAAAAGCAAATGTGTGTATAAAGTCCATATTAAAATATTATCACATCCTTCCACACTATCATTGGGCACTGTTTTCAGATTTTCTCCATTAAATTGAAGACATTCTCAGCCAGTGGCTCACACCGGTAATCCCAGCACTTTGGGAGGCGGAGGTGGGTGGATCACCTGAGGTCAAGAGTTCAAGACCAGCCTGACGTGGTGAAACCCCATCTCTACTAAAAATAAAAAAATTAGCTGGGCATGGTGGCGCGTGCCTGCAGTCCTAGCTACTTGGGAGGCTAAGGCAGGAGAATCGCTTAAACCTGGAGGCGGAGGTTGCAGTGAGCCGAGATCACGCCATTGCACTCCAGCATGGGCGACAAGAGCAAGACTCTGTCTCAAAAAAAAAAAAAAAATTGAAGACATTCTCAGTCATCCCTCAAAGCCCAAGCAAACCCATGTGAGGAGCCGTCAGCACTGGTCCTCTTCTGTTGTCTGGATCTCAGCTAAGGTCATGATCATTACTGGCTTTCCTCGCCAGAGTAACAGAAAGCAAGAACTTTCACTGCAGGCTTTCCATGGTACTTGGCACTCAGTTGAGAACATGCCTGATATATTCTGGTGAACCAGAAATGACACAGTCATGGGTTCATTGACAGTGCATTAAGCATGTCCCTATACACATGTGGGCAAAATCAAATAATTCTATATGAAAGGGGAAACAGTTACTCTCTCTTCACATATGCACACGGGCACACACACCCAGGTGCTCTCTCTGCAGCACTATCTCATCCTTTGTTTCTGTTAACTAGCAACTACCCCTTACTCACTCCAAGAAAAGAACCACCTCAGCAAAATAGAAGCATTCTTTCTTTCTGCCACTTCCACCTAAAGCCCAGCATCTCAGCCCACCTTAGCAGGGAAACTCACACTGGCCTCCTTCAATACAGTTACTGCCATTTGTAAGAAAGGGGGGCTGACGGAGTTTCACATCGCTGTTTTGATGAGTGCTGCTTCCTTGTAATTCCCAATGGTCACCCTTCAGATTGGTTGTCATCCCACACGCAGTTAAGAAGTATCTTCCAAGAAAGAGTGAGTGCCCCTGTCAAGTGAGTCCTGTAACATATAGGTTTACACTTCAGTCTGAAACAGCAGGCCAAGGCCAAACATCTTATAAGGATAACTTTGGGATCTACCAGGCAGAACCCATGAAGGTTTTAAGACACCCTCCTCTCTCTAAGCCTCATACAAGTCCTCAGGTTGAGATCCACATTTCCTATCTGTGTGTTTTGGGGGAGGGTTCACCCACCTAAGCATTTACGCCGCATGCCATGCTAGGACCAAAAGCACAAAGCTGGGCAGGACCCAGGACGTGCCCTCAAGTGGCTCACACCAGGAACGATTGGAAAGGAATGATTGGAACGATTGGAAAGGCTTTGCTGGCTGACCGACCTCAGAGGCTAACTCTAGACCCCAGAAGCAGTGACCCATCTGACCTGCGCAGACTTCCCAATTGGGTCACCATTAACAAGGTGTGGGGAAGCATATACGCTTTCCAAAATAATGCCTGTGACCTCAAATATACAGCATCATGTAGGTCTTTTTTGTTTTTGTTTCTCTTAATTTTAAGTTCCAGGATACTTGTGCAGAAGGTGCAGGTTTGTTGCATAGGTAAAAGTGTGCCATGGTGGCTTGCTGCACCTATCAACCCATCACCTAGGTATTAAGCCCCGCACGCATTAGCTGCTTATCCTGATGCTCTGCTCCCCCCGCTCCCCTGACAGGCCCCAGTGTGTACTGTTCCCCTCATGTAGGTCTTTAAAATGTTCTTTGAATTATGAATTATTTCAAGAATATAAAAAAGTATAAAATAATATAACAAACACCCATATCAACACCTGTGAGATTTAATCATTCTTAACCTTTCGACACACTTGCTTCAGACCTTTCATTTTAGAGAAGAAAAAGATCTACAGAAGAATACAGGTAGAGGTGAAGTCCTGTTTATAAATTATGTAAATGTGGTTTTCCCTGTTTTATAAACATTGTGTAAGTGGGGTGTTCTACTTGCCTTTCAATGTTTGGTTTGAAAGATCCATCCATATGAATACAGTACACGGGCAGTCCATTTTAACTGCTGTATAGTATTCTACTGCCTCATAAACAATTCGCTTATCCTGTGTCCTGAGGTGGACATTTAGGATGTTTCCAATTTTCTTGATATTACAGTGCCACATTGACGTTTTTACACAGAACTTCTACACACACATGAGAAATTCCCCGGGGTACATCCCTAGAAGTAGAATTGCTGAGTCAAAAGTGTGCGGTTCTCCCCATTTGCCAAATATTGCCAAATTGCTCTCCAAAGAGTCTGTACCAATTTACGTTTCCACACAGCGACTCGTGATGGTTTGCGTTGCTTCACGTCTTCCCCGTTACTGGGGATGAAAGGATTTGAATTCTTGCCAGCCTGATGGGTGAGGTGGAATCTCACTGTTGCTCTGATTTGCATTTCCCTGGGCTGAACTTGTTCTCATATATTTACTGGCCTATCAAGCTTCCCCCTCTATTCTTTACCCGGTTTTCTCTTTGTTGTTTGCCTTTCCTAATTTTGAAAGAGTTATTTATATATTCTTTTTTTTAACTTTTTTTGTAACAGCTTTATTGAGATATAATTCATGTGCCATACAACTCACCCACTTAAAGTGTACATTCCAGTGGCTTTGACAATATTCGCAGAGTTGTGCATCCATCACCACAATCAATTTTAGGATTTTTTCATTAGCCCAAAAAGAAACACTTTAGCCCTCAGCCCCAGGGCCCTTCACTCCTCCATGGCCCTGGCCACCATGCTTCTGTTTTCAGTCCCTCTAAATATGCCTGCTCTACACGTTGCATGGAAATGGAGTCATACAGTGTGTGATCTCCTGTGTCTGGCTTCTTTCGCCGAGCATAAATGTTTTCAAGATTCGTCCATGGTGTAGCATCTGTCAGTACTTCATCTATTTTTTCACTGTGGTAAAATATACATAACATAAAATGTATCATTTCAACCATTTTTAAGGATACAGCTCAGTGGCATTAAGTACATTGGTGTGGTTGACCAACCATCCCCACTCTCCACCTCCGGAACTTTTTCATCTTCTCAAACTGAAACTCTGTCCCATTCGACACTCACTCACCGTTTCTCTCTCCCTCATCCCCTGGAACCCATCATTCTACTTTTTGTGTCTGTGAATTGGACTACCCTAGGTATCTCATGTAAGTGAAATCACACAATATTTCCTTCATGTACACTGTCTTCGCATAATTGTGCATAATTGCGCCTTAGCACGATGTCTTCAGGGTTCATCTGTGCTGTAGTGTGTGTAGGAATGTGCTGTTTCTTTTTTTTTTTTTTTTTTTTTTTTTTTTTTGAGACAGAGTCTTGCACTGTCACCCAGGCTGGAGTGCAGTGGTGTGATCTCAGCTCACTGCAACCTCCGCCTCCTGGGTTCATGCCATTCTCCTGCCTCAGCTTCCCAAGTAGCTGGGACTACAGGCACCCGCCACCACGCCTGGCTAATTTTTTTTTTTTTTTTTTTTTTTTTTTGTATTTTTAGTAGAGACGGGGTTTCACCATGTTAGCCAGGATGGTCTCGATCTCCTCACCTCGTGATCCGCCCGTCTCGGCCTCCCAAAGTGCTGGGATTACAGGCGTGAGCCACCACACCCGGCCAGAATGTGCTGTCTTCTTAAGGCTGGAGAGTATTCCGTTATATGGATACTGTGCATTTTCTTTGCCTGTTCAACCACTGGTGCACGCTAGGGTTGTTTCCACCTTTTGGCTCTTAGGAATAGCGCTGCTGTGAGCACTGGTGGGCACATATTTATTTGAGTCCCTCCCTTCAATGCTTTGGGGTGTATACACAGAAATAGAGTTGCCAGATCATATGGTAACTCTATATTTAATTTTTTGGGGAGCTGCTATACTGTTTTCCTACATATATATTCTTAGCACTTGTTTTTTCTTAGTTATGTTTGTTGCAAATACCTTCCCCCAATATATGGTCATCTTTATCTTTCTTGCCTAGGAATTGTAGTTTTAATATCAAATGTATGAATCTTGCCTTTACGGCCATTGCTTGTTGTATTTTGTTTAAGATGCTTTTCTACCCAATGTTGGAAGGTATTCTATCATTCCACTTTTGTGTATAAATCTTTAATCTATCTGAATTGACATATTTATTTGTTGTGAGGTAAAGAGCTAATTTAACTTTTTTTCCCATTTGGATAACCAAATGTCCCAAACAGCAAATATTTCCCACTGATGCGTAACTCTGCCTCTGTCCTAGACCAGCGAATCTTTCGGCCAGTTTGGCCAATTGATCTGCTTTCTGTTCCTGCCTTGATGCTGCACTGTCTAAATGACAACAGCTTTTTAATAAGTCAATGCTTGGAAAGCAAATCCCACAGCATATTTTTTCCATTAAAATTGTCTTCATTTGGTCCTTTACTCTTGCATGTAGGTTTTAGGATTATCTATGCAAACTCCATGAACGCCATTGACTTTAGAGTTGAATGTTAAAGTGTGCACGGAAATCCTCATGATATTTTACCTTCCCTTCCATGATTCCAAGATCCCAATTCCACCTGCTTCATTTTGTAAACAAGGACATGTTGGCATTCCCACAGCCATACAGGGACAGTGAAAGAGACCAGGCCAGCGGCCTTGGCATATTACTCCTTCCACCAACTTCAAATAGGAACTTCCCCACCCTAATGCCAGAGCTTTGCCCTCTATTCCCTTTCCACCTGCGCCCAGGCATTAAGTCACTCATTCATTCAGTTAGCATTGTTGAGTGTCAACAGGCCTTTGGGCTATGGTTGTGGTCACACTTCCTACTTCCAGGAGCCTGCAATAGGACACAGCTCTGAGGACTGAGCTGAGCCCCACAGTTATCTCTTGAGAGTTAAAACTGGCTCTGAGCCCCTGTGTATGGTCAGTGAAGATGGGAGACACAGCGGGTGGGAAGAAAGAGACAATGGTGCAGGGCATGGAAGGGGCATTGGGGGTCAGCGGCTGTGTGTGACTCACGCCAACCAACCCACAGGAAACCAAGTAGAGAAACCAGAATGTCAATGCATTAATTTTTAACTGAAACAAAAGATGACCACCAACTTTACCAGCGCTTACTTCCTGTGGCCAAACATTTGCTCCGTGTAGACAAATTACACTGGGAAACCAAATGATAATCAGAAGTTTGCTCAACAACCTTGGAGGGAAAAGAGTGAGAATTGTTTCCAATTTGAAGGCGTCCTAACATCACGTGAACTCATTTCTATGGCAAGGCATTGCTGGCAGCTACAGTGGACCCACCTCTAGGCCGGGAGCCCTCCCTGTACCGGGAGGACACTGTGTCTGTGTCTGCCTCTCTGCTTCTTCTGAAACATTCAGCCCATTCTCCAGAAACACAAACCCTGTCTTTGCACGTGATCATGCTCTGAACATGGCTGTAGTAAAAGTATGTTCAGAAGACAGCCAGGGTGTTTTGCTCCTCTGATTTGACTTATAATTTAACTCTTTAAACAAGTTATTTCTAATTTCTTGGGGACAGGAAGAATGTGCATTTGGCCGGCAAAGGAACTGAGGCTCAAGAGTTCACAGGACTCAACTATCCCAGGCTACCCAGATGATGGCTGCCAAACTGGATTACAACCCAGGTTTTAATCTAAACTAAATCCAACTAAAAAGGAGTAAATGTCTGAAAATGCCAGTCAAAGCACGAAAGGTTAAGTGGCTAAATTTGGCACCTAACCACATCAACCTCTGTGGCTAAGAAGCTGGAAAGTGGAGACCCTGACTTCTACTCCTTTATAACTTCCCACAGTACCTGGTCCAAAATGTGCTCAGGCAGGCTATTCATACGTGTTGACAGCTAAGTAACCCCCTTCCCCAGATGGTCCCAAACATCCACAGAGGCCTAAGGCTAAACCACATATTTTTTTCCCTTTTCCCTTCAAGTCACCTTTCAACCCACACCAGGACTCCTTCAGGGAACAGCTGGGGGTCCCTGAGTCTCTTGCTGGAGGGTCTGCACCATCCTCTCCCTGTCCCAAAGTTCTCTGAGTCTCTGGACCTTTCTGTCCCCCTGTCTTCCCCACTTGGACTCTACTTCATCTTAGAGATGCTCCCATCGGGTTTGGGTTGGTGACGGTTATCCTTAGAGGCACAGGTGGGTCCTACCTCCATCCTGGACCAGGGCACCCTTCCTTCACGGTGGCCATCCCCTCATTGCTAGCAAAGCCTCTGTGGCTCCCTGTCCCACTGAAGATTCCCACCCTGCCAGGACTTTGGAGCAGAAGGAAAATTCCATCTGGCCTCACATTTCACAGGTACTTCTTGAGTGCCTGGGATTTAACCTCTCAGCTCCTCAGTTTCTCCATCTGTAAAAGTAAAGGAGGTCAGGTTGGATGATCTCTAAGCTCCCTTCCATCTCTGTTCATTGGTGATTCTCAGTGCATGAACATTTTTAAGGATCACTGGAAGGGAGTATAACATAAATAATCAATTTAGTGAAAACACATACATTCCAATGAAATGCAAATTTCTTTAAGATGACTATAGCAGTAGTGTAAAGTGAGTCTGGGTGATAGCATGGAAGTCATCCCTATACCACCTGCAAAGGGACTGCCCTCAGGGAAAAATAACTGAGTAGTAAAGGAAAAGGAAGTGATGCTATTTTATCATGTCGACTTCCAGGTATATTGTTTTAAGCTATTTGATGTTTTGGCTTTTATGGTAGGAAAAAACATCTACCTGTAGAATGTTCAAATGAGTTGTCCATTTTCACGTGCACATTACAAACCAGAAGAACATTTATCATATAAGGTAATGGAAGCCTGTTTATGTAAGCTTGTTATGTTCAAGGCAACAAATTCAGAGTGTGTAGGCTGTACGTACAATGCAGTTTTTAAATCTGCTTACATTAAAAATTCTTTCTTTTCTGACATCTTCTGGTTCCTTTTTTCCTTATCACAAGGTTTCCTGAGCTGGGCTCCATAGACATTAAGAGACTTCTGGATGCACCTCAGAGGTGCCCTCAGCCCCCTAAAGTTGTGGGGCATATGCACTCTTTCATAGTGGCTTTCATCTGATTTTCAAAGGGACCCTTGCCCCGCAAAGTGGCCTCTGATTATGCTTCTCGTTCATAGGCAGGGGAGAAAAATTTCCCAACAAGACCTGTATATGGATAAGCCACCTAGCAGAAAGAATCTCAATTCTGGATCAGAGAGACCTGGGTTCACGTCAATTTGCCAGCTGAACTCTACTTTTGGACAAGTTAATTAAATACTGTGATTCTGAGCTGCCTCCTTTCTGTAAAATGTGGGTGATAGCATTTGTCTAGTTTACGAGTTACTGTGAGGATGAAATTATTTGCTCTCTGTAAGCCCCAGCACACCATTTGTGCTCAATGGCTGGTAGACCCCTCAACACTAAGGAAAACCAGAGCTGCCTCCCCAGGGTAGCTCCCAGCTCACCAGCACATCCTGCAGAGCTGTAAGACTAAAATGCAAGCACAACTCAGTCAACTAAACCTCACTGAAATCAATGTTTCTTTGCCTTCACAAGTTCGATTTCTCCTCAAGATGGTTTCTATGCAGTCCCCGTGAGAGTTGACTGAGAATCACCATACACCAGATGTCTAATCCCCAGGTTCCAACACCTCCCTCATGCAGCCACTATAAGAGGAAAAATGGCTTCCACACCCACCCAAAATCTTCGCTGCAATGCTGTTTTGTCCTTCCACCTTGGCCAATAAAGCCACTTCCTTGTGCTTGAGGCACCTCAGTATCCCACTTCTACTTCTTTCTTGACTTTCATTTCTTATACCTTGTCTTGAGCCACATCCTCTGTGCTAGAAACAGCTCCCACTTCCTGCTGGCCCAGCACCTCTGAGCACTTCCTCTCCATGGCTATACTCTTTCAGGAGTTTCTACACCCATATCACTGGGGGCTGTTTCTAAACCCTCCTCCGGTTGGGAAAGTGGAAAGTTGGTAAGTTCCCTGTAAAATATGCTGTGTGCTAGAGACCAGGAGGCCTGTCCAGTTCCCTATGTCCAATATGGGACAGCTCAGAACCTCTCATTCCCACCTCTAAGCAAAAGCAAGAGTTTTCATGTGAGTTTCTGAAACTTGGCACTTAATGCTGTTGTTCTCATGGTGTTGAGATAAGGAATACGGGTCAGTGTATGAACTCCAGCTTCCCCACTAACCGGCCTGCGATCTTGAGCCCTTAACCTCTGTGAGCCTCAATCTATTAAGTAGATAAGACGCAGTCTGTATTCAGATGACAATTACAAGGTTGGTATTAGATTCTATGGTCAGGCAAGACAAGGCCTGCAGGAGGGAGGAAAAGGGGGATTCTTCCTGGCTGAGGTAAGGAGGAAGGGAACATCAGAGCTGAGCCCTTCCAATTCCCATAAGCCCTATAAAGTTAGATTTATGTAATAAGTTTATTATAGAAGAATAATAGTAACCATTTATGGAATACCTACTTGGCAACAAGTGCTAAATATGCCTTGTTCCTTACCCTGGCAACATGGACCTTCGTGTTCCCATTTTGCAGATGTGGAGTATGAGGCTGAGAGGTACATGACTTCCCTCCAAAGCCTGGTGGAACCAAGTCTGTCTGGAGGCCCTACCACTGCCACACACCTTCCTGGTGTTATTTGTAGCTCTAGAAGAAGAGAAGGACTCTAAGGTCAAAGGTGTTAGAGGTATTGTAATGAGATGATGAACCAGGAGGCCTCTGGCATTCCCTCTCCCTCTCCTAAGATGGTCCTTCTTTACAGACATGGGCAGAACTAAAGCCTTGGAAAGAGCCTAAGCAGACAAGCAGCCAGGGAAAAGGGCACCCAGGTCCTGGCTGGCACCAGCCTGGCTATGGAGTCCTCCCCACAGGAAAAAGATGCCGATGTCAAGAAACTCAAGCTTAAGTCAGTAACAGCACCCTGATGGCCTTGGTCACTTCCTCAGGGCACCTGGACACACCCCAAGGCCTTACAGAATTTCAAATTTGGTTCAATGGCAGTGTCTGATTTTCTAGACTTACAAATCTGTAGATTATCCAGAAGAGCAACCAAAGTGCAATTATTTTTATGGTGGTCTCTGCTGTAAGACATTTTGCAAATTCAGAGTCCTATGCTTCAGAATGAAAGCTCTTCCCAAACTCCAGGGTCAATGGATTAAAGGAATGGATCTGGCTCTTGGCAGTGCCTGGGATGGCCAACATGCAAGCTCCCTAACCCCTTACCTCCTCCCTAACCCCTCACCTGTGTTACAGGTGAGACAGCCCTGTCGGTTCTCCTAGGGAAGGGGAGATGCATCAAACTGATGACAGCTACAGAGTGCTGAGACACGGAGTGGACATGGACACCAAGATGGCCGTAGGAGCTGCTGATGAAGCAGTGCCCGAAGTGACTGCTATTAGGAATAGCACAGAACGAGTTTCTTCATCACCTCCTTCGAGAGGGTGCCGTGATGGAACAGACGTAATTTTCACCCTCAGCTGGGGTGGACACCCTGCTATACAGTGATTAGCTCTGTGATCTTGAAGAGGTCATTTCAATTCTTGGCCCTTTGTTTCCTCATCTGTAAAATAGGGTTGACAACGTCCACCTTACAAAGGTTTCATAAGAATTAAAGGAGAGGGCTGGGCACAGTTGCTGACACCTGTAATCCCAGCACTTTGGGAGGCCAAATAGGGCAGATCACTTGAGGTCAGGAGTTCTAGACCAGCCTGGCCAACTTGGTGAAACCCAGTCTTTACTGAAAATATAGAAATTAGCTGGCCGTAGTGGTGCATGCCTGTAATCCCAGCTACTCGGGAGGCTGAGGTAAGAGAATCGCTTGAACCTGGGAGGCGGAGGGTGCAGTGAGCCAAGATTGTGCCACTGCACTCCAGCCTGGGTGACAGAGCAAGACTCTGTCTCAAAAAAAAAAAAAAAAAAAAAAAAGAGAGAGAATCAAAGAAGGGGATGTGGGAAAAGCCTTTGGCCCATAGTAGGTCTTCAACAGAAGGGAGCACACTTTGGTGAGAGCCTGAAAGGTTAGCGACCTATAGCTAGGCTTCTAAACAGAAACCCCAAGAATGGGATTCCCCATGGCAGCCAGGAACCCCTGCAGCCTGCAAGGTGTGTATATGGCCCAATGGGCCCACCATGGAAAAGAGCACCACCCCCTGCCCTAATTAGCCTCAGGCGCTGAGGGCCCTTAAAGAATTGTGAGAGATCTCTGATGCACAAATTAGATGCATTTGCCAAAGGAAGTTACAATGTTTAGCTTTCCTTCTACTTCCAGAATCAAGTGCTCCAAATAAACACTTCCAAAAGTGCAGGCCTAATGGCTGCATTAGGTGCTAACAAATCGTTAAAAGGTGGATGATTTTTTCTCGTGGTTTCTCACCCAACTCCCCCCAGCAGGCTTCCTCAAATGATTGATGGTCTCCATGGCAACCGTGGAAGTCCTGCTCACCTGAATTCCCCAACCCCGTCACTCAACCAGTTTGCAGGACAGTCGGGACTGCACTGAGCCCTCCGGGATCCCTGAACAAAGGTTATTTTGAAATAGCTTACGTGGCCAGGAGGTGAGTACTTTGTTCCTGAAACCAGGTGCTGAGATGACAAATACTTCCCCTTAACGGTTGGGGCTTCATCAGACAGGGGACCGTAGGTCTGATGTACATTAGAATAATCAGATGAATTGAAACAAGGAAGAGCATCAACCAGGCTATAGGCCTGTGAGCAATTTCTGTAGAAATGTAAGCCAAAGAAGTGATGTTAGGCTCCACAAGTAGCCATTGTTTGTAACATTTCTGCAATAGCACCACCTGAAAAAGCAGCCACTTATTGTCAGGGCTCTTAAAAAAAAAATAAATACTTCCCTAAAATCAGCGCAGCACACGTCAGTATAACGGCTGTCACCTGCTAGCTGTTTGGACCGTGCTAAAACCTTTTTCCATATTCAAAAAGGTTGTTTCAACTACATTTAAGCAGGAAAAATCAATGAGGGAAAATCACAAACTGGATCCGGCTACAAGGAGCTCAGAGAGGAGAAAATCAGGCTTTCCCAGCCTGCAGAGCTCCCTGCCAGACAAATGACAATGACAGGGACTGAAATTAAAAGAGAAGGGACACAACGCCCTTTCCACTTAACTCCAAGGGCAAGCTCTTTTGGTTTGCAGCTACATTTGCCAACCCCTCACCTAGGATTCTCCCGAGAGATATAGGAGACATTTCCAGACTCTCAAAGGAGCCCATAAAATTGCTTTAGAAATGGGACTAACCTTTTGCAAGGTGAGAAGTCTGCCTTCATTACATATCTTAGGAAAAAAAAATAACTATGAGAAGCAAGACTCGAAATCTACCACAAGAAAACACCAACAACAAACGGAATTAATAACTCTGAACACCAAAGAATGTACCTGCTCTTTCATTCAACCAGCTTTTATTAAACTATTACCTACCAGACACTGTGGGAGTTACTGGGATGTTGGGGTGTATAATTCTGGATCTGTGCCCTGGAGGAGCTTGTATGGGAAAGACAGACACTAAACAAACAGTTGCGACACCGTGGACTAGCCCTGTGCCAACAGCAGGAATGAGGTGATATGGGAGCCAATTCACCCACTTGGAGGCTCAAGAACAGGGGGATTTTGCCAGATGCAGCAGGGTGATGATAGGATTAGACAGGATGATAATGGAAGTCCAGAAATGTGAGTTACAGCCTGTAATCCCAGCACTTTGGGAGGCCGAGGCGGGTGGATCATGAGGTCAGGAGATCGAGACCATCCTGGCTAACAAGGTGAAACCCCGTCTCTACTAAAAATACAAAAAATTAGCCGGGCGCGGTGGCGGGCGCCTGTAGTCCCAGCTACTCGGGAGGCTGAGGCAGGAGAATGGCGTGAACCCGGGAAGCGGAGCTTGCAGTGAGCCGAGATTGCGCCACTGCAGTCCGCAGTCCGGCCTGGGCAACAGAGCGAGACTCCGTCTCAAAAAAAAAAAAAAAAAAAAAAAAGAAATGTGAGTTACAGCCACACCTTAAGGCACACCTCTCACTTCCTTAGTGCCCTATGAGAATGCCTGGCCCCTACGGCTGCAGAGCAGTACAAAGGTTAACGAGATGTGGGAAACCACTCAGAATTTTTATGCTAAAGTCATTACATTTGAGAGCGATTTCATATTGGCTGGACTTTGGTCTCAGTCAATATGATTTCATCTGGCACCATTTATGTTACCAACTTAAACTGGCTGCTATTTCCCCAAAAAAGTATTTCCCTAAAAATCTTCACATATATGTCTGCCTTTTCATCAATTAAGGAGTATTTACTGCACACCTCCATGTGTTCATATCCTATTTGACATCTATAAATGAATCTTAAAAAGTGCAACTAAGCAAGCGTGTATCAGTGGCATCCATCTTCTGGTTTTCCTTTTCATTTTGATTGGTTTGCTATTCAATATGTACGTGCAATTTTTTTCTTCAAGAAAGGATTCAGCCTATCACACTTGTCTGTGTTTTTGGTTTCTGTGGAAAGAGCCTAACATGCAGTGGACACCAGGATAATGGCATTTGGCAACAGAGGTCAATGCTACCTGTGGGGACTGGGGTTTCACTATCCCCAGGAAATGGACCTACATGTTAACAAGGAAAGTTTGCCATTTACCGGGCTTCTGATGGTAACAGATTTGAGAGAACTAGCTGGTGAGTGGCACCAACAAGAAGTCAGCGATCCATCCGGGGTGGCCCAGGCTCAGCCACACAAGAGAAACTGCACTGTCCTCTGCACCCACGTCTGACATTGGTCCTCCCGTGAAGCTTCATGGGGGTGAGGACCAATGCTCCAGGGAACTCCTCCAACACACAGGATCGGGCCCTCCCCCTCCTCATCTGAGTTATATCTGGGCTCTCTTTTTCTTTAAGGGGACAAAGGAGAAAGAATGCCAAGCTTACTGGTGCATTAAATGATTGAGAAATGTTTGCCATTTAAAGCTGTTTCACTTCCTGCCTGATACCACAAAGAAGCTTTTTAATGAAGTTAGCCTTTGCCTTTCTCAATGCCACTATGCGCCTGGCTTGTTTTGCCCACTTTCTGTTTTCAAAGCTAGGTATGATCAGGAAACACGTGGTTTCTATTGTTTCAAACAAGTAAATTTCAATTCAGTCAATTTAGGGGAAAAAGTCAGGGGGCGTCCAAAGGACAGGGTAGAGGGGCGGAGCATACGAGGATGGCCGAGGGGGCACAGACAGCAGGCAGCGGGGTCCAGGTCTTCACCCTGCTCTGAAGGGGCCTGGCTGCCCTAAGTCAGCCCAGGCTCCCACGGGAAGCTGAGCCCTCAGGCTTGGGGGGTACTATGGGCTCCCAGAGTAGGGCCCCCCTCATTCCACACGTGCCCTTGCTGACTAAACCCTAAGCCCCAGGGTTGGCACATGACTTTCCACAGCTACAGCCAAAAAGACAAACACCACAAATTGCTTCGTGACCCCTTGTCAAGAGTGCTCCCAAAATGAGAAAATCTATACCACAAGAGTCCTACCACTGGGACACAGCCAACTTCAGGACCAGCACGAAAGCCCTGGCCAAACCATCCTGCTGCTACTAAAGTATGAGTTGTCCATATGACTGACAGAATCTCTGGTTTAAAGTAACTGTGGCTACTGCTTCTTCAGTGCTTATGGGCATGTCGGGTACTTAGCACTTGGTGTACGCCTATTCATTTAATCTTCCCAGCATCTTGCAAGACAGGTGTCGCTATCTCTTTTTACAGATGAGGAAACAGAGACAGAAAGAAGCTAAGGAATTCCAAGGTATCTGGGTCAGCTGCTGATGCAGCCCTACCCAAGGTGTGAGAATGTAAGTCCATGCTCTGTATTACCAAGTACAGTGTTCCAGGGTTTTCTGTTCTGCCCCCACCTCCACCCCCAGCCAATACCTATGTTTGAAAAAGGCCCGTTTCTAGCAGCGTGTTCATATTTATTCATTAAGTACTTATGAAGGGTCCACTGTTGGTCAGGTCCTGGAGATAAAGAGATGAATATCATGGTATCTGTCTTCTACACGTGTACTCTCCAGTACCCTCCACGATGGTGCCACTAGCCACATGTGTCTATTGATTGCTCAAAATTTGACTAATATGAATTGAAATACGTAAAGTGTAAAATACACACCAGGCTTCAAAATCTTCTTATGAAAAAAGTGTAAAATATCTTAATCATGTTTCTATTGAATCTTATTGAATCTATGTTAAAATTATATTTTAATATATGGATTAACTAAAATCATTTTTATTTCCATGCATTTCTTTTCCTTTTTAAAACGTGGCTGCTAGATAGTTTGAAGTGACCTACGTGGCTCACGTTCCATTTTTATCGGATTGCACTGCGCTAGAGGCACATGTCTGGAGAGGAGGAGACGTGAACAGAGCTGTCCCCATGGCCCAGGCAGGCAAGGAAAGCAAAGGAAGCATGAAGGGAGGCCAGAGGAAAGCAAGGGAAATGCCACGCCTGCCTTACGAGCTCCGACAGGGAAGTCGAGCCCTCTTATCAGTGGTCTAGTTGACTGGAGAGATAATCTACCACGCTCGCCAGCCTGTTCTGGAGAGACTCAATGACAACCCTATCACGTTAGAGGACCTGGCTCAGCAGTAGAACACAGGCTGGCAGCAGAGACTGTGGGATTCAGCTCTGGACACCAGCACCAGCTCAGATGGGAGCTCTGCTGTGGTTTTCACTTTGCTCTGGCTTTATTTTTATCAAAAGTATTCCAGGCCCCAAACCTCCCTCCTTAAACTTCCAGGAGAGGTTCAAAAATCCCACCTGCCTTATTTATGTAAACCATTCCTCTCCCCTCAGCCCCTTGGCAGCTCGTGATATACACTCTTTGTTGCTTACTCAGTGTCCACTCCTCTGTCGTATCTTACTGGAAGAAGCCCATTTGGGTTCAGAAAAGCCATGGGTCCAGCAGCCCCAGGCGATGGGTCCTGATCCTCTGTCTAAGCCAGTCTTGATAATTTCACTCCTCACTGCCCAGCCTGCCCTGAAGTTAGGGGTGGGCTGTCACTCAGTTCTGACATGACACCAAGGCCAGAGACTGCTTTGGGGCCAGTGTCTAGAAAACTTTGGATTCTTGGTAAAATGAGACAGATGAGGTTCAAAATGTCTCTCCTGCCCCAAACATCTTCATTCTGCCCCAGACGTGACCACTGCAGCTCCAACAGCCATATTGCAAACAAGAGAAGAATTCTAAGAAAACTGCAGAAGGTTAGTGCTAATATCACCGAGTTTATGAACCAGCACCAGTAACCACTGACCTCCAGTCTTCCTGTTACATGAGGAAAAATAAACTCCTCATTACTTAAAAGCCATAGAGTCAAGCAGTCAGATATGCTGTTACTTGCAGCCTTTGACATATACAAACCAAATATAAAGCGGGAAAATCGTTTGTCCAAAAATGTAGACTGTTCCAAAGAAACTCAACATCAACATCAACCACTTCCCACATCACTCTCTGCCTGATATTTAAGCACATTTTAATCACAATTCCCAGGGAACTCTGTGTGTTCTTCTCCTTTGAATGTATTGCGTCCATATAAGAGGTGGGAAAACTAGTAGTTATGGTTGAAGACCTACACGTGGCATTCTTAATTCTATATAAACCTCACAGTTCCAGGAAAGTTTCTCTCCACCTATGCAACATGTATAATTTTTTCACTCCCCAATGTACAAGAAATTACAGGGAATATTTTATTGTTCCTCAAAAAATTAATATGGTCATTGTCATTTAATATGGTTTAAATTTTTTAAAATTTTAAAATTTTTTTTAAAGTGTTTCTTCCTCCCCAGACACTATTTGGCTGCCTACTCAGTGACAAGTCCCTGCCAGACCCGGTGATTCAAAGCCCAGTTTTGCTCAGGTGTGGACAGCCCTGGGCTTGGGGTGACCAGGGCCCTCCCTGGCCCTAGGGAGTAAGTCCTCATTCATCCAAGCTGATCGTAGCAATTCCCTTCTCCTTGATGAGACAGGTTTGGGAAAAAACATAAGGCATAATTCTGGCTAACAAGCTGAGAGAGGAAGTCCGCTGGGAAACTTCTGAGGAAGCTCCTTCCTCTGAAAATGAGGCATTCACACGGGCCAGGCTGCAGGCACCACAGATCTGAAGCTGCGGTCACTCAACACAGAGATGCCTGTTATGCTCGTGTGAGAGTCCAGGGCAGTTCCAAGTGGCTGGGACAAGGGAGCAGTGGGCACAGGGAGCTCTGCTCCATGCAGTTATTGAGACTCAAGCACAGGCTGTACCATCTTCAAAACCTGGCTTCCACAGTTGCCCTGATGGTCAGACCCCAATTAACCAAAGGGGGAAAGAGCCTGGTCTGCTGTCCTTGGCAGCATCTCCTAGAAGGACAACTTAGTGACCCCAGGAACAGTTGCATTGTTGTTGGATGACAGCAGTAAAAGTGCACAACATACCGCCCTGCTGAAATCGAGAATTCTTTGCACCACCTGAACCAAGCTCATGTGTTTTAAAGACTCCTGCACAGAGACGCTTCTGGGCTGGGCATGCAGATGGCTTTCACCCTCCATCCATCAGACTCAGCCACATGGCCATGCCTGACCGCAGGGGAGGCTGGAAGATATGGTCTGGCTGTGTGTGCAGAAAGAAAAGGAAACAGCTTTGGTGCAAAAATGAAAATGCAGAGTGCCATGTTCATAATTACTAAGAATTTCCAAACAGAGGCAGCAGAGCATTACATCAGTGTAGGACCCTTCTCGGCGTGGGTTCTGTGTGGCTGCACGGTTAAACACTCAATTCAGGCCTGGACAGAGGAGGTGCTTGTCATATGGCAGCCAGCACCATCTCCTCCCTTCCTGACCCACCATGTACCTCCAGCCCATGCTACCTGTTTTCCCATTCACATTCTATCTTACGTCATCTTTCCCCATAGCTCCTTGTGGTCAGGAACCACATCACATGCCTGAGTGCACATAGGCACTTTGAGTGACTAAAGGTATCCCCAAATCAAATTGATTCTAAGTGTTCAGGGTAACAATTTCATGATGCAAAAGAAAGCACACAGATTTGAAGGTTTGATGTGGCTTTGACAGGAGTAACTAAAATCAGTTTAGCAAATCAGATTAAATTTGTGGCCCGTTTTCCTTGACAGCATCTCCTAAAAGTACAGCTTAATGACTCCATGAACAGTTGCATTTTTATTGGATGATAGTAGTAAAAGTGCACAAAATATCTCTCTGCTGAAATAGAGAATTCTTTGGCACCACCTGAACCAAGCTCATTTGTGTGTTTTAAAACAATTTGCATTTGGCCTCATGCTATGTTGTTCTTGCCTGCATGGCCCTGATGGTGCCAGTGTGGGATGATTCTGCAATGGTACGTACTCCTATAGCCAGGATGGCCCACAAGCCCTGTCACCCAGACATCCTCCTTTCCAGCCAGGTCACCTAACAGTGACAGCAGTGGTTTCCCGAAAGGGGTACAGTCCAGTGCAAACCTGGCAGTTTCCAGGCACTTAAAAGTCCAGAAGGAGGGAACCAGCTGCAAAGGGAGGGCCCAGGCCACACCAGGCTCTGAGCTTCCAGGTGAACACCCAGCTGTTCATTATGTTGTGATGATGATGGTGATGGTGATAATGATGGTGATGGTGATGATGATGGTGACAGTGATAGTGATAGTGACGGTGATGATGGTGATGGTGAGGATGATGCTAATGTTAGCCTCCTCTCAAGTTTATCATTCCCTCATTGAGTCAATTTGTATTTGCAACTGTTTATTGACTTTTCCACTCAGCAGGTGCACCTGGACATCGGGGTCGCTGAAGGCAGCTATGGTCCAGCCTCATGACTGTGAGGAGAGTGGAGAGGGAGAGTCCTCAGGGCTGGCCAGCAGTCATCCCCCACTTCTGCTGTGAAGAGAGGAGAGCAAGAGCAACTGTGTCCACATGGAGCTGTTGACTCCCTCCTCTTCCTCAGAACCAAGAAACTCCCATGTACTCTACCCGGCATAGGTCCAGTAGGAATACTACACATAAATTAATCCAAAGCTCTAAGAAGTGAGTGCTGAAAATGACTTTGGATGACATTTATCAGATGGGAAAGCGCACAGAGAGACACACACAACACATGCATACACAAGGTATGCACACACACCAATGACAGGGCATTTACTATATATATGGTACAACACCAAGCTCTTTTCATATGTCATCTCGCTTATAATCCTGTGGGTGGTATTATTATCCCCATTTTACAGGTGAGGAGACCTGCCTCCCAGGTCATTTATGTAGTGGAGCTGGGGCGCCAGTGCAGACTGAGTCTTCTTTCTGCTGTCCACTACCCCCTAGGACACTGGACTAGTCCAGGAAATAAGGCACAGTCCTGAGACAAAGTCAGAGCCTTGGAAGCAGTCAGGGCATCTCACTTTAGGGCCCCAGAGTATGGGGGATGGTGGCTGTCTGGGGCACCAGGCTCCAGACATGGTGTATTAGTCCATTTTTACACTGCTGTAAAGAAATAGCCAAGACTGGGTAATTTGTAAAGGAAAGAGGTGTAATTGACTCACAGTCCCACATGGCTAGGGAGGCCTCAGGAAACTTACAATCGTGGTGGAAGGTGAAGGGAAAGCAATGCACATCTTACATGGCAGCAGGAGTCAGGAGTGGTAACTGCCAAACACTTTTAAACCATCAGATCTCATGAGAACTCATTCACTATCACAAGAGCAGCATAGGGGAAACCACCCCCATGATCCAATCACCTCCCACCACGTCCCTCCCCTGAAACGTGGGGATTAAAATTGGAGATGAGACTTGGGTGGGGACACAGAGTCAAACCATATCACACAGGTCCATCCCATCTCTGCTCTTGGTCTCCAGCTCTTTTTCACCTTGGCAAAGTCTGTGGCACCAAAGAGGGAGAGCAGGCTTGGGAGGTCCCCACACAGGAGGCCTGGAATAGCATACCCTGCTTTCTCAGTTGCAGAATTGTGTACTTGAGATTCTGGTAACTTCTGTTGCATGAATCATTGTAAAGCATTGTTTTAGGTCATACATGGTCATTATAGAGACTTAAGGGAAAACAGAAAGAATATTCTGAAAAAGAAAAAGTAAATTAACTCTAATTGTTCCATTCCCCAGATATAGCCACTCTTCATATCTCAGGGCATTCTTTCTGGTATATGTACGCATACACGCATGCACACATATGTATATACACATGCATATACATAAATATATGCTATGTATAATACATGTTTTATATGTATTATAAATACAAGTATTTTAAATACATATAAAACATGTATTATACATAGCATATGATACATGATGGCACTACACTGTATCTACAATTTTATATCTAATAGTTTAAACCTAACATTACAACATTATCATCTTCCTGGATTATTAACTACTCTTCAATGTGATTTTAATGGCTTTAAAATATTTTATTACATATATGTAAACACCAGATTTATTTATTCCTCTATTATGGACATTAAAGTTGTGAATTTCTAATTTTACATGTGTATTAGTGAGATAAATTTTAAAATAAAAATCCTTGAACATAGATCTTGATGAACCTACCTGAATATTTCCTGAGAATAAATTCCTAAGAGTTAAAACGCTGAGTAAAAGGCTGTGAACATTTTTAAGGCTCTTGATCAACATTGCCAAATTGCTCTCGAGGAAGGCATTACCAAGTTAGGCTATCTTTGGTGGTTGCTTAATGAGCTTGGTTTGAATTATGCGTATGTAACAGGGAGTTTTAGCTGGCAGAGCTAAGGTCTAGACTGCCACACCCTCCCCCAAACACAAACATCAGTACCTGTCTGCACCCAGAGGTGCACAAGGGAGTTATTATTTTGTACTCAGGAGAGTAGAAGGGGTCGTCAGTAAAGGAGAGTCCAGCGGACAACAGAGGGGGCTTATGGTGTGTCTTCCCCAGCTGGTCCCAGGCTTCTCTCCCCAAGTGGAAGAAGAGACAGGGGAGGCCTCTGGAGAGCAGATCTGCTTCAGATCTAGAATCACTGGGAAAAGCTCACTCATTCTGTGTCTGCAGCAAGCCTAGCACCCCTCTGGCCCCCTGAGGTTTGGAAATTTGGGGAACCCTTGAAGGTAACATCATGCCTGGGACGGTGGCCTTCTTGAAGCAGACTGAGACAGCAACAAGATACCTGCTAGTTTATTCACAAGCACCAGTCTTGGATAGAGAGAACGATCCCAATGACCCCAAGTGACCTGGTTTAGGGGGTCTGGGAAGATGCCAGAAATAACTGGGAGTACTTGGGGAGGAAGTTCAGATTATCCCTCTGATGGCAGCTCTGAGCCAACCCATCCTGAGCCAACAGACAAATGAATTAGATATTCATAATTTTCTCCATAATTTTTCAGCATTTGATTGTTTTATCATGGCTAGAATCCACTCATCCATCCGTCCTCGTACTGGAAGGCTGAACAGCCCACATGTGGATCGTGGCCTCCTCAACTCCATCAACCTCGGTTGGGGAGAAAGTGCATGGGCTGCAGCGGCTCAACTACCAGACCTCAAACTCTGACTCCCAGTCCACAGCCCTAGATCCCAAACCAAAGCTCTATCACATTCATATGCGTCTAACAGCTCAAACTGAGGGCTGGCTAAGAGCTTCATAATTTAGCAGTTACAAGAACAGGGAGAGCATCAGAGTAAATTACACAGTTTAGAAGGAGGACAAGTTTAGCAAAATTAAGAATAGTGCTTTAATTTACACTTCCCTAAAAATATAATTGTTTATTTAAGAAAGCTTTTTGCCTTGTTAACAGAAATTACCAAATGAAAATGTATTTTGACTCCATAAATGTACTGGGAGTTCACCAATCTAACGTTACATAATAAAGACAAGGTCTAATCAATATTTTGATTTATGAAGGTCAAAAATCAAGGTGTGAGGTGTTTCCTTGAAGTTCAAGGCTTCAAGAGATATGCTTTAGAAGGGAAGTCCAAATAACCACAAGTCATATATCATCATCTAACTGTTTTTGCCCCTATAAACATCAGTTGGCATTTACCCTATGTTCTTCACCCACTTGGCCAGCAGTCTAATAATAACAATAACAATAAATAACTACCGGTTATCAAATACTTATTACTTGAATGTCTTGGCTCATTGAATGCTTACATGTCTATGATGTGGATCATATTCTTTTTACCATGCAATTAATTTTGTTATTGTGGTAAGAACATTAAACATGAGATTTACCCTCCTGATAAATATTTAAGTGCACGATGCTTTATTGTTGACTATAGGTACAATGCGGTACGGTAGATCTCCAGACCTTATTTATCTCGCTTGACTGAAACTTTATGCCCATTGATTAGTAACTCCCCACTTCCTGCCTCTCCAACCCCTGGTAACCAACTACCATTCACACTCTGCTTCTGTGAATTTCACTATTTTAGAGACCTCATATAAGTGTAATCATGCAGTATTTGTCTTTCTATTACTGGCTTATTTCACTTGCAATAATTGTCCTCAAGTTTCATTCATGTCATTGCATATTGCAGGATTTCCTCCTCTTTAAAGACTGAATAATATTCCATTGTATGGATGGACCACATTTTCTGTATGTACTCATCTATCCACAGACATTGTCTTAGTTGTTTCCACATCTTGGATATGTGGGCAATCTTATCAAGCCCTTTTCACAAATGAGATAACTGAGACTCAGAAAAGGCAACCCACCCACATTCAAATATTTGGTAACTTGCTCAAACCAGATCTTGCCTACCACCGACTCCATATGCCTGATGTCCACCAAGCATTTGCAACCACAGGAATAAAAGTCACTGGGTGCACATTCTACTCCAGGTGCTTTATACATCCTATCTAGAACCGAGCAACCTCACCTGGCAGACAGCTCCCTGACATGAACCTTTATGAAGAAAGCCAAGTTAGTCAAGAGGGAAGCCCCGATCCCAGCCCAAGCAGTCAGATTCCAAAGGCCCGTTTCTGCTGTTCCAAGTTGTTCTTCTCCCCGCCTGCAAATAAAAACACCTAAGGGATTTTTTTTTTTTTTTTTTTTGAGACAGAGCCTCGCTTTGTCGCCCAGGCTGGAGTGCAGTGGCGCGATCTCGGCTCACTGCAAGCTCCGCGTCCTGGGTTCACGCCATTCTCCTGCCTCAGCCTCCTGAGTAGCTGGGACTACAGGCACCCGCCACCGCGCCCGGCTAATTTTTTTGTATTTTTCAGTAGAGACGGGGTTTCACTGTGTTAGCCAGGATAGTCTCTATCTCCTCGGCCTCCCAAAGTGCTGGGATTACAGGCGTGAGCCACCTCGCCCGGCCGGATATTTTTTTTAATGTTGGTTCCCAGGTCTTTTCCTAAGAGTTTCTGATTCCATTGGTCCAGTGTGGGGCCCCAGCTTCTGCGTTTTATTTTAAAACCCCTCAGAAGATTCTAACAGTTCACTGGGCAGCCGGGGCCGACAACGGCTGCATGGCTCCCCTTATTCCTTACAGATCCCAGGCACTCCACGGGGCACATTCTGCCCTCCAGGGGCTGCCAGGTTGCTGAGCAGTGACCAGGAAACCTCACCCAATAAGAGAATTTGTCGGACGGGGGCTTTGGAGAGAGCCAAGTGAGGCCGCGGGAGGGAAGCCTGGGCCAATGCGGTTTGGGAAGAGATGGGAATTGGCAGGAAAGGATTCCTTAGGGGAGGGGACGTTTGTGCTGAGTAAGGTTCACCAAGAGAAAAAGGGGGAGAAAAGTAAACCTGCCATGCTAGCGTCTCCACTTCCCTTTCCTGCTAAACGGCTGTATGGACGTGATCCCCCAGAGGCACGGCGGGCTCCAGCCTGCCCGCTCAGCCCTTCTCTGACTGGAGAGGAAAGCACGTGTGCCCATCAGCCCACGAGCTGCAGCCACCAGCCCCACGGCCTCCTGGATGAACTCCATTAAGCCAACTCAGAGAGTTCAATTTTTGCTTCAGTTCTAAAAAGACAAATGAGGATCTGGGTGAAGAATTGTTAGAGATTTTTCATTCTAATTGAGAAACTCACCCAGAGAGGCTGCCAGAGCCCAGGTAATCAATCTCTTGGGCCGTGTGTGACAGGGCAGCCTTCGCGCCCCTATTCCACGGGGAGAAATCAGAACTTCCGGTGGACCCGCAGGGGTCACAGGAAGTCCCCTTTGCACAGACCGGTCCCCATTGTCGGGAAGAACAGGGTGACATCCAATCAGCTTCTCCAGGTCCAAATCAATCACCTACATTTCAATTCCCTTTTCTCATCAAATGCCAGCTGCGAAAGAGCCCAGCCTCATCAGAATTCTGCTGTGATGAGTGTTGAAACTACAGGAATTAAGAACTAGGTCACCGCAGGGGAAGGCTGCTCTGTGGTTTCATTATCTAGGTTGCTGGAAAGCCCCCATCTCACAGGGATCCCCCTAGTCACCAGAGCACCGTGAGGCGTGGATATTCAGCATCCGA
The DNA here is from genome assembly GCF_000001405.40 of Homo sapiens. NCBI lineage: Eukaryota > Metazoa > Chordata > Mammalia > Primates > Hominidae > Homo > Homo sapiens. Next base: position 8,488,430 of record NC_000002.12, read on the forward strand.
AATGCATTTTTTGTGGGGACAGCAGCACACGTGGGGAAGGAACACAGAATCGGCTGTGGCCAGCGGGTCTATTCATGCCGTGAAGATCCTCCCAGACCCCTCCCGATGCCTACTGGGCTTCAGGCCCCAGGAAACAAAGCTAAGTCATGCTAGCCCCTGCTCTGGAGAAACCGCTTCCCGGTGGCTGGGATGGAAACAAGCACCAGGCCCCGAGGATGCAGAATCAGAGGATTCCCAGGAGCTTCGTGTGAGGCTGGAGGGCCCAGCTGGGATGTGCAGGGAGGGACCCCTCAGGGCTGTGCGCTTTAGCTGAGCTGAGTGCAAAGGATGACAAGGAGGAGAAAAAGAAAAGAGAGCAAGATGGAGCTGGGGCGAGAGCAGAGAGATGCATCAAGGGGAGAAAGCAATGTGTCCAAAGACATGAGACAGAGAGGCCCATTCCCTCTGTGGGAGGTGGAAGAGGGGCGGTGGGCCCTCTTTGAGCCCACCTGCTGTGCTAGGGAGGCAGAACTGTGCCCTAAGACACAAGAGACTTGTTGGATGACTTTCTGGCAAAGACAGAACCTGATCAGATGCATGCGTCTGAAAGGATGGTGCAGGCAGCCTGCAGCCCGGGAGCAGGGTGAGAGGCTGCAGGATCACAGTGGGCAGCTGGGCCACCCTAGGGAAGGCACTGACTGATTGGAGGTTTGCAGGCTAACCAAGCTGGAGGCTGCATGTGAGAAGGAGGGAGGAGAGCTCCAGGACAATCACAGATGATCATGATGGGCTGGGCGCGTGCCGCCTACGCTGTACCCACTAAGCACTTAACTTGCATTATTTTATCATCTTCAAAATCCCTTGCCGCAGGAGCTGTTATAGTCCCCATTTTTCAGAAGAGAAAACAGAGACAAAAAGCAGTTGAGACCACAGAGCCATGACATGCAGTACAAGGCCGTCGGCTTCCAGGGTCCCCTGTTAACCACAGCCTAGCGTGCCCATCCAAGGCCGGCCCATGGTGGCCAGCTTGCACAGCAGGGTGGATGGCAGGGCCAGTCATGGGGAAGGAGGGCACTAACAGAGAAGGTCTAAGCTGAGACACCAGTGGAAGATCTAGGGCAACAGGCAACACTGCCCCGTGGGAATTCTTCTGTGCTATGTTCTAGAATGTTCTGTAATTCTGCCCTGTCTGATACAATAGCCGTGAGTCACATATGTGAAATACAGCTACTGCAAGTGAGGAGCTGAATTTTAAACTTCATTTCATTTTAATTAACGTTCATCACCACATGTGCAACTGGCTACCATGCCAGTTATGGTAGATCTAGGGTTTGCAGACAGCAAGCAATGTACTTTTTGCATCTAAAGCTCAGGAAGGCACCTGGGCTGGTGATGTATGAACAATGGTTTCCGCTTAGCAGCTCCAGGTACTTCTGGCTGGTATCATGCATTCCTATTTGGTAAGAAAACTAAGGCTTACGGATGTTAAGCAAGGCCCCACATTCGTGCATGGATGACCCAGACACAGCACAGGGGAATCCAATTCCGAAGCCCCTTTGTTTATCTACCACGGCCCCTAATACCACCCCCAAGTTTTCCGTAGAGCAGGATAAGAACACAGGCCTCTGGGTTTGGGGACCGCCACTTATAGGTGAAATCACAGGGGTGCATGCGACCACCCAAGGTGTGTGCAGAATCTAAGAAAAGGTGCTAAGGAAAGAGTCCAAGGGGACATGGAGAAGAGAAAAGGCCCCTGAGGGACCTCAGAAAAAATACCCAGAAAAATAGGAGGAAGATCATGCTTTCATTCATTTTACCAAGCACCAAGCATCCACTCTCTCATTTCTAGCAAATGAAAGAGTGATTGCCTGGTCCTCAGTGAGTCCTGTTCACTGAGGGCCACACTACAAGGCAGAAGTCAAACCACCACCTGGGACAGAGGCCCATGCAGGGCCAGTGCCAGGGCAGGAAAGTGAGAGCTCGCCCCTGGCTGATCTGACCCAGGAAGGCTTCCTGGAGGCAAGCAGTATTCTTAGAAGCTAATATCCTGTGCACCAGAGAACTCCCTTGGAATGGAGTGGAATTATTCCCCTGAATAACTTAAGCGAATTCCTAGTGGAGCACAAAGTCAATGTAAATGTAAGCTTCTGGAGGTTGCCTCAGTAAGGCCAATGCACTACTGAGGAATGATAAGAAAAATGCCAGTAAGTGGTTTCCATGAGGTCATTATTTTTATTGAATCATAAAATATTGAGCAGTTCTGTTTTATTTTTAAAAACAGAAACTCAAGAGATGAAGTAGAAACAAGCCAAGTGAAGTTTGTTAGTTCCATTAAAATATTACCTGCCAGAGGAAAGAATGTACTATAATTGTCATCTATGCTCAATGCATACTAAATACCACCTACATGTGACCAGCGGTTTATATTCTTTTCAACTTCTCTGCTGCCATCTTAACCATTTCAGGGAAATAAGCTGTAGAAAGTCAAATTAGGGCTTAAAGAAACGAGACTTGGCCTCAAAGATAAATAGTATCATTGCCCTGATTTCATTGTTTCAAATATAAGATTTTATTTTGAGACGAAAGTTTAATTAGGCAGAGGTGGATCACTAAATTCTTTGACTTCAGAATCATACTTTCTGCAAGATTTCACCTGTGAAATTCACTGCCTTTAATTACTGCCTCACGTTAAAAGAGAGAATCTTTCTTCTGAATGGCTAATAATGTTATTATAAGAGGTAATTACAGAGCAGTTATCTGTGGTCAGTAACACCAACGTATGTAGATGGCAATATTCTGGTTTTTGAACTTTGAAGGCAATTTGTTAGGGAAACACTTTCTTCCCCAAACAATGTTGATGTTTTGGATTTGTTGGTCTTTTCTGATCTTCTTTTTTTTTTCTTTTTAAGAAGGAAAAAAAGAAGCATTTAGAAATCAGTCCTTTACTGGATGAATTTCTTCACTTCCCAGAAAGCAAGAAAACAATTGTTTCCTGTAATTGGACAGTTTGATTGGAGGCAGGTGGTGCTGAGCTGAGGAAACTGGAGCCACAAAGCCAATTTTGGCTTCAAGCACATTCCCTTTAGTTCTAAGTTCCAGCAGTACAACATGTAAATTGGCTTCACAAAAGCCGATTATAAATTTAGTTCCCGTTTCTCTAACAAGCACCTTATCGGCGATGAAGAGTTTTGGCAAATGGGGACAGCGTACAGATCAGACGCGGTTAGAAAGCTGCCCTGAGATACCCCAGCACTAATTCCTTGAACATGTTCTTGCTACCACAAAGCAGAAATTTATGAGCGATCCCGGGAGCCATCGTGTGTCATCGTTTTAAACTATGGTGATTTCTTCTTTTTTCAGGTTAACTGGCCTTTGCGTTGCTCGTGCTGCATTATCTTGAGTTAATATTTGCCCTCCATATTTTCAAGTAACAGGCCAAGTCAACTTGGCGTTGCGGATTGCAAACATCAGCCCTGAGTATGGCCCAAACTTCAAGGTCTGGGAAATAAATGGGAGCCGTTTATTATTCCCTGCTGCCTTCACCCCGTCTCTGAGCCCTCTCCTTTCTCTTCCCATGTGCTGGTTCATGCATTTTTACCCCTTGCAGGGCAGCTGAGAAGCAATATTCCTCTTTTACAGATGGAGAAGCTGAGCCCCACAGAGGTTAACTGCTTTGGCCAATGTCACACAGTCAGTCAGGAGCAGAGAAGTAATGGGCCCAAGTGCCAGCTTCCCAGTCGTGTTCCAACTTCGTGTTGGAACTGCTCCAACTTCGTGTTAATTAATTTCCTCCCTACTGTAAATCCATAAATTAAAATAGCCATTTATAAGAGACATGGGGGTTTCTAATAAATGGAGGCACATTCTTGGAGGAAAGGCAGGGGGAAATTTATCTGGTAATTTCTATCCAGTTATTGTCTTTATATACTCTCTATATTAAATCAGTGACTGTAAAGGTCCAGCATGTTTTATAATTAACTTCTGACCATGCTTAAATTTTTAGAAATGTTAATCTAATGTCTAGGTGAGATTTGAGCTTCTTATTATTGTTAGAACTTGGAAATAACCTTTTCTGATCCCAAATAGATTAATGGCTGAAATGATAACTTTGTTCTCAGATAAATTTCACCGGTCAGTCTGCCTTTCTGTACAGAATTATTTTACAAAAACACATTGCAGAGTTCGCTGAGTGCCTCGGAACTGCAACACTCTTGTTTTTCAAGGCGATTACATCCAAGGAAATGCCACTACATTTTCCTCTCCAAGCCAGTGGATACCTGCAGTTCAAAACGTTGACTTTGCTGAGAGTCCCAGAATCTAAACACTGGAGGTCAGGTGAATTGAGGTCTTCTAGAGTGACGAGGACACTTTTGCTTTTAATCGTTGGCTAAAGATATTCTCTACAGACATGCGAGTCTGAAAGGGAGATGATTTCCTTTTTTTTTTTTTTTGGGGGGACGGAGTCTCACTCTGCCGCCCAGGCTGGAGTGCAGTGGCGCGATCTCGGCTCACTGCAAGCTCCGCCTTCCGGGTTCATGCCATTCTCCTGCCTCAGCCTCCCAAGTAGCTGGGACCACAGGCACCCGCCACCACGCCCAGCTAATTTTTTTGTATTTTTAGTAGAGATGGGGTTTCACCGTGTTAGCCAGGATGGTCTCGATCTCCTGACCTCGTGCCCCTCCTGCCCCTGCCTCCCAAAGTGCTGGGACTGCAGGTGTGAGCCACTGCGCCTGGCCCGAAAGGGAGATGATTTCTCTCCCAACCTGTTGGAGAGAGAATTCTCCTGCCCATCTTCATGTTGTAATTACCCTGTCCTGCCCCAGATGAACAGCTTCACGCAGCTGCCACCCCAGGACTGCTGGGGCACACAGGGAGGAAGAGAAGACAAGCTCGCAAATACTGTGAACGTTTTCTAAAAAGGAATGTGTGCTGATTAAACCTGTCAGAAAGCAGACTGAGTTTGCACAAGGAGTTCTGGTTGATAGATAACTCAGAAATCTTGGCAACAATACAGAACCAATATTTTTATAGAGGTGGCACCATCTTAAACAATGTCCTTAGTGTGCAAGACACAGGCAGCCCTTCTATCAATATCCAGCAAGGGTGACTTTTTCCTCCACCTCCTCTGAACAAACAGGCTGATGAAGGAGCCGGAATGGAGGTGGGAGGGAGACGGGTTGGGCAGGACACAGTGGGAAACAGGAAAGTGATTTTAATGATCTCTTTCAATAACGCAGCCACCTCCCTCAACTAGATGTGACTCTGGCCAAGCTAGGTTAAAACAGGTCGCCATGCTAAGCTGGAACCAGCCCCCCAATTCTGTTTGTTTATCCTAACATGTAGAAGTAGCTACACAAACTTTGGTTTAACTACATGCAGTCAGCAGCACATTGCGTTTCTCCTCAATCAGGCACAAGACTGTCAGAGTCACCACACTGCTATCGACAAGTGCAACGTTAGCAGCATCAATGTCCCTGCCTCCTTCCTCCTCTCTGACCTGAGCACCTCCTCTGGAATATTCCCCCTGTTCACCCACAAGGACTTTCACACTCTGTCCCTTAAAGAAAAAAAAAGAAAAAGAAAGAAACCTCTTTGTATAACAGCATGTCTTCCCAAACCTGTATCTCTTCCCAGAAAAATAAAAAAAGAATTGAAGCTTTTGTCAACCTAATCCACAGGTTATCAGAGGTGGGGGCGTCCATCTGGGCTAAGGTGAAAACAGCAGCCCCCTGATGGTGCAAACATTGGCAGGGGGCAGTGAGCTGAGATGTGGCCCATGCCCACCACTGGGGGCTCGAGGCCAAGCAGAGCACCAGGGGAGAGGGTCATCAGACAGTGGCATCCGTGCGCCCCACCCCCGGGGGATTCACTTCCAGGGGCTGCCATGACAAGGCACCACCAGCTGGGCAGCTTAAAACAAGAGAAACGCATCCTCTCACAGTTCTGGAGGCCAGAAGTGCAACACCAAGCTGTTGGCAGGGCCCTGCCCCCTTTGATCCCTGTGGAAGAGAATCCTGCCTCCCTCTCTGGCCACCACTGTGGCCGACAGGCCCTGCCTTCCCTGGCCTGCAGCTGCGGTGCCTCTGTCCCGGCCTCTGTCCTCACATGGCGTCTCCCTGTTTCTCTATGCCTTCCCCTCCTCTTACAGGGACACTTTACTCCAGTACCTCATCTTAACTAATTACCCCCCAGTCCTATTTCTAAATGAGGCCACATTCTGAGGCCCTGGGGGTTGGGACTGCCACACAGCTTTTGCAGTGGGGTTGGGGAGCATGATTCAGCCCATGACGTCCACTGCCACCTTCCAGTGGCTCCTCTCCTCAGAGAATAAAATCCACATCCCATGGTCTTGCCTTCCATGAGCTGGCGACTTTCCAGGCTCACCTCCTGACATCCTCCTTGTGTTCCAACCCAGGGCCCTCCCTCCCTTTCAAGGCTGC